>NC_000008.11:143266168-143568246 GCF_000001405.40 Homo sapiens
TCCCCACCTCTGGTGATCCACCCACTTCAGTGTCCCAAAGTGCTGGGATTACAGGCGTGAGCCACTGCGCCCGGCGCTACTTATAACTTTTTAAGAAACTACCAAGCCAATTTCTAGAATGGCAGCACCACTTTGCCTTACCACTGGCGATGTCCCAAGCTGCTCCGCGACCTCAGTGATGCTTGGCACTTGTTAGCAGTTTTTACCTGAGCCACCTGGCAAGTGTGCAGTGGCACCCACCGCGATGCTGGCCGGCCCTTCCCTGACAGCCATCCCTTCCCGAGCCTATTGCCATCCCTGTGCCCTCTTCGGTCAAACGTCTGTTGCGGCTCTTGCCAATTTTCTAACTGGAATGTTTGTTTTCTTGCGGTAGAGTTTAGAGATTTTTACATATTATCAGCCTGGGGGCTCCTCCACCCACACAGCCCTGAGCGTCCACCCTGGCAGCTGTTGCCCGTCTGCAGGCCCCCCCGCCCTCTGCTCCGCGTGCCCCTCCAGCTCAGGGGTCCCCTCGCCTCGGCTCTCTGCACCCCTGCTCAAAACGGTCAAAGAACCCTCCCCGGCCGTTTATTTTTCCCAGAAAGTGACAATTTTCTCTTTTCAGGTCGTAAGCACAGAACTGAGGGAGAAACTGTGGCTGAACAAGAGGAAAATGAGGAAGGAGTCCATGAAGGGGCTTTGGGGAACCTGTAACATCCTCCTCAGGCTCCCGGGGACGCCCCTGGAAAGCAGGCAGAATCGAGGGCGCTGGGGCCCCCGCGAGGGGAGCGGGAGGTCGCGCGTCTCGCAGCGGTTCCCGGCCGCCGGTGACCATCGCTGCGGACACATCCCGAGGAGGGAACCCAAGAGGGCGGCGGGGGGGACTCGCGAGCTGAACGTGGAAGCAACTCCAGCCGAGGACCCCCGGAGGCCTGGAGTGCACGGAGGGGCCGCGGGCAGCGTGGGGACGGCGCCGTCATCTCCCGAAGCCCGGCCCCGCGCTGGCTCCCCGGGCGGTGCAGGGCCGGCGTCGGGAAGGAGGCTCCGAGGCGCCGGCTTCTGCGCCCCACGCAGCGCCGCTCCCCGCGCCCGGGCGCTTTGCAGGCGCGGGCGGGATCCGGGCCAGCGTGTACGCGAAAGCCACGCGCGGGCGCAGC
The DNA here is from genome assembly GCF_000001405.40 of Homo sapiens. NCBI lineage: Eukaryota > Metazoa > Chordata > Mammalia > Primates > Hominidae > Homo > Homo sapiens. Next base: position 143,267,305 of record NC_000008.11, read on the forward strand.
CCACGAGGGGAGGGGCGGGGAAAGGCCTCCTCTTCGCTCCCGGCCCCGCCCCCACACGGCCACCGAGGCGTGCGGTCCTCCCGGGGCCCAGAGCGTCCCGGAAGTGCGCGCCGGCCGGGCGGAGTGGGGCGGGGCCGGACACTTCCGTCCGGCGCGCGGCGTCCTCCTCCCGCTCGGAAGGTGAGTGGGCGCGGGCGGCGGCGGCGGCTCCGGGTGCCTGGGACCAGCCCAGTCCGAGCTCGTGCGCCGTACTCCGCGGTGCAGCCCTGCCCAGCCGGGCCGTGCGGCCCTTGCAGCCGCCGCTCGCCGTGACCTTGGCCTTGGGCCAAGCCCGGGGAGCGGGGTGGGCTCCTGGGGGTCGCGGAGCAGCAGCGGACCGCCCCGCCCAGCGGCCCTGGCGATAGCGGGTGTCCGTTCGCAGGGCGCCTTTCCCAGGCACCCAGTGACGGCAGCTGTCGTCATCGCCACTCTGCAGATGGGAAACTGAGGCCCGGAGGTCCCGCCGCTCCGGAGCGAGGAGCCGCCGGACCCCAGCGCCGCACCGCCGGGCGGACGCGCTCTGTGCCGAGCTCCCGGCGATTGGGTCCGCTCCCACGGGGCTGGGAACAGAGGGGCAGAGGATGCTTCCCCCGAGCCGCTGGCAGGAGTGCCCTTCCCCCTTCAGTCTGGAGCTCAGAGTTTGTGCGTCCCTGGGGGTGAAGGGGCGTCCACGCTGTGATGGTCGCCTCTGCTCAGTCCTGGGGGCCAAGCCAGGGTCGGGGTGATCGAGCAGGCCCTTTTACCAGGTGTCCCCAGTAAGTTAACTAAGTAACTTGAGATGTGACTTCAGGGTGGAGGACCTGCACCCAGTGGCCACCTACCTGGTGACCTGACCCTTCCCATCATTAGGGGATGGAGGCTGGCCCAGAAGCCGGGCACTGGGGTGGCGGCCGTGTGGGAGCTGCCTCTCCCACTTCCTCGAAGCAGGCACTGTCTGCTGTTCTTAGATCTGAGTATCCGTTAACTTTTGTCCTCTTTTCCCGTTCCTTTCTTCACTCCCTGCCCCAGATTAGGAGTTCCTACTCTATCACAGTATGAAAGAAAAGTCACTTTTCACATTGGACTCAAGCCGTTTTTGCAAAGTAAACTAAGAAGTGTCTTGGAGCCCTGAGTGAGTCTCCCAGTGCTGCTGCAGGGCTGGACTAGGGGATTCCAGCCTGCAGTCTCTGAGGGCTCTGTAGGGTCTGAGGAAGAGAGTTGCCCTCTGGAAACGTCTCTTCTCTGCTGTTCGGGAAAAACCTTATTAAGATTTCCTCCAAAACACTCATGCGCAGCAGGCATGGTTCGGTTTTCAGCCCTCCCACAGGGCCAGCAGCTGAGGTTTTTCTGGAAGACTCCCTATGCCTTTCTCTGGGGGAGGGGTGATGCCACGGGCTGGAAGGAGATGCCAGAGCCTCTGCTGGGACAGGAGCTTCGCTTCAGCCCCCACAGGCGTCTGCTGTGCCGCCCAGGCGGTGGCTGCTTCCTAAGCGCGCCTTCCAAGGCGTTACTCCTTTGCTGCTGCTGCTGCTGCTGCTGTTGTTTGAGTCTTGCTGTGTCTCCCAGGCTGGAGTGCAGGGGCGCCATCTCGGCTCACTGCAACCTCCACCTCCTGATTTCAAGCTGTTCTCCTGCCTCAGCTTCCCAAGTAGCTGGGATTACAGGTGCCCGCCACTGCGCCCAGCTAATTTTTATATTTTTAGTAGAGATGGGGTTTCACCATATTAGACAGGCTGGTCTCAAACTCCTGACCTCATGATCTACCCACCTCGGCCTCACAAAGTGCTGGGATTACAGGCATGAGCCACCGTCCCCAGCCACTCAAAGCGTTATTCCTTACTGAATAAATGTGCCAGGTCCCCCAACTGCCTCACCCCAGGCCTATGTGTCTCTGTGGGTTCATCCTCCATCCTTGCTCCTCCTGGAGTGGATAAACCTCCATCTCCCCTTGGAGAGCTGGCATGTTGCCTCCTCCTGCACCATCCCCCCGACATTCCTCCCAATCCCCTCATCTGCCATGGTTTTCATTTTCCCCAGGTCCCAGGTGTGACACCTTCAGCAGGTCTCAGGGAAGATGGCAGCCCTAGGGGACATTCAGGAGTCCCCTTCTGTCCCGTCCCCTGTCAGTCTCTCATCACCGGGGACACCTGGAACCCAGCACCACGAGCCTCAGCTTCACCTCCATGGGCATCAACATGGTACTCACCCAGCCCGCTGTGCGCCCTCCACCCTGCATCCCCTGCCCTCACGTCCCCTGCCCTGTCTCCTCCTGACCTGCCACGCTGGCTGACTTGAGAGGCGCCTCCAGACACCTGTATGCAGCTCCTTCAGCAGCTGGGGTTCCCACACCCTCAGGCCAGGGGCTCGGCGCGGGTTGGGTTGGGGCAGCGGTGGTTGAGGCTGGGGCCAAGCCTGAGCTCTCGCTCCCTAGGGACAGCTCCCCGCATTGTTTCTTTCCTGAGTTGAGGTATAGGAGGGAAAGTGGCCTCAAAATCTGGATCCAGCGTGACCAGGAGCAAGGCATCGCCCCTCTGAGTGTGTGTTGTCATTCAGGAAGTGGAGCAGCCAGAGTCCTTGCCAAGCTGGTTTGGGTGTGATCCCCCGGGACTCGCAGGGACAGAGCGCCAGCCTTGCTCCACCCCTGATGTTGTGGCCTCATGGTCACATGGCAGGCTCTGGGAGTTGAGGTGTGGGGGAGTCCCAGCCCCATAGTGCCCCTGGCTCTACTCCCTCTCAGAGGTCAGGGATCCTGAGGCTACATCTCTGCTGGGTGTTCCACAGGAGGCCTGGCCTCGGCCCTCGTGGCCCAACCCAGCACATGAGCTGCTGACAGCAGGGGCAAGGCCCCATATAGGTCAAGCCTGGAGAGCCCGTGCCTGGCCCAGGAATGGGGGCAACCTGGCACAGGGTTCTCCCTCTTGGGGAGTCAGAGTCCTGGTGGCTGAAGGGACCACTGAGGCTTGTGGAGAGCAGCTGCGCTGCATGGGGCCCTCAGGTGGGCACTCAGATGGGGACAGAGAGTCCGGGGGGCTCCCCCAAGGAGCCAGGACCAGGGTGAGTTAGAGGAGCAGGGAGCCAGGCAGCTTGGCATCCACTCCCCTGCAGCCCTGCCGTCTCCGCTGCGGTGTCCCGAGCAACTCCCCAGGGACTGCGAGGAGGCTGGGAAGGGGCGCCCGTGGGCTGCCTGGGCTGCCTGTCCTGGTGGACCTGGCCAGGGGCTACCTGGAAGGATCCCAAGCCCCTGCAGCACACACTGTGGCTGGGCCTCCAGCCCATGCCCCTGAGGGCCGTGCTCCTCACCCCTTAGTCAGAATCTCAGGGCCCACCCTTGCCCTCTCATGTCATCTGTACAATGGCTGAGAGGAGTTCTCCTGTCCCGTTACCAGTGGGGACACAGAAGCCCAGAGACAAGGCCAGGAGGTCAGCAGACTCAGGGCATGCCCTGGCACCCCCCCAGGCCTGATGAGGTGTGACTTCTCTAGGGGGACAGTTTCTGAGGGAGGGCACAGCCCAGCAGATCATCTTGGCACAGCACAGGACACACACTGAGGTGGCTGCAGGCCAGTTTCTGCAGGATAAGAAACTGACGCCCAGGTGGAGGGTGGGCTGGGGAGCATGGAGGGGCCTGGGGCCAGGCCCCCTGAGCCTGCAGGGTTGCGCTACCCCCAGCCCTGTCTCCACCAGCTGTGGGCAGCCAGGCCCAGAAAGCCAGGCATGAGTCCCCAGCCCCACAGGCCTGGAAGCCTCCTGGGCACTGGAGCCATGTCCGAGTGCCCTGAAACCCCCAGGGGTTTTGCCCCGTGGGAGGGAGTGGGGGCTGCACCAGCAGCTTCTGCCGTCTCCTTGCTGTGCTAGAAACAACATCCAGGGAGGACAGATGAGCTGGGCCCTGAGAACAGCAAGTGTGGCTGCTTTCCCCCAGCAAGAGACTGTGGCAGGAGGAGATTGTGGCTGAGGCACAGCGGGGCCTGGGAAGGCTGTCAGGTAGCCAGAGCCAGATAAGGGGGCGGCCTTCATCCCCTCTTCATGCTGATAGGCCTGGTGTAGAGAGAACGGGGCCAGGCCGCAGCAATGGGCAGCTACTGTCCCAACTTCCAGGCACTGGGTGAAGGCAGGGGCTGTTTCTGGGCGTTTCCAGCTTCCTCTGCTCCTTGGGAATGCCCAGGGGCCACAGATTCCTAAGCAGGGGAGACCTCGCTGTTTCTGGAACTTGCCCAGGGCCATCCTGCCAATTAGGGATCAAGACAGGACTTGGAGCCGCAGCCTCCCAACTCCCAGAAAGAAGTTTGCAGTGGGCCAGACCGAGGTTCCTGGGGCCCACCCCAGGCACATGTGGTCACCTCAGGAGCCTCTGGTGGGTGCGTTGCTGGGCACCAGGCCGTGACGTATCAGGGAGCAGAGGAGGTCCCAAGTAGGAGCCGTTTATCAGTGGGGAGGGTCGTGAGGGGCATGAGGAGCGGCCGGGTAAGGTTCTCTGCGGTGGTCCCTGCAGCCATGAAGCTGGGGTCCCACAGCAAAGGACTTGGGGCCATGGCCTAGCCCAAGCCTTGCAGAGCGGGGAGACCAGGCGGTGGGAACAGGCCACAGTTCCTCATCTCCCAGGACCTCTGTGGTCCCCACGGAGATGCAGATCAGGAGCTGGGCTGGGCTTGGGGGACTGAGGGTCCCCACACAGCTTCTCAGGGATTGTGTTGTGCCCCAAGGCCACGCCCACCAGAGCCAGCACTGCCTGGGCCGGTTCTGGAAGGTTTACCCAGGGGTCCTGCGAGTGGAGGGGCAGTCTGGGCAGGAAGAAGTGAGGGAGGGGAGGCCTGGGACCCTTGGGGGCTTGCAGCCCTGTGGGGGTTACTGAGTGCCCAGGCTGTTAGGGAGGACCCCATGGGCAGGGCAGGGCCACCCCGCGACAGGCACAGCATCTTTCCACATGGAGCGCCTGGCCTTGGCACCTGAGATCTGGACTCTAGGTTCCCACAGACCACCCCCCAGCGCCTAGCTTGCTCCCCTAACTCACCCTGGTCCAGGCCCGGGCACACAGCACTTGCTGTGCCATTTAATACACAAAGGCCCTTCCAGCCAGGAAAGCACCCACCTGCCGCCTGTCCCCAGACGTGTACAGCCACCTCACCTCCACTTGGAAGACCAGCCCCAGCAGGTGGGCAGCCCTGGTGTTTCTCCAGTTCGGGCCACACTGTCCCTGTGTCACAGCACAGTGGGAGGGCACTGGCCAGGTGAGGGGTGGTGAAACTGAGGCAGGGGTACTTCTGCATAGAGCCAGCAGGGTGGGGAGCAGGGTCTGGGTGTGCACCCTGTGGAGACCTGGCACAGCCTGGGCACAGCCAGCAGGTGGCAGGTGACTGAGCTCTGCAGAAATGGCCCGAATGTGGGCAGGTGTCAGGATCCAGGGTTAGGCAGTGGAATGACAGTGACCCATGCAGCCCACACCTGACCCTAGGCCACCCCCATCCTCCCCTAGAGAAGGTCCTAGGAAGTGCTTTGCTGCCTGCACAGGGCAGTTCCCAGGGAGCTGGGGGCCATCCTGAGTCGGCTTGTTCCGCAGCAGGGTAGAGACGGTGCACACCACCTGGCGTTGCTTGACTCTGAGGGTGTCTCCGGGCACCCCTACAGCTGGCAGCGGCTTTGGCGTGCTTCCTATCTTGGTAATGTCACTGGCCCTCTTAAAGTGACAGCCCGGGGAACATCCTGCCTGTCAGTGCCAGGGCATGGCCCCAGGAACAAAGCTGGAATCGGGGTCACTTTCTTTCTCAAAGGGCTGCCAGGTCCTCTCCAGTGGTGTCCCAGCGCAGGGCAAAGGTGGCAAGGCTGTCTCAGGTGATGTCCTCACCGCCCCCTCTGTAGGAGCATGGCGCTGGAGCCTGCCCTGTATTTGGCCATCTGTGGAACAAGCCAGCTCCCCTGGCTGCCAGGGGATGGTGACATGGTGCCCCCAGGCCTGTCTCCACAATGGGGAGGGTATCCGAAAGACCCAAAGATGGTTTGGGACCCCCACATCCTGCTTTGGGGCAGCCAAGCAGTTCTGGACCCTCGGCTCTCGAGGAAGGGACGTCGCACAGCCGCCCCCACCTGCTGAACTTCCCAGCCCTTCATATCGGGCCTCCCCTCACTCCTCAGCCTGGGTTCGGAAGGTCTCCCAGGGGCCGACCTGAGGGCGGGAGGGCGTGTCGGGTGAGTGAGTGGCTGGCTGGACTGGGGAGGTCCCCCCTCCATGGTGGGCCAAGCTGGTCACCCCACCGCAGCTGGGGCAGGCCTGCCTGAGGCTGGAAAGCCCCATGAAAAGCTCACAGCCAGGCACTGTTATGAACGGGGTGTCACAGCCAGGCACTGTGTTATGAACAGGGTGTGGACAGGAGCCTCTGCCCACCCCAGCCCTGCGTCTTTCTGTGCCCATCTCTGCATTGTCATTGCTGGGGACACCCAGATTCGGCCTCACGGGGCTAAGAGACACACCCGTCCTTGAGTACAGCCCCCAGCCACCCTCTCTGCTGTGGGCAGAGGGCAGGTGAGGCACCAGGGTGGCACAGCACTGAGGGGGCAGGTGAGGCACCAAGGTGGCACAGCACTGAGGAGACAGGTGAGACCCCCAAAGGGGCCTGGTGCCCCTGCTGGCGTGAGGAGAGCTGACCACTGGCCTCGGGCAGTGGAGCCCACGCCCCTCCCTTTTCAGTCTGTGCTCCTTGAGCATTAAGGCCATCCCCCCACCCTGCCCCCACCAAGTCTTGGGTGGGAGGGGGGTCTTGGTCCTGGGTGCCCAAGCCTGGTGTGCCCAGGGGTGAGGGGCTCATAGATGGGCCCAGCCCATTCCTCAGGCTCTGCCTGAGGAAGCCAGGGGCCAGTGCGCTGGGCCTGCTGGAAGCAGCTGCCTCTGCTGTTTCTGGGCGCTCGTCAAGGACAGCAGAGAGCCCCGGAGGGACAGAAAGGTCTGGGGCCAAGGCAGGAAGGCTTTGTGAGGTACGGGTGTGGGAGCCTGCAGGGCCAGCACTTTGAGAGGCCGGTCCAGAGCAGCACTGCAGGATGCTGGGGCATGGAGGAGGGTGGGCCACAGCCCACCAAGGTGACAAAGCCGCCTTCAACGGCAGGAGGGCCGCTTCAAAGCTCCCCCAGGTTTTGGCTCTGCTTACTGGGCTGAAGGGGAATGAGCTCCCAATGCTGGCCCCTGGAGGAGGAGGCTCTTGAACCGAGCTGGGAAGGAAGGTAAAGGGCATTCGTGGCTAGAGAAGCCCAAGCAGCGGGCCTGCTGTTGGGATTGGGAGGGCCAGGAGGTGTCCTGTGTCAGGGCCACAGCCCGGGAGCACGTGGCGGTCAGAGAGGAGCGGAGGCAGTGGTCCAGAGGGTGGAGGTGAGCCCCAGCCTCCCTGACCCCCAGGCTCCCCTGGCTCCAGCCCTAAGGTGCTCTCCCAGCCGTCCGACCTGGATCTCCAAGACGTAGAGGAAGTGGAGATCGGCAGAGACACCTTCTGGCCCGGTGAGTGAGCAGAATCGGGTTACTGGGGGACCAGAGCTCTGCGCGTGCCAGGCTCCTCACAATGCCCACCTCTGTGGCACCCCCAATGCTGGCACCACCCCCTTCCTGGGGCCCCTTTTCTTCCCTGGCATCAGCTCACCTCTGCCCCGTGGCCCCTCCCCCACTCTAATGCCAGTCCAGTTACTGATGCTTCCCGAGGCGGTGACTGCAGCCCACAGCCACCTGCGCCAGTGGCCCCACGTGGACTCCTGCCGGCCCCAGCTGGACACAGTGAATCAGGAACTCCTCCCTCCCCTCCACCTGCCTTGGGCTGGGGCTTCTGGCTCAGGGCACCACTGTCCCCCCAGATCCACGAGTTATCCTGTGTCCCCTCCTCCTCCTGCATCCCCTAGATGGCCTCCCCTCAGCCTGGTTGGAGCTGTGTCCAGGTCCCCTGCACCTCCCCCTTGAGAAGCTCCCAGGGTTCCCTCTGGGCGATGTTAGTGATATGGCTGGATTTAACAGTGCTGAGCCCTCGCCCACATCTGGGCGGCCCTGGGGTGGGGAGCAGGTGTCTGAGGTCAGGTCCCTGGAAAGAGACCCTGGGCCAGAGATTTGCGTGGGAAGCTCCTGGGGTGGGCATGGGAGCTGGGCGGCAGCACACTTGCCACCGAGGCCTGGGGCAGCCCCATGAGGAGCTGTGCCCATATGGACCACATCCTCGGCAAGGGCTTTGAGGCGCCCTCTGGAGCTCTGGCGTCCCCCAGGCTCCGGGTCCTCACCAACACTTAGTGCTTCCTCCTGGCTAAGGGTGACCCCATGGTCTGTCTTGCCACTGTGGCTCCGTGCACCGGCACGGCCGCCGTGGTGACTGTGGATGGTCCCAGCAGCTCTGGGTCACCCTGCAACGCCCCCCACCCCTGTGTCTATGTCAGCTCTCCTGGGCACGGCACTCCGAGCCCCTGTCCGCTTGTCTCCCATCCACTGGGTGCCTGGCCCCTCCTTGTCCCCTCTAAGCCCCCCCGTCCAGCTCTGCTCTCACTCCCCGTCCCCGTCCCTCCGTGCCACGGTGGGGGCATGCGGGTACTATCCGCCTCTGCCGTTTCTCATTTCAGACTCCGAGCCCAAGCCGGAGCAGGCTCCACGCTCTCCTGGCTCTCAGGCCCCTGACGAGGGGGCGGGCGGGGCGCTGCGCAGCCTCCTGAGGAGCCTTCCCCGCAGGGCCCGGTGCAGCGCCGGCTTCGGGCCTGAATCCAGCGCGGAGCGGCCGGCGGGCCAGCCGCCTGGGGCCGTCCCTTGCGCCCAGCCGCGGGGCGCCTGGCGCGTGACGCTCGTGCAGCAAGCAGCGGCCGGGCCCGAGGGTGCGCCCGAGCGGGCTGCCGAGCTGGGAGTCAACTTCGGTCGGAGCCGGCAGGGCAGCGCGCGGGGGGCCAAGCCGCACAGGTGCGAGGCCTGCGGCAAGAGTTTCAAGTATAACTCGCTGCTCCTGAAGCACCAGCGCATCCACACGGGCGAGAAGCCCTACGCCTGCCACGAGTGCGGCAAGCGCTTCCGCGGCTGGTCGGGCTTCATCCAGCACCACCGCATCCACACGGGCGAGAAGCCCTACGAGTGCGGCCAGTGCGGCCGCGCCTTCAGCCACAGCTCGCACTTCACGCAGCACCTGCGCATCCACAACGGCGAGAAGCCCTACAAGTGCGGCGAGTGCGGCCAGGCCTTCAGCCAGAGCTCCAACCTGGTGCGCCACCAGCGGCTGCACACGGGTGAGAAGCCCTACGCCTGCAGCCAGTGCGGCAAGGCCTTCATCTGGAGCTCCGTGCTCATCGAGCACCAGCGCATCCACACTGGCGAGAAGCCCTACGAGTGCTCCGACTGCGGCAAAGCCTTCCGCGGCCGCTCGCACTTCTTCCGGCACCTGCGGACCCACACGGGCGAGAAGCCCTTCGCGTGTGGCGCCTGCGGCAAGGCCTTCGGCCAGAGCTCCCAGCTCATCCAGCACCAGCGGGTGCACTACCGCGAGTAGCCGGGCGGGGGCTCGGGGCTCGGCCTCCTACCTGCCCCCAACCCACCCTCCACCCCGTCCCCCACGGTGGGCACTGCCCAGCACCGCATGCCACGTGTCCGGAATAAATTCTTTTTGATTGTTGGAAGTGGGAGCCGGCACCTGCCTGGGTGAGACCTTGGGGCAGCTTCCTGTCCCCGAGGACCCGCTGCGGGATGGGGGTGATGGGGCTGCTCCACCAAGACCTGCCATACAGGGCCACGGGGTCCCTGGGGTCTGGCGGGCGGCCCGAGTGTCGTAGGGGAGGATCTGAGGCCTGGAGGTGTCCTGACTTGCCCAAAGCTGATACCCCACCATCAACACGGGAGGCGGGGGGGGCGCGCCCAGAGCAGGGGTCGAGGACGGGGCCAGTCTAGAAGTGCTCACAGGCCTGGCCAGGCTGCCTGTCTGCCACCTGGGTGAGGGGTCTCTGGCAACTCGGTTCCCTTATGTATTTGGGAGGCCTCTGCTTCTGTAAATGCAGCAGGCTTCCCCACGTGCCCTGTCAGCTCTGCTGCCTCCATTCAGTGGGGGGCCTGCTGGGCAGCAGTGGCCCGGGCTTCCTCTGCACCAGCCCCTTGCCCTGGGGTGTGGGGGCCCAGGGTGTTCAGGTCTTGACAGGTGTGGGCTGGTACGGCTGGGCCTGCCGGGCCCTCTTCAGAGCTGCCGGAACACTGCTTCTGGGCAGGGGAGTCTGGGCCACGAAGCTCTGGGAGAGCTCAGCTGGGGGTGGCTCCAAGTGCTGAGTGCCAGTGATTCTGCCAGTGCCTTCTCCCTGCCCTGCCTGTGCCCTCCGGGACAGCTGGCAGACCCCGGACCCCAGCCTGGCTCCTCCGAGGCTGTCCCTCTCCAGGTCTCACCTCCCCTCCTACTGTGACTCATCCAGAACCCCGGGCCTGGCCCCCAGATGTGCCTGTGGCGGGCCTCTGAGGTCACTGTCCTGGTGAAGACGAAGGCTACCGTCCCCGCTTTCTGGCAGTGTCTGCGAGGGCCTGCGCAGCGCGCATCTGATGTCATCAGCCCCCAGCAAGCCCGTTTTCCAGAAGAGAACCCGGAGGCTCCGAGGTGACGTGTGGCTTGCTCGAGATCACACGATCAGTGACGGCACCAGATGAATCCCTGAGCTCCCTGACCAGCCATCCACCCAGGCCCCTGCTGAGACAGCGGGACCTCGTTTCCAACTCAGAAGCCCCCGGAACGCGGCTGCCCGGCTTGGGAGCCTGCGGCACAGGGCCCTGTGCAGCCCCTTGGGGAAGACGGCCCCAGGCTCTGCCAGCCCCCGCCACCCTCTCCAGACCATGCTCTGGGGGCCCTATGGCCACCAGCGCTCTGGACGCCCCACTCTGCCAGGTGAGAACGAGTTTAGGGGTGCGGGCTGGAGGTCAGTGTGTCTGTCCGAAGTCAGCTGGGAGGCAGGCGCCTACTTGAGGCGTCCTTGCTGGTGTGCGGTGGGCCTGGGGTTCAGACTGTCTGCCTGAAAGGTAAGGGTGAGGACGCCTGCATTCTCCTTGTTCAGTAACACGCGTGGGCAGCCAGGCCGAGGTGCTGGCTCTACTAGGGGATTCATCTGGTGCCGTCACTGATCGTGTGACCTCGAGCAAGCCACGAGTCACCTCGGAGCCTCCGGGTTCTTCTCTGGAAAACGGGCTTGCTGGGGGCTGATGACATCAGATGCGCGCTGCGCAGGCCCCCGCAGACACCGCCAAAAAGCGGGGACGGTAGCCTTCGTCTTCAACAGGACAGTGATCTCACAGGCCCACCACGGGCACACCTGGGGGCCAGGCCGGGGGTTCTGGAGGAGTCACAGCAGGAGGGCAGGTGAGACCTGGAGAGGGCGACCCCGGCGCCCGGGTTGGACTCCCGCCCGCTGCGACCGGAGAGGGGAGCCCGGCGGTCCTCCACGCCGTCCCAGATAGTCCCGGAAGTGGCCGCAGCTCCTGGAGGGGCGGGGAGGGGGCGGGGCCATGCGCACTCGCGGCAGCCCGCACGAGACTCCCGCAGCGGCAGCTGACGGGAGGCTTCCCGGAGAAGGAAGTGGGGTGCGGCGGGTCCTGGGCCAGGCAGGGCTGTTCCTCCGCGCCGGGTCCTAAACTCTCTGCAAGGTCTCTGTGTCCTCCCTCGTTGGGCAGGGCCCGCGAGATGCGCTGAAATGGCATTTACGTCTTTCCCAGTGTCCTCAGTGCCTTCTCCAAGCCCGCGGGCACGGGGCTGATTCTCGAACGTGCCATCTGATCCACTCAACATTTCTCGGGAACCCCAGAGCGGCCCGGCAGGACCCAGGCGTGGACTTTTAAGGGCATTTTTCTACCTTGTGGTGGCTGCCGGGTTTATCAGCGTGCAGTTGAACCGGACGTGATATTCCTGAGCCCTCCCGGGACGCCTGCGACCCTGAGCTGTGCTCGGCCTCTTGGTCACGCCTCTCCCCATCCTCCTTCGATTTGCGTCACACGAGGGCCGCTTGTCCGGGTGGCCGCCCCCGGGGCTGGCTCGGAGCCCCGTCCCACCCCTGCCGGCTCTGCCCCATCCCCCGCCACCAGAGGAACCTGGACGCAGACCACCTGGAGCATCTCCAGCTCAACGGCCAATCTCCAACCCACACCACCTCCAAGCCCACACCACCACCCCTCTCCCTCCTCCGACCCAGGACCCCGATTCTCAGCCTTCGCCCTCTCTCTCCTCCCCGAAGTGACCAGGGATCTTCCTAAAGATCCCATGGTATCTGGGAGCCAAGGTTTGGGATCTGCCAGCCCTGATTCCATAACCCACACTTATCCTTCCTCACGGAGCCTGTTTCTGCCTCTGACAATGGTGGTTAGCGCAGCCCGCTCCGCACCGCACATGGCGGCTGCAAGGACGGCATGGGTGGGGTTCTTTGCACAGTGCCAGGTACATAGCAAATCCCCACAAAAAGAGCTCCTGGAAGGGCTCTGTCAACAGCGTGAGTGGACAGTCTCAGCAGAGGACCACCTGAGGCTTGGGTTGGTCACAGCAAATGTGAGAGACCAGGAAAAGGGGTGCATGTGAGTTCTGGAACCCAGAAAGTGATCATCTGTATCTGGCACAGTATCTGCTTTTGAGCCCAGAAGGAAATAAAGGCCCTGGAGGGGCGCTGAACCCTAAAGCACTGGAGCTGCAGGGAGAGGTCTTCTGAGGCAGCTTCTGGCAGCCCCAGACAAGGGGAGGGCCAAGTGCTGACCTAACCATGGCCTTGGGGGCAGGTGTGCAGGCCTATGGATTAGCAAATAAGGACCGAAACATGCTTATGGATTAGCAATTAAGGACCAAAACATGCCTATGGATTAGCAATTAAGGACCAAAATGAGCTTAAGTTTGGACCCTTTTCAGTTCACAAGCGTTTTTATTTTTACATACATATATGTAGCATGGTGTATTGGCTAAGAAAATCGACCTTGGAATTTCAAGCCCAACTCTACAGTTAACTGTGAGGTTGGATGAGTTATTAATGTCTCTGAATCTATTTCCTGATTAGTAAATGATGTATTATGGTTCTCCAGAGAAACAGAACCAATGATGTGGGGTGGGGGAGGACAAGAGAAAGAGGGTTATTATCAGGAATGCACTCACAGGGTTATGGGGGCTGGGCAGTCCCAAGACCTGCAGCTGTCAAGCAGAAGAGCTGATTGAAAGCCAGTAGACTTGAGACCCACAAAGAGCTGATGTCTCCATTCAAGTCTGAAGGCAAGAAAAGACGTAGGTCCCGGTTCAGTCAGGCAGGAGGTGGTTCCTATGCGGGCCTTGAACTAATTGAATGAGGCCCACCCACATTATGAAGGGCACTCTGCTTCACTCAGTTCACAAATTCAAATGTTAATTTTATCCAAAAACACCCCCACAGACACACTCAGCACACACAGTGTCACTACTTACTCTCAGATTGCTCTCCAGACTGGGGGAACCAATTGACAAGGCCCCCAGCTCCCCCAGCTATGAGACTACATTCCCCATAACTTTTCAGCATGTTCACTTGATTCTCCAACCTTAACAGACTTGTGATATTACTTTAATGGCAAACAAGGCTCTGCTGTCCCACGCGCTTACTTTGCCACATGGCACAGTATCTGTGTCACAGACGCACTCTTCCCAAGGACAGGTCCAGGCCTGTGTCAGTCACTGCTTCATCCCAGCACCTAGCACAGGGCCTGACTCATGGTGAGCTGTGGACAAACGCACATGCAATTAACGACTTGTTCCTGCCTCAGGGTTCTCTTTTCCAGATGAGTAGAACAATTCACATTTTTTCACTCCTTACTTCAGACTGGGAGAAAGGGCCTGAGCAGAAGGATCAGAGTTCAAAGGAGGGGACACAGCGCCACAGAGGCAATGCCTGGAGCAACAAAGATTGGGGTTTGGGCATGTACTGGAGTGAGAGTGGAAAGGGCATGGAAGTCAGGGTCCAGTCAGAAGACAGAGGCCTCGTCAGTTATTTCAACAGAGAGGATTTCGCATCATGAATCACTATGTACGAAGTGACTACCGAAGGAGCTGAAAAGAGAACTCTATCTCAGAAGCAAAAACTGCAGGGAGCACCTGCTACGCTAGGGCTGTGGAAACAAAGGGAAGCGTTTGGAATTACTGGGGTCAGAAAGCCTGGGAACTAAACCCCTAAGGAGAGGGCTTCGCAGGTCTCTGGTCCCTGACCTGGCCCCGAGGGTGGGGACAGATCCCCGAGGCGAGGCGTCGATGGCTGCGGTCTGAGGTCTCTAGCGGGGGGCCGATGAAGCTCTTCTGCGAAGTTGGGAACCCGCGCACCAGTTTTAGCAGCCGCGGAAGGAAGTGCTCTTGCCGGGGCGAAGCAGCAGAGTTCGGAAGACACGCGACCAGGGCACCAAACAGACCGGAAGCCTGAGGAAAAAACCGGAAGCAAACCGGAAAGAGTGTGCCCCTCTCTCCTCCGCAGCCTCGCGCGCTTTCTCTGGCGCCCCTAGTGGGAAAGCCTAGCATGGCACCAGCTGGCCAAGCAGAAAAAGGTTTGCGGAGACCGGGCCAGCCGCAGAGGTGGAGCTGAGGGTCAAAACCTCCTCCCTGGAGCAGGAGGGCAGAGAGGCCTTCCTTGTACGTTCGAGCGGATTCATAAGATAAATGGTGAAGGACTCAGATGGCTGAGATGAGATTTTGTAGAAAAACCTCGCCGAGTGCCAAGTGCAGCTAGGGCTTCAGGAGTCCAGCCTGGTTTGTAAGCCTCGAGGAGCCCACGCGTGGCCGCAGGTGCAAATGGTCTCAGAGCAGCCATGCACGGGAGAATTCCTCCCAGGGAGAAACGCCGTGAATGTGACTTCTAGGGACACGCACAGCCGGTGGAAACCGTATGCATGTAGTGTGCATAGGTGAGATGTAATGGAACACTGGAGAAGCACCTTGTGAACGTGGGAAGGGTTTCGCGCATGCTCAGGCTCCGTTCGGGATCAGAACATTCCCGCAGGAGAGAAGCCAATGAGCAGCACTGGACGTGGCCACACCTTCGTGGAAGCGCTGGTCCTCAGGCATCAGAGTGGACATAGAGAGGCCCTGCAAATGTAATGACTGTGGGAACGCCCGCCTCCTGAGTTCATGCTGCCGTGAGGGAGCGGACTGTGGGTGCGGGCATGCGGAAAGGTCTCAGATAATCCCCACTGGAGAGGAACACTGTGGATGTCATCCACGCAGCAGAATCGGATAAATTGCACCAAGGGACCCCACCCCCACCCCCTGTGCAGTGACCACCGCAAAACCTTTAAGCAAAGATCTCATGCCCCGAAATGCCAGGGCCGTCACCAGGGATGCAGCAGGGAGTGAAACACCCATCTCTTTTCTCACACCAAACCGTAGCCAAGGGATTCACCACGAGGTGAGCCGGTGCGAGAGGGAGGACTCTGCAGGCGGAGACTGCCCTCGGGGTTGTGGCCTCAGAACGGGGTCCTGCTCCCTGGAGACATGGACCCTGTTTCTTACAGTAGCTTTTGTGCATCATGGGCAGGCAGTGCCAGTTGACACCAATCAAGTCTCAACACTCAGCCTGCACACGTGCAGATCCTCTGGAAAAACGCAGCCCCTCCCATCCTCAGATCCTAAGAGAGGTAGGGGCCTTGCCCATTAGCTGACTCCAAGACAACCTGGCTGGGACTAGAAGGTGAGAGCCAACCCCTGCGGCTGCTACAAGCCCCACAGGAGGCCCGGGGAGGGTTTCCTGGCAGTGTCTTCCGAGTCGCCGCAAGTTTCTGCCCAGTTTTCACAGCCTGCTCTTCCCTGGGTTCCGGCTGGGTCTCTTCCTCAGGTATGGCTCCACGCCTCCCCTGCCCAGTTGATGCAGGTCTCGCTCTGATCACATCCAGTTCCTGTAGACCATTGGCCACTCACCAGGCCGCTTTGCCTTGCGTTTTCTAGGGTCTTGTTTCATGGGGTCATGGGAACCCACTCAGGGACCACCCAACTACCTGAGAGGCCCACTGGAAAACGCAGATTCCCAGGCCCCACCCCAAGGGATTCAGCAGGCCTCAGGGGAAGCCAGGAAATCTGGATTTAGTTCAAATACCCAAATACATTGATCATGGGCCTGGTTCGGGAATCTGTTCTCCTCCAAGCCCTCAAAGCAGGAGCTGCTGGCCTGCCCTCTGCAAGGCCGCTGCCCAGGCTCTCCTCAGACACCACCTGGACGGGCAGCTCGAGCCGTGGGACGCCCCTGCTTGGGCCAGAATCGGGTCCTGCACCTCAGACCTGCAGGGCCCAGCTCGGCCTCTGGGCCTCTGGCAGCCGCGCCCTGCCTGGCACCCCCTGCCTCCGTGACGCCCCATCTCTCTCTCTACAACGTAGCCCCGTGCTAGTTCACAGCCTCGCGACCCCTCCCAGAGAGGCCCCACAGCCATGGCCCCCAGCCGCGCGAGCAACGCCAGGCACTCGCCCGGCCCTGGCCCGCCACCCTTGGGTTCGCCTGGGGTCCCCCGCCAGTCTTCCGAACGGGTCCTCCGAGCTGCCTAGAGCGCCCGGAAATGCCCTCGGCATGGGGCGGGGCTTGCGGGGGCGGGGCCGCGCTGCCGACTCGGGCTGGGCTTGGCTCACTGGGCCTAGGCAGTGCCTCAAGCGTGGGATACCCTGGTCAAGTCTTTAAAGATCACAGGTTTTAAACAGATTTCTTTTTACCCAATAGCATTTATTCATACTCTTTAAAGAAATTTGGGAAGTGTAGGAAAAATAGAAGAGACAGAAATTTTCTCCTCAGCACTACGGGCTAAGTATCCCAAATCCAAACACCCCCAATTCAAAACTTTTGAGCAGCTGACATGCCGCACAAAAGGAAATACTCACTGGAACACTTCAGATTTCGGATGTGGGAATTTGGGAGGCTCACCTGCTAACTATGGTACAAATATTCCCCAAAAAAAGCCAAAGCTTTTTTTTTTGAGACAGAGTCTCGCTCTGTCGCCCAGGCTGGAGTGCAGTGGCACGATCTTGACTCACTGCAAGCTCCGCCTCCCGGGTTCACGCCATTCTACTGCCTCAGCCTCCAGAGTAGCTGGGACTACAGGCGCCCGCCACCGCGCCCAGCTAATTTTTTTTTTTTTTTTTTAGTAGACACGGGTCTTCACCGTGTTAGCCAGGATGGTCTCGATCCCCTGACCTCGTGATCCGCCCGCCTCGGCCTCCCAAAGTGCTGGGATTACAGGCGTGAGCCACTGTTCCCGGCCGCCAAAACACTTCTGGTCCCAAGCATTTTGGATAAGGGATACTCAGGCTGTACAAGGAATGTCTGTGCACGTTTTTAGCAGCTCTTGCTGTTACACTAAATAGACTTCATGGTTAGCTTGTCCCTAAAATAACCTTCACGTCCTGAGGTCTGAGATCTGCTGGGAGCAGTGCTGGAAGCCCTATTCCCCCACAGCGAGAGGGGCGCCAGCATCCCTCATTTACGGGAGGAAATCGAGACTTGGTGAGGACGTCCCACAGCCCGGATTTGAACCCAGGCTTGGATCCGAGGCCCACGTGCTTGCTCCACAATGCCCCCTGCTGGCCACCCTCCCTGCCCTCAAAGATTGCTGTAACCAGAAGTGGACGAGCATTTCGGGGAGGAATGCTCCCCGCACAAGCCGAGGGGTCTCCCAGACTCCACTTTGGTGTCCCTGGAGTGCCCATGCCAGCGACCTTTTGGTGGGTCTTTTACCCCAGATGGAACTGTCGCCAAGTGTGTCCCCATCGTGGGGAGAGGAAGTGGATCAGCAGCGTCAGGCCTTGCGGAGGTGCACTCGCACCCTCCTGCGCTACGGTCTCAGAGGCAGGAGGACGCTTTCAGGGAGCCAGCCGCTGTGGCACCTGCAGCAGTTTCAGCAGTTGGGCAGCTCCAGCCGCCCTGCCACACCCTCACTCCTCATCCACTCCAAAATTCAACGCAGCATGCCGAGCCCCAGGTACGTTGAGGCGGAAAGCTATGGTCCCCGCCCGGAGGAGCCATGCAGTTCCCCGCAGCGTGGGTGGAGGAGGAGGGACAGGTGTCCCAGTCCTTGAGTCTCAGGTGGGCAAAATCATGCCACTACTGTGGCACTCGTGTGCCTGACTCCAGGCAGGGCCTTCCCGTCCTGCCGCCCTGCACTCTGTGCATGGCCATTCTGTGAGGCTGCTGCTCCTCAAGCAGCCCGTGGGATGGGAAATCCCCTCGTTTACACGGTAGACCATCCAGCCCAGCGCCTGCTGCAGAGCCTGGGTGAACAGCGTCTGGGTGACGAGAGTAACAGGCAGGATGCAAGTGGGAGCAGGCGGCTTCCCAGGACCTCGGTCCATGTGCCCATCCAGCAGGACCCTGAGCCCAGCTCCCATCTGGGGAGAGGGCTCCACGGGGGCAGGCAAGAGGGGCTGCATGCTGAGCTCCTGAAAGCTCTAGAATGCCCTCTGTAGCCATTACACTCGACGGAGGGCATGGCGAATAGCAAGGGCTTGGGGCATGTGGTTGGGTTTTAGGTTTTTCCTTGCAGGACTGTGCTGAGCCTGCACCACTGGGAAGCCCTTGGCCTCTGCCCTTTCTCTGAAACGCTCCTCTTCTGCCTGGATGCCTTGGTCATTCTTTCCTCATCCATAACCTTGAATAGCTTCACCAAGATCCGTGCTGGTGTCAATATTTTATATTAAGTTTTCCTGGGATATGGTGTTCTTGATTTTTTTGAATTAGGGTATAATTTACATAGCGAAAATGCCCAAATTTTAAGCACTCGGCTTGACTGTTTACATGTTTACACTCTTGCTAATCCCCCCAGGTCACAGCATGGAACTTTCCAGAGCTTCTCCTCCCTTTCCCTTCCCCTCCCCCAGCTGATGGGTATTCTAGCTTCTGGAGGGCCCTGTCTGCCATCGGGCCTCTCAGGAATGGATTCGTCTGCCCGC
This sequence comes from Homo sapiens, assembly GCF_000001405.40. Classification (NCBI taxonomy): domain Eukaryota; kingdom Metazoa; phylum Chordata; class Mammalia; order Primates; family Hominidae; genus Homo; species Homo sapiens. Next base: position 143,286,186 of record NC_000008.11, read on the forward strand.
CCTCCTGGCACTCCTTTTGCTCCACACGATGTGCTAGAGGTCACTCCGGGTGGTTCTGTGTGTCTGTTGGCCCCGTCCGCGCCGGCGTGTGGTTTCCCATTCTGAGTGTTTGCTCTGACCCCATTTTTATTGCTGGGGTTGTGTGCTTCTCAAGCCCTTTTCCAATCCCAAACCTGTGGTGTCTTTTCTGAGTTAGAACACCCTAGTGGCTACAAGGACCCCAGAGTAGGAAGCCCAGCATCCGTGCGACAAGGCTGGGTTCCCTGAGAGCCAAGCGGCCTCCCCACCTCAGCGCCCTCCCCAAACTCCTGCCCACACTTCAGGACCCGCTGGCAGTGCTGCTTGAGTCACTGCTCCCTGCTCTCTGCTTCTAATGAGGCCTCCACGCGCTGCTTTCTGGCACCTGGCAGGCGGTGCCTGCTGTGCCTGTGTTTCTCCCTTCTCTTTCGCGAGCTCCCAGGGCAGCCCCCGTGGTGCTCTGTCCACCTTCGGGGGTGTCCCTGGTGCCCAGCGCAGCAGGAGTGAATGTCCTGAGCCTGAGCCAGTTCTCCTTGACTGCACAGCACCAAGGTGCCAGTCAGTGCTGGTCAGGCTGGCCGCTAGGTCTTGGTGCACCCGCCACTTCCTACCACCCTTGCATTTTCTCCTCTTAGGGCCACTGGTGTGTCTCACCTGGAACCTGCTCACCAAAAACCCGTCTGTTACTTCACAGATCCTGCCACGCGGGAGCCCGGCACAGCTTGGCTGAGGTCTCTGCCAGGGTCTCCTGGAGCTGCCATTAAGCTGTCCTGGTCTCCGAACTCCTGTGGAGCTTGAGGTCCTTCCCTGACCATTCGGGCCGTGGCAGGATTTCCATCCTGCGGCTGTGGGGGTCAGGCCCTCGGCTTCCAGGGGTAACTCAGAGGTCTCTGCCTCCCCTGCTCCTTCTGCCAGGAGACTGGGAGTCCTTCCTTTCTGTGTCACCTGTTTCCTGGCTGCGTGTCCACTTGCTTCAGTTGACCCACGGCCTCTTCTTTGAACAACAGTCCTCTTTCTCTGAGGTCTTTTTTTGTTTGTTTGTTTTTGTTTTGTTTGGTTTGATTGGTTTGTTTTGAGACAGAGTCTTGAAGGGGTGGGTTGCCCCTCCACACCTGTGGGTGTTTCTCGTTAGGTGGAACGAGAGACTTGGAAAAGAAAAAGACACAAAGTATAGAGAAAGTAATAAGGGGACCCAGGGAACCAGCGTTCAGCATATGGAGGATCCTGCCAGCCTCTGAGTTCCCTTAGTATTTATTGATCATTCGTGGGTGTTTCTCCGAGAGGGGGATGTGTCAGGGTCACAAGACAATAGTGGGGAGAGGGTCAGCAGACAAACACGTGAACAAAGGTCTTTGCATCATAGACAAGGTAAAGAATCAAGTGCTGTGCTTTTAGATATGCATACACATAAACATCTCAATGCTTTACAAAGCAGTATTGCTGCCCGCATGTCCCACCTCCAGCCCTAAGGCGGTTTTTCCCTATCTCAGTAGATGGAACGTACAATCGGGTTTTATACCGAGACATTCCATTGCCCAGGGACGGGCAGGAGACAGATGCCTTCCTCTTGTCTCAACTGCAAGAGGCATTCCTTCCTCTTTTACTAATCCTCCTCAGCACAGACCCTTTACGGGTGTCAGGCTGGGGGACGGTCAGGTCTTTCCCTTCCCACGAGGCCATATTTCAGACTGTCACATGGGGAGAAACCCTGGACAATACCTGGTTTTCCTAGGCAGAGGACCCGGCGGCCTTCCGCAGTATTTGTGTCCCTGGGTACTTGAGGTTAGGGAGTGGTGATGACTCTTAAGGAGCATGCTGCCTTCAAGCATCTGTTTAACAAAGCACATCCTGCACAGCCCTTAATCCATTTCACCCTGAGTTGACACAGCACATGTTTCAGAGAGCACGGGGTTGGGGGTAAGGTCATAGATTAACAGAATCTCAAGGCAGAAGAATTTTTCTTAGTACAGAACAAAATGGTGTCTCCTATGTCTACTTCTTTCTACACAGACACAGTAACAATCTGATCTCTCTTGCTTTTCCCCACAGGTCTCACTCTGTCACCCAAGCTGGAGTGCAATGGCGTGATCTCAGCTCACTGCAATCTCCACCTCCCGGGCTCAAGTGATTCTCCTGCCTCAGCCTCCCGAGTACCTGGGATTACAGGCGAACACCACCACTCCCGGCTAATTTTTGTAGTTTTAGTAGAGATGGAATTTCACCGTGTTGGCCAGGCTGGTCTCAAACCCCTGACCTCAGGTGATCCACCCGCCTCGGCCTCCCAACGTGCTGGGATGACAGGAGTGAGCCACTGCGCCAGGCCCAGCTGTCTTTGTTTTTCAGGGGTGCCTTTGGTAATTTCTTCATCGTACTTTTTTTTTTCAGGGTAGCAGGTAAGAGACTCAGTGGATAGGCTCATGGAAACAGTCCTTGAAGGGGTGGTATTCTAAGACTCAGCTACTTTTTTTTTTTTTTTTTTTTTTTTTTTTTTTTTGAGACGGAGTCTCACTGTGGAGTGCAGTGGCGAAATCTTACTGCAACCTCCGCCTCCTGGATTCAAGCAATTCTCCTGCCCCAGCCTCCCGAGTAGCTGGGACTAAGGCAAGCACCAACATGCCTGGCTAATTTTTTGTAATTTTTTTTTTGGTGGAGATGGGGTTTCACTATGTTGGCCAGGCTGGTCTCGAACTCCTGACCTCGAGTGATCCTCCTGTCTTGGCCTCCCAGAGTGCTGGGATTACAGGCGTGAGCCACCTCTCCGGCCTGGACTCGGCTACTTTTGGATCAAGAAATCCAGAATTTTCTAGACTGTGAACTTGCCCTTTATCATGGACATTTACCACCTGCAACTGCCCAGAGGTTCTCTGTCTCACCCTACACCGTGAGGACCCCCTTAGCAAACAGAATTCCAGGGCGCGGGCTCTTCGCAGGATCTGAGCTATTCGCGGGCGTCCTGAGTTGCTTGGATTCACTCCCCCACCCCCATGTCCCTGGAGTCCTGCCTTGTGTTTTCGATTCTGTTTCTCAGGGGCCCCAGCGTGTGGCCTCCCATTGTGGGAGAGCAGGAGGGAAGCGGTGAGGGGTGATTTCGGAGGAGGCAGAGCCCCGGGTGTCCGTGGGAAGCTCCAAAGCCGGGCCGCGGGACGGCTACCCTGGGCTGTGACGCAGTCCAGGATCTTCGCCAAGGCACCTGCTGGAGGCCCCTCCTGGGTCCCACGACCCCGACTGCGCCTGCCGGCTGCCAGCGAGGAGGCGGGGCCAAGGCGAGGGCGGGGCCGAGGCAGGAGGGGCGGGGTCGGCCTGATGGGCGGGGCTTCCGTGTGGGCGGGGCTGCTGGCCCTGCGGTCTGAGCCAGCGGGGAGAGGCCCGGGCGGAGGAGGCTGCGGACTCCTAGAGGTTCAGTGCCGGAAGTTGGGCCTGGAAAGGGGGCACCGCCTTCCCGGTTCTGGTGGCGGGGAGTGAGGGGACGGGCGAAAGCGGCACAGGGAACAGCATGACACGGGCCTGAGGCAGGGCACATTTGGAAAGGGGCGAGGAGAGGGCAGTGGCTTCTGGCACGGCAGCAGTGGGCATACAGAGGCAGTCGGGACCCGTCTGGAAGAGCCTCCGCCCGGGGTAAGGAGCCGGGACTGTGTCTAGGAGGCAGTGGGGAGCTCCGGAGAGCGAAGCGCCTCCTGCGCAGACTCGCGTGCTTGGAGTACCGGAGCCTGCAGGGCAAGAGAGGGTCTTCAGAAGACCCACGACGTTCCACTGGGATGCAGAGGGAAACGGTTACTTGTACTTCTACATCATCTCTTTTAGATGTGTGTGTGTGTGGTGTGTGTTGTTGTTGTTGTTTTTGTTTTGCGACAGAATCTCTGTCACCCAGGCTGGAGTGCAGTGCCAATCTCGGCTCACTGCAGCCTCCGCCTCCCGAGCTCAAGTGGTCCCCCCGCCTCAGCCTCCCGAGTAGCTGGTACCACAGGCGCCGGCCACCACGCCCGGCTAATTTTTAAAAAAAATTTTTAGTCGACACGGTTCTAACTATGTTGCTCAGGCTGGTCTGAAACTCCTGGACTCAAACAATCCTCCTGCCTTGGCCTCCCAAAGTGCTGGGATTACATTCATGAGCCTCTCGCCCACCCAGTCTAAGTGTTTTAATTTTTATCTTTTACAACAGCTTCTAATTTGTTACAAATAAACGTGCAGCATGTGGTGGGAGTGTTCAGGTGTTTACTGGTGCAGTGCGCAATGAACGCGGTTCCAGGCACGAGATGTGGAGGCCCAGAGGCAGATGCCGGGTGGCGGCGGCGCGGGACTGTCGGAGGCGCGGGCAGGGACCTGGGCTCCCAAGGCTGTGGCCCTCCCGCCCCAGTCCAGGGTCCAGTTCCAGGGGCGCGTCTGGCCCTCTGTTGCTGTCTTCTTAGGGTTCTCTCATGGGAATCGGTTCTTCAGCCTTTCTTTTCTCCCCAGAGAGGGTCTGTCTACTCGTTGTAAGAGGGAACAAGTCCACATTGCAGCTGTACACTTTGCACCCATGATGAAAAGCGTCACTTTTGCAGCATTCCAGCTGGAGATGCGTGACCTTCGGTCTGCGGCAGGCGGAAGGGCGAGAGACTTGGACAGGAGGTGCATCTTGCCCGGGGAAGGCTGAACGAATGAGAGCTCGGTCCCTGGTGAGAAAGAGCCCAGAGCCCGCGAGAGGCGGGCAGCAAGGGCTTCTCTGCAGCGGAGACGCGAGGGCGGCGTCCTGCAGGGAGGCGGGGGGCAGCGCCTGGGGCGCTCCAAGCTCTCGGCCCCAAGGAAGCCCACGCTCGGGACCCGCGTGCTGCCACAGCCCCGGGGGCCTGGAGGGTCCCGTGAGCCGAGCGGGACCCGGGACAAGCGCGGGACGCCGCGGGGAACGGACGGGAACGCGCGTGGCCGCCCCACAGCGGGCCTTCGACACCTCCTGACACGTCCTGCGGGTGCCCGGTCCTCAGTTGGCTCGAGCCGGATCCCGGCGCGCCAACGGCTCGACCTTGCCCCCCACGAGGCAGGGCTTCCTGCCCGGCAGGAAGGACTCGGCCGGCGCCTGCGGGCAACCGATGAGCTGAAGGCGCCGCGGCTGGGCCGTCCCGCTCTCCCGCCGCCGAGCGCGCTGTCCTCCCGCTGCCCAGAGCGTCGCCGGAAGTGCCGAGGGGGCGGGCCAGGGGTGGAGACTGGCGTTTCCGGCGCGCGACGGGGCGGGGACCGTAGCGGGTGCAGTCCAGCTGCTCTGGACGCTGAGGCCCCGGCTTCTCTTGCTGGGGTGTCGATTCGGGAGGGCTGAGGGCGCGGCCGAGAGAACGGGGCGGTCACCGCCGCCGTGGCCCGCGCGTCCCGCGCTCTCCTTGCAGTGCAGGCCCCAGCCGCTCTCGGGCGCGGCGTGGGGGAGGCGGCCCTGCAGGTGCGTACCCGGGGTCCGACACGTGCGGGGCTTCCTGCGAGCTGAGTCCCCGCTGCGCGTCTTCAGGCCTTTGTAAGTTGTCAAATTTCCCACCGGCCCAGCTCATCGAGCTTCTTCCCAGCTGTGAACAGGAGGGCCTGTTCCCTAATTCTTGCCGGTAAGGTACTTGCAAAAATCTGCTTCCAGACTAAAAAATTGCACTTTAAATTACCTTTTTGTAAAAGCGGCGGGGTCTCGCTATGTTTCCCAGGCTGGCCTCCTACTCCTGGGCTCAAGCGATCCTCCCGCTCAGCCTCCCTGGCAGGCGGGATTACAGGCGGCTTAAATTAAATTTACTAATTAATCACTTTATTTACTTATTTTTTTAAGACAGGGTCTCACTCCAACGCCCAGCTGGAGTGCAGTGGCGAAATCTCGGTTCACCCCAGCCTAGACCTCCTGGGCTCAGGCAGTCCTCCCACCTCAGCCTCCCTAGTAGCTGGGACTACAGACGCCCACCATCACACCTGGCTAATTTTTTGATTTTTTGTAGAGACGGGGTCTCACTATGTTGCCCAGGCTGGTCAGGAACTCTTGTAATCAGTCAGTCCTCCATCCTGAGCCTTTTGAAGTGCTAGGATTACAACTGTGAGCCACAGCACCCAGCCAAATTACATTTCTTAATTGCACTTGAGGTGAGACCTAAAAAAATGTATTGCCTACTGGTTTTTCTTCTTTGTGAGTTACCTATTCATGATCTTTGCCAATTTTCCTTCCTTTCTCATTAATATATAGAGGTCTTTATCAGATAGGGATGAATCTTTGCATTGCACGTATTCCTCCCTTTTTGGTTTTTTTTTTTTACATTAAATTTTTTTATGTAGTTGAATTTGTCAGACATCTGATGTCAGGCTTAGAAAAATCATTCCTCATTCCAAAACTTTACCATTCAAATAAGTTGTTCTTTTCTTCTGGTTTAACATTTTTATATTCAAATCCTTATAACTACCAAGAAAATTTTAAAACCCATGGGAATTTCTCTAGACATTTGAAGACTGCTGGAGGGCGCGGGCTTCCTCAGCATGGAGCTAGGAAGCTGTGGCCACGCCCACCTGTGCTCTGCGTCAGCCCTGGGTGGAGGGGGACCCGCAGAGCCTGGACCAGAGTTCCTGGGCATCCCACAGAACAGAACACCCGCTTCTGGGAGTGTCTGTTGAGCCAGGACCTTGATTGCTAGTGACAGGAGTGGGCCCAGCTGGGTGATGCAGCTCCCACAGGGCCTGTTCTGACAGTTTCCTCTGAAGGCATTCTGACCTCACTGCCCCTGGCCCCTGTACCTAGCCCTGGCTGTGATTTATTTTCCTTTTCTTTTACCTAAGCAGAAATTGTTCCAACTGCTGGTGTTCTGCAAGATGGAGCCAGGAGGAGAGCCCACAGGTGCTAAAGAGAGCAGTACCCTGATGGAGTCCCTTGCAGGTGAGGGGACATGTCCACAGTCGGGCCCAGAGTTCCAGGGCAGGAATTGAACAGGAATACAGGAAAAACACCATGTCTCAGTCACTGACGCAGAGCATATACTGTGTCCTTGGGCGCAGGGTGAGGGAGGGAGGTAAACGCAGGCCCATCAGATCTCCTGGGCATCTGTTTGGTGACTGTCTTTGCCAGTGAACTGAGAGCTTTTGGTTAGAAAGTCTGGCAGCCCCAGGCTCTGCCTCTGGGAAGGTCTCTCTCTCAGTGCTTCTCCACCTTGGCACCGTGGCTGTTTTGGAATGGACGAGTCTTTGTTGAGGGGCCATCCTGTGTGTTGTAGGACGTTCGGCAGCACCCTCGCCTCTGCCCACTTGGTGTCAGTAGGGCCCCCTCCCAGTTGTGACAATCCAAAACATCTCCACACATTGTCAAATGTGCCCTCAGGACAAAATCGCCCCCATGAGAACACTGCTTTATGTTTTGGGGCCACCCTGAGAGTGTGTCACAGCAACAGCCCGGGAGATGGCGTGGGCAGTGCAGGCCCTGCTGTGAGGTCTGGGATTGCCTCCATCGGAAAGGCGTCCTTGGGGCCTGCAGGCTGGATCCAGTAGAGCTCCACCACGTATGTGTCCCCTTCTCACCATAGTCTTGGTTCTTTTTCCTCATAAGCAATACCTTTGAGTCAGTTCTTGAACTTCCAAGTCTGCAAACCACAAGACCAGGGCTGGGCCTCTGCCAAGGGGCTTCTGTTCTGCAGGCCGCCCTGAGCGCCTCCCGCCCCCTGGCTGCTCAGTGTCAGGGGTCTGCAAGGGCAGAGAGAGGTGGGGACTGTCGATAGCAGCCTGCTCTCATCTGCCCTGGAACATCCCTGCCCCACCCCCACCTCCACAGGAGCTTCCGTCTTATCTGCGCCCTCCACATTCTTGAGAGGTGCAGCTGGGACTCAGCCGCTTCTCCTCTGCTGCCACAGCGGACTGCCTGCAGACTGAGAAGTCCTCCTCAGTTGCTGTGCTGGCCTCGTTGGCCCCCCTCCTCCTGCTGCCCCTCCTGGCTGAGTCCTCCTGCCTCCTATGCAGGCCAAGCTCAGTTGCCAGCTTTCTCATGTCCCAGGGTTTCACCCCTACCCCTTAAGCCTTTTTTCTAAATGGCCACATGGTCTGTCCCTGTGAGCCAGTGGAACCAAATCTAACCAGTGGCTTGACTGCCAGACAAGGGCCATTGATAACGCAGCCTGGATGGGGTTGCTCAGCCTGACCAGCGCCGCCGCCGCCCAGCCCACATGGGACGTGGGTTGCTGCTTCCAGCTCTTGTTCCGGATTTCTTTTCTTTTCTTTTTTTTTTTTTTAAGACAAAGTCTTGCTCTGTCGCCAGGCTGGAGTGCAGTGGCGCCAGCTCACTGCAATCTCCACCTCCTGGATTCAAGTGATTCTTCTGCCTCAGCCTCTCAAGTAGCTGGGACTACAGGTGTGCACCACCACACCCAGCTAATTTTTGTATTTTTATTAGAGATAGGGTTTCACCTAATCTTGATCTCTTGACCTCGTGAACTGCCCACCTCAGCCTCCCAAAGTGCTGGGATTACAGGCGTGAGCCACCGCGACTGGCCTCTTGGTCCGGATTTCTGTCTGAGTGAGGACGCTCCTGTTTGCACATAACAGAAGCCCTTAGAGTTTGGTGTTTGGGGGCAGTTGTTAAGGAGTCTGCGTTGTCTCAGGGAGTCCAAGGTAAAAGGAATGAGCTGGGGCCATGGCTGGGTGTGGTGGCTCACACCTGTAATCCCAGCACTTTAGGAGGCTCAGGTGGGAGGAGGGTTGAGCCCAGGAGTTCAAGACCAGCCTGGGCAACACATTGACACACTGTCTCTACAAAAAATTTTTAAAATAGCCTGGTGTGGTGGTGCTCACCTGGAGGTGCGCCACCTACTTGGGAGGCGGAGGGAGGATCACTTGAGCCCTGAGGCTGCAGTGAGCCATGATGGTACCACTGCACTCCAGCCTGGGTGATAGAGCAAGACCCTGGCTCACAAGAAAGGAAGGAAGGACAGACAGAAGGCAGAGCTGGGCCGTGGGCTCTGTTGGGTGCCACTGTCCCCGGGCCTCCTGCTACATCTGCCTCGCTCCCGTCCTGGCTTGCTGCCAGCTGTCTCCAGCCTCCTTTGCTTTCCCAGCTGTCCCGCAGAGTAAGGCAGTGCCCAGAGCCTGCGTTTCTGTCCCCTCCCCTCCCAGGACTGGGTGGGCCGAGGCTAGAGGTTTAGCCCTGTTTCTAGCCCCGTTTAGCCTCGTTTCTGTTTGTATATTTTTAAAATTCTATTTTTTTAAGAGACAGGATCTCACTATGTTGGCCAGGCTGGTCTTGAACTCCAAGTCTCAAGTGGTCCTCCTGCCTCAGCCTCTGAAAGTGCGGAGATACAGGTGTGAGTCACCACATCCGGCCCCACAGCCCCGTTTCTGGAGTGGCAGTGCAGGATTCTCGTCTACCTCATAACCATGGGGGTTAAGAAGGTGGGGAGGAGAAAAAAACTAAAAAAAACGAGGCGGGAACTGAATGGGCAAAATCAAAGGTGTCTGTGGCACACTGACGTCACCATCACTGTCACTCTGTCGTCACCACGATTGCCAGAGCCACCCTCGACTCACGTTCTCTTACATCTAAAATCGTTCCTGTCTGGCCTCTTTTTCAGCTGTGAAGGCTGCTTTCCTGGCGCAGGCCCCGAGTGGCAGCCGGTCAGCCGAGGTGCAGGCAGCTCAGAGCACGGAGCCTGCCGCAGAGGCAGGCGCTCCCGAGGGAGAGGGCCACAGAGGGGGGCCTCCCCGGGCGTTGGGGTCTCTTGGCCTTTGTGAAAACCAGGAAGCCAGAGAGAGGCCCGGAGGTTCCCCTCGAGGCCCGGTCACTTCTGAGAAAACTGGAGGACAGAGTGGCCTCGAGTCAGACGTCCCTCCGAACGCAGGCCCCGGCGCAGAGGGCGGGGGCAGCTGGAAGGGGCGGCCTTTCCCGTGCGGCGCCTGTGGCCGCAGCTTCAAGTGCTCCTCGGACGCGGCAAAGCACCGGAGCATCCACTCGGGGGAGAAACCGTACGAGTGCAGCGACTGCGGGAAGGCCTTCATCCACAGCTCGCACGTGGTCCGGCACCAGCGGGCGCACAGCGGGGAGAGGCCCTACGCGTGCGCCGAGTGCGGCAAGGCCTTCGGCCAGAGCTTCAACCTCCTCCGGCACCAGCGCGTGCACACGGGCGAGAAGCCCTACGCGTGCGCCGACTGCGGCAAGGCCTTCGGCCAGAGGTCGGACGCCGCCAAGCACCGCCGCACCCACACCGGGGAGAGGCTGTACGCGTGCGGCGAGTGCGGGAAGCGCTTCCTGCACAGCTCGAACGTGGTCCGGCACCGGCGGACCCACCACGGGGAGAACCCGTACGAGTGCCGGGAGTGCGGCCAGGCCTTCAGCCAGAGCTCCAACCTCCTCCAGCACCAGCGCGTGCACACGGGGGAGCGGCCCTTCGCCTGCCAGGACTGCGGCCGCGCCTTCAGCCGCAGCTCCTTCCTCCGCGAGCACCGCCGCATCCACACCGGGGAGAAGCCCCACCAGTGCGGCCACTGCGGGCGCGCGTTCCGGGCGCTGTCGGGCTTCTTCCGGCACCAGCGACTCCACACGGGCGAGAAGCCGTTCCGCTGCACCGAGTGCGGCCGCGCCTTCCGCCTGAGCTTCCACCTCATCCAGCACCGGCGGGTGCATGGCGCCGAGTGAGCCGGGGCTGCGGCGGAAGAGATGCCGGCGGCCTGGTGGGCGCGAGGCCGAGGCCGGGGGAGGCTCCTGTCCGCCCCGTGCGCGGTGAGGAAGTAACAGCCGGCTGCGCGCCTGGTTCTCGGGTTGCGAAAGCCTCGCCAGGCCTGCATCCGCCTTGGCTTGGGAGCAATCAGGAGAGACAGGGCTCGGGGAAGGCGAGCGCTGCCCGCGGGAGGCGATTCCCAGAGGCGGGGAGGTCTCAGGGGTCTGTCCCGGGCCGGCCGCCCGCCTCTGAGACTCCCCGCCTCCCACGGTCAGCTGCTGCGGGGCAGTGGCCGGTGATTGAATCGGTCATTCCTCCGCAACCAGGCCTCCATCAAAACCCTGCATGAGATGAGGGCCTCGGGCTTCGGGTTGGTGAAGGCGGGGTGGGGGGGCAGTTAGGAAGGGGGCGCCCAGACAGGGCATGGAAGCCTCGCGTCCTCCCCCGTACCTTGCGGGTCGGTGGTTCATCCATGTATTTCAACGCCTTTTCACAGCCGGTTCATATGGTCCCGACTTCTGTGTGCTTAGAAAATTATGGAACTTGGCCGGGTGCGGTGGCTCCCGCCTGTAATCCTAGCACTTTGGGAGGCCGAGGCGGGCGGATCACACGGTCAAGAGATCAAGACCATCCTGGCCAACATGGCAAAACCCCCATCTCGACTAAAAATACAAAAAATTAATTGGGCGTGGTGGCGTGCGCCTGTAATCTCAGCTACTTGGGAGCCTGGGGCAGGAGAATCACTTGAACCTGGGAGGCGGAGGTTGCAGTGAGCGGAGATCTGGGCACTGTACTTTAGCCTGGGCGACAGAGAGACCCATCTCAAAAAAAAAATTGGAACCTGAGAAGGGGGTCGTGGGGTCCCCGGGGCCCACCGTCTGCACTTGGCATCTGAAGTCGGGGTGGTCTTGTGGGACTGACCCCTTACCCTGTGGGTTCTGCACTAGCTCCGGGCAATTGGTGACAGAATCGAGTTAAATTGTAGGACATCGCGTTGGTGTCTGAGAGGGAGTTGGAGAGCTGGTTGGTGTGGAGGGAAAGGCTTACACACATGTGATTTCAGAAGCGTTCTGTGGGTAGAGGAATCGTTTTCTCTTTGAGACTGTTATGAGTATGTACAAATGTTATTTCCTGTAAAATATTTTCATTTTTTAAAATGTTATTTTCTAGATAGAAAAGTAGAAGTGTCTCTTTGGGGAGCGTTTTTGGGGGCGTATAGTAAAGCTCTGTCATCATGAATTAAGCGAGGTGGGCTTTGAGTTTCTTGGGATGACAGGGAAATGTGAGCCGCCTACTGGCCGTGAGCCCCTGGGGTGCGGTTGCAGGATTCGCCCATCCTGGTCTGGGTGTGGCTTGTGACCACCTCCTGCAGTTCTCTGCCCAGGTAAGGACTAATTGGGAAGAATTCTGGGTCCTGAGCTGGCTGCCGCTTCCAAGACAGTCGCTTTGAGGGCTCTTGGCACCGATTTTGTTAAAATGCATGAGCTTAGGGTTGTGCAGCCTGTAGGGGCAGGGGTGGTCTCAGAATGGATTTGGTGGCCCCACCGTTAATTAAGCTCCTGACCCCTGGGCCGGTGGTGAGGTGGGAAGATGAGCCTGTGTCTCCCATGCTGAGCCAAGATCCTCAGGTACCAGTAGCGGTCAAAGCACCTGCTCCCTGAAGGAAGCTTACCTGGCTTAGCCTCATTCCTGCTCGTAAGTCAGGCATTCAGCTTGCAAAGATCCCCAAGCACACAAGGAGAGTCAGCTGACTGAGGGCCAACAGAAACAGCAGGCAGCCGCTGTCAGCCACAAAGAAACGCAGATCCTGAAACTGTCATCATACAGGTGAGAGGATAGTTATGTGTGAGGTGTTCAAAGAAGTCGCGCAGTCAGTGATGAGAAAGCTGTAGGGTACATACTGTCACGCATGAATAGGCAGGACTCCTTAAAGAACTTTTGGAAATGAAAAACAGGCCAGGTGCAGTGGTTCATGCCTATAATCCCAACACTTTGGGAGGCCTAAGGGGGAGGATCACTTGAGCCTAGGAGTTCAAGACCAGCCTAGGCAACATAGGGCTGGGCACGGTGGCTCACGCCTGTAATTCCAGCACTTTGGGAGGCTGAGGCAGTGGATCACCTGAGGTCAGGAGTTTGAGACCACCCTGGCCAACATGGCAAAACCCCATTTCTACTAAAAATACAAAATTAGCTGGGCATGGTGGCCCACACCTGTAATCCCAGCTACTCGGGCAGCTGAGGCAGGAGAATCCCTTGAACCTGGGAGGCAGAAGATGCAGTGAGCCGAGATCACGCCATTGCACTCCAGCCTGGGCAAAAAGAGCAAAACTCCATCTTAAAAAAATAAATAAATAAAGGAAAATGAGCCGAGTGATGGTCTTAGATATAAGATGGAATGGCAAGCAAATAAAATTATAAATATGAATACATATGTATATATAAAAGAATAGTGTCAACTAAAATACTAGACAACAATAGCATGTAAATTAGAAGGGACAGAAATGTTCTAAGACCCTCCGGTTGTTGGGAAGAGGGTGTAAGATAGTGTTTAATTTGACTTTGATAAGTTAAATGTGCATAGTGTAATTTAATGTTAATTACTAAAAGAGTGTAACCAGTCTATACATCTCTAATCCAATAAAAAGAATAAAACACTGTGATTTAAAATGTAGTCCCAGCTGCTTGGGAGACTGAGGCAGGAGGATCTCGGCTTGGATCCTCAGACCAGGAGTTTGAGGCAGCAGTGAGCTACGATTGTGCCGCTGCACTCCAGACTGGACAACACAGTGAGAGCCCATAAAATAAATAAATGAACTGAACACAAACTTCTGTCAATTAAAAAATAAGAACGAAATCAGGCTGGGCCTGAGCGCTGTGGCTCACACCTGTAATCCCAGCACTTTGGAGGCCAAGGTGGGTGGATCGCTTAAGCCCAGGAGTTCGAAACCAGCCTGGGCAACATAGGGAGAACCTGTCTCTACAAAAAATACAGTAAGTAAGCCTATAGTTCCAGCCACCCAGGAGGCTGAGGTGGGAGGATCACCTGAGCCTGGGAGCTCGAGACTGCAGTGAGCTGTAGTCATACCACTACACTCCAGCCTGGGCAAAAGAGTGAGACCCTCTCTCAAAAAAGAAAAAAAAATCAGAAACAAACTGGGCAAATTAAGATGGTGGAAACAAAACTAAATATGTCCCTAACGACAGTAAGCTGTATAGAATTGCCGGTTGACAGGTAAAGGTTAGGACTGGGTGCAGTGGCTCATGCCTGTAATCCCAGCACTTTGGGAGGCCGTGGTGGGTGGATCACCTGAGGTCAGGGGTTTGAGACCAGCCTGGCCAACATGGTGAAACCCCGTCTCTACTAAAAATACAAAAATCAGCCAGTTGTGGTGGTGCATGCCTGTAATCTCAGCTACTCGGGAGGCTGAGACAGGAGAATGGTTTGAACCTGGGAGGCGGAGGTTGCAGTGAGCCAAGATTGCGCCACTGCTCTCCAGCCTGTGTGACAGAGTGAGACTGTCATACACACAAACACACATAAAGATTAGGAGGAAAATCTGTGACCCAGAGTCACACACATGAAGACAGACAGGAGGGAGGCGTGAGTCAACCAGGGGAAGAAAGGCAAGCTCAGGTGCCATATGAAGTCCAGAACATTGTTTTAAAAAGGAAACTCAAAAATAATGATGGGCCAGGCATGGTCGCTCACCCCTGTAATCCCAACACTTCGGGAGGCAGAGACGGGCGGATCACTTGAAGTCAGGAGTTCGAGACCAGCCTGGCCAACATGACAAAACTCCATCTCTATTAATAATACAAAAATTAGCCAAGTGTGGTGGTCTGCGCCTGTAATCCCAGCTACTTGGGAGGTTGAGGCACGAGAATCGCTTGAACCTGGCAGGCAGATGCTGCAGTGAGCCGAGATTGCGCCACCGTACTCCAGCCTGGACTTCACTCAACCTGGGAGGCAGAGGTTGCAGTGAGCCAAGATCGCACCGCCAACTCCAGCCTGGGCGTTACTCAACCTGAGAGGCGGAGGCTGCACTGAGCCAAGATCACACCGCTGACTCCCAGCCTGGGTGTCACTCAGGCTCAGTGAGACTCCACCTCGAAAAAAATAAAAAAATAATAAAAATGTCTTAGAGATGGAAATGTAATGGGCAAAATTAAATTAGCAAGAAGGTGGAAAGTGGAGAAAATCTGTTTGAAAGAATGAAAAGACAAGAAGGTGGGTGACAGGATAGAAAGATTAAGACTAACAGGAATTCCAAGGAGGGGAAAACAAAAACAGAAAATGGTGGGAATGAAGTTATTAGAGAAATAATTTTCCCCCAGAACCGAGAAACATGAATCTCCAGAGTAAAAGCACCTACCGATATCTCGCACAAAGATGGAAGGAACGACCTACATCCAGGCATGACGTGAAACATCAGACAGTCCAGGACATAGAGACGATCTGAAAGCGCAGATCACACACACAGGCTGAGGAATAAATCCCTTCCCAAGGGCAGACTGGAAGTTAGAAAATGACAGAACAATGCTTCGAAAATTACAAGTGAAAATAATTTCCAACCTAGAACTTTATACCTACCCAAGTGGTCAGTCAAGTGTGACAGTATGACAACATTTTCAGATATGCAAACTCTTACTTTTAAAAATTCATTTTCAAAATACATGTTTTCAGGAGCCTACTAAAGGAGGAGCTCCAAATCAAGGGAGCAAACCAAGAAAGAGGAAGAAGGGGCTGGCCACTGTGCTGTAATCCCAGCACTTTGGGAGGCTGAGGCAGGTGGATCATGAGGTCAGGAGTTCGAGACCAGCCTGTCCAATATGGTGAAACCCCGCCTCTACTAAAAAATACAAAAATTAGCTGGGTGTGATGGCGCGTGTCTGTAGTCCCCACTACTCAGGAGGCTGAGGCAGGAGAATCGCTGGAACCCGGGAGGCGGAGGTTGCGGTGAGCCAAGATCACACCACTGCACTCCAGCCTGGTGACAAAGCAAGACTCCGTCTTAAAAAAAAAAAAAAAAGGAAGAAGTGGAATCTTGTAAATGGGGTTTCATAGAAAAAAAGTGGTGAGGGGCATCCCCACGTGACAACGGAGCCCCAGGGCTGGGCAGAGAGAGCCGCGTGTCCTGGGACCGTCCGATATTTCCCACAGTCCACTCTGGAGCCACAGTGACTTACTTTCCTTCCACAAGTGAAATATGCTCGCCACCCCCCACTCAAGCCACCCAGAGGTCTCTTCCTGCTGCTGTCTCAGCTCAGAGGCCGTCAGCTCATGATTCTCCTCTGGTCCGGATGTGTGTGAGATGCCTCTTGAGGCTATAAACTAAAGAAAAAATTACCTGCCTCGACCCCAGCACAGGATTTTGAGACAGGCCCAGGATAAGCACAATAACTCTCTCGTTTGAAAAAGAGAGCGGTGGGGGCTCATTCACTGCAGACCCCAGTCTGTAGTACTCTGTTGACTCAGTCAACAGCATGTTGCCAAGGGACCTCATTAAGGGGGCAGAGTCTGTGTCTTTTTTAGGGCCTCATTTTCCCTGGAAGTGACATTATTATCCTTTTTTTTTCCCTCAGATTTTGGCTCTGCCCTTGGTCTCTCTCCTCTGTGTTTTTAGATGTCCGATAGCCTGTATTTGAGGCTAAGCAGCTTTCTTAGCTGCTTACTGCCTGTAGAAGGAGGGAACCCAAAGGCTTCATTTTCAGCTGTTTCCATCTCTGTTCATTTAAACTGACACAATGCCCTTAAAAATCTGGTGGGTTTCGGGCCGGGCGCGGTGGCTCACGCCTGTATCCCAGCACTCTGTGAGGCCAAGGTGGGTGGCTCACGAGGTCAAGAGATTGAGACCATCCTGGCCAACATGGTGAAACCCCGTCCCTGATAAAAATGACAAAATTTAGCTGGGTGTGGTGGTACGCACCTGTAGTCCCCGCTACTCAGGAGGCTGAGGCAGGAGAATCACTTGAACCCAGGAGGCAGAGGTTGCAGTGAGCCGAGATCGCGCCACTGCCCTCTAGCCTGGCAGAAGAGCGAGACTCCATCTCAAAAAAACAAACAAACAAAATCTTGTGGGTTTCTTAGATTATATTCTCCACTAGACAAAAAATATACTTAAACATTTGTCAGTGTTTTCTCTGTTTCATATGATGTGTTAGCATGTTGTGGGAAAACATCCTTTAGGGTCTTAGAAACACTTTTGTCTAGCTGAGAGGATTTGTACTATATACTATCTTCCAGCATATATATATATATATATATATATATATATATATATATATATATATTTTTTTTTTTTTTTTTTTTTTTTTTTTTTTTTTTTTAGAGACAGGCTCTTGCTCTGTTACTCAGGCTAGAGTGCAGTGGTGCAATCAGTTCACAGCAGCCTTGAACTCCTGGCCTCCCACCTCGGCCTCCCAAAGGGCGGGGATTACAGGTGTGAGCCACCACACCCAGCCCCAACATGGTAAACTTTTCTGGGGCCTTAACAATGGATATGGCCACAACCTTGATTTTATCTTTATCCTGAGGCCACTTACTACTTGAATTCTTTGCAGGCAGTGGTGATACACCCTACAGTCCCAACTGATCAGGATGCTGAGGCAGGAGGATCCCTTGAGCAATATAGGGAGATCTTGTCTCTAAAAAATAAAAGTAAATTTAAAACAACTTTTGAAAGAAAATGCTTTGCTGACTGCAGAGACAAGATGTGAGATGGTTTTGTTTCCCAAGCCAGTTCAGGCCCCGGCTCTGTGTCCTCCAGATTCCGCCTGCAGACTAGACGATCCCTCCTTTCACACATTTCATGCTCGCAGGCCTCACCAGTGCCACGAGGAGCGTTCCGCTGACATTTTTGCCACTCTGTCTGGAGCTCTGCTTAGCTGGGTCCATTTTCTAATTTCCAAGTTACTGAAGGCAATTTTTTTTTTTTTTTTTTTTTTGAGACAGAGCCTGGTTCTGTTTCTCAGGCTGGAGTGCAGTGGTGCGATCTCGGCTTACTGCAGCCTCTGCCTCCCGGGTTCAATTGATTCTCCTGTCTCAGCCTCCTGAGCAGCTGGGATTACAGGTGCCCGCCACCACGCCCGGCTAATTTTTGTAGTTTTAGTAGAGACAGGGTTTTGCCATGTTGGCCAGGCTGGTCTTGAACTCTTGACCTCAGGTGATCCACCCACCTTGGCCTCCCAAAGTGCTGGGATTAGAGGCACAGGCCACAGCACCCGCCCAAAGGCAATTTTTTTCACCCAAATTTTTCACTACTACCTAATCATGGTTTCTTCTGCTAATAGTCTCCTCCCCGTGTTTCTGTTCTCCAGCCCCAGACTGCACTCGCAGTCAGTGCACTGCGTCTTAGGTGTTGCTTCTGCCAACAGCTGTCTTAGACGAGGTGGCTCTGCCAACACCTGTCTTAGACGAGGTGGCTCTGCCGGCACCTGTCTTAGACGAGGTTGCTGTGTCAAAATTCCACAGACCGACTGGCTTCACAGCAGACATTTCTTTCTCCCAGCTCTGCAGGCTGGGAGTCCAGCCTCCAGGTGCCACAGACCCAGTTCCTGTTGAGGGACCACCCCCAGCTTACGGACAGCAGCCTCTTGCTCATGTGACCGTCCCGTGTGTGCTCCTGGAGAGGAGGCTCCGGTGTCTCTTCCCATGAGGGCACTCATCTCATCGTGAGGGTCCCCCAGGATCTTCTCTAAACCTGCTCCCCTCCCAAAGGCCCCACCTCCAACACTGTCTTGCTGGGGGTGAGGACTTTAACATGTGAACTGGAGGTGAGGGACAAGTATCCAGTCCACAGCAACCCCAACTCTGGGACCCAGTTTCTCTACTGGCACTTGCTGAGTAACCACCCACCCAGACGCCTGGTGGCTCACAGCTGCAGGGACACGGTGCTTCTGTGGCCGCAGGCGTGAGGACCCGGGTCCTGGCCTCCCTGGGGCCTGTTCCTCGGCTGTGCCCGGTTACTCAGGGCTGCTCTGGTCCTGCCTCCCCAAGGAGAGCCCTTGTGAGGTCACAGGTGCAGAAGGAAGCCCGTCCGATGCAGACGGATGTTCCAGCCAGGCGGAGAGGAGAAAATCAGTACCTAAAGCATCTGACAGAAAAGGAAAAAAAAATCCAAAATAAACCATTTAGAATAGACTCAGAGGACATAACACACCTGGGACTGACTTACATGATATTTAGGAAAGATGTGTAAGATTTCTACATGTAAACTGAGAGATGGGATGTTATTATTACAAATTTTCCTAAGCCAGGGTCACCCATGCTGGAGGGCCGTGGTACAATCACAGCTCACTGCAGCCTCAACCTCCCGGGCTCATCCTCCAACCTCAGCCCCACGGGTAGCTTGAGACTACAGGCGCGCACCACCATGCCCAGCTAATTTTGGGGGTTTTTGTTTGCTTGTTTTGGGAGAGACAGGGTCTCATTATGTTGCCCAGGCTGTTGAGATGGAACATTACTCACAAACATGTAAAAACTCAAACGATGGCGGGTCTGCCCATTCATGGATGGAACAGGGGGTGTCAACATGTAAAAACTCAAACAACGGTGGGTGCCTGTTCGTGGATGGAGCAGGGGGTGTCAACATGTAAAAACTCAAACAACGGCGGGCGTGCCTGTTCGTGGATGGAACAGGGGGTGTCGGGAAGGCGTCAGGGCTCCCGGTTGCTGTCAGTCGCCCGTGAGACCCGAGCAGCAGTCGCTCTGTTCTTGTGATCATGGCTGAGTGGGATCCAGTGTGAGTCTCCACCCGGCCTGTTACCCAGTTCCAGCTGCAGGGCCTGGGCGCCCTTTTCCGCCTGGGCAGCAGTGAATGAAGTTGCTCTAAGTCCCTTGCTGCTCTTGGTGCACTTAAGAGAGGGCTCGCAGGCCACAGGATAACAGGAGAGGCTGAGTGCGCGGCATCCTCCATCATGGAAACGCATCTCGCACCAGCACACGCAGCTGGCTTTTCCACTACTTTTGCCCGTCGATGGCACCACCCAGCTTTTCTCTGGGTGGGACAGGTATCTGTCCACCTGGGGTTTCTACTCTGCATGTTTTATCTTTTTTTTTTTTTTTTTCCTGAGATGGAGTTTCACTCGTCGCCCAGGCTGGAGGATAATGCCATAATCTCAGCTCACTGCAACCTCCGCCTCCCAGGTTCAAGTGATTCTCTTGCCTCAGCCTCCTGAGCAGCTGGGACTACAGGTGCCTGCCACCATGCCTGGCTAATTTTTGTATTTTGAGTAAAGACAGGGATTCACCATGTTGGCCAGGCTGGTCTTGAACTCCTGACCTCAGATGATCCGCTCGCCTCGGCCTCCCAAAGTGCTGGAATTACAGGCGTGAGCCACCGCGCCCGGCCATGTTTTATCTTTTATCCAGGTAGTCTGTGACTATCCAAACGAGGCTCTGACAGTCTACAGGGATCGTGTCAGTCTGGAGAGTTGGGTTAAAGGCAGGTTGTTCGGGGTGAGAAGGGGACGCTGAGGCAGCAGGTGGTCACAGCCTCACGTCTCAGAAGGATGCGCTGAGCAGTCCCGGGGTTTTGGGCAAGTGAGGTCCACACCCCTCTAATGAGTACCTTTAGAGGCCACTGGCCTGCAAGTTCTGATGACGGGGAACAGCCTTAGGGGCCTCTCCCTGGAGCTCCCACTCACCCCCTCGACCCCCACCCTGCTGTGTCCTGAGCTGTGGCTTGGGAGATGTTTCTGGACTGGGACCAGACCCCGCAACCTAGAGAGCCAGCTCTAGGCTGGGAATTCCTGGGCTTAATGTCCAGGCATGAAGTCAGCTCCTTGTGTGTCCTCATCTGTACAGAGAGGGAAAGGCCCATCACCGTCTCCGCGAGGACAGACTCCGAGGTGATGTGGGTCGGGCCTGCACCCTCAGTGGTTTCCCTTCTGGAGTCTGGGCCTGCTCGGCCAGTGCCCTCATTTTCTGTGGAGCTGTTCCATGTCTGGGCACAGAAGCACCTCTCTGGGAGCAGGTGGGGACGTGAGAGCCCCCTGCTGGAACTGTTCTGTCACAGGCCCCGGGAGGAGCTGGACCTGCTGCCGGAGCCCCTTGGGGCAGCGGGTGAGCCGCGGTGTGAGAGACTCGGGCCTGGAGCACCAAGGGCCCCACAGCAGGAGGGATGGGGGTGCAGCCTCCAGGGCGCTGGGGTCCTCTTGGCTGACCAGGAGCCTTACACAGGGGCTGCCTCATGGGGTTGGCGGGAGCCCCGGTGTGAGGGAGACAGCCACAGAGGCAGCCCCGAAAGCAAAGCGCGGAGCAGATGGCAGAGGATCCCACGTGGCAGAGGAGAGGGCAGCAGAGGATCCCACGTAGCAGAGGAGAGGGCGGCAGAGGGTCCCGTGTGGCAGAGGGCAGCAGAGGGTCCCACGTGGCAGAGAAGAGGGCGGCAGAGGGTCCCGCGTGGCAGAGGATCCCACGTGGCAGAGAAGAGGGCAGCAGAGGATCCCACGTGGCAGAGGAGAGGGCGGCAGAGGGTCCCGTGTGGCAGAGAGGGCGGCAGAGGGCCCTGCGTAGCAGAGGAAAGGGCAGCAGAGGGTCCCACGTGGCAGAGAAGAGGGTGGCAGAGAAGAGGGCAGCAGAGGGTCCTGCGTGGCAGAGAGGGCGGCAGAGGGTCCCGCGTGGCAGAAGAGAGGGCAGCAGAGGGTCCCGCATAGCAGAGGGCGGCAGAGGGTCCCGCGTGGCAGAGGAGAGGGCGGCAGAGGGTCCCGCGTGGCAGAGAGGGCAGCAGAGGGTCCCGCGTGGCAGAGGAGAGGGCAGCAGAGGGTCCCGTGTGGCAGAGAAGAGGGCGGCAGAGGGTCCTGCGTGGCAGAGAGGGTGGCAGAGGGTCCCGCGTGGCAGAGGAGAGGGCGGCAGAGGGTCCCGCGTGGCAGAGGAGAGGGCGGCAGAGGGTCCCGCGCGGCAGAGAAGAGGGCGGCAGAGGAGAGGGCAGCAGAGGGTCCCGCGTGGCAGAGAAGAGGGCGGCAGAGGGTCCTGCGTGGCAGAGAGGGCGGCAGAGGGTCCCGCGTGGCAGAGGAGAGGGCGGCAGAGGGTCCCGCGTGGCAGAGGAGAGGGCGGCAGAGGGTCCCGCGTGGCAGAGGAGAGGGCGGCAGAGGTTCCCGCGTGGCAGAGGAGAGGGCGGCAGAGGGTCCCGCGTGGCAGAGAAGAGGGCGGCAGAGGAGAGGGCGGCAGAGGAGAGGGCGGCAGAGGGTCCCGCATGGCAGAGGATCCCACGTGGCAGAGAAGAGGGCAGCAGAGGATCCCACGTGGCAGAGGAGAGGGCGGCAGAGGGTCCCGTGTGGCAGAGAGGGCGGCAGAGGGTCCCACGTGGCAGAGAAGAGGGCAGCAGAGGGTCCCACGTGGCAGAGAAGAGGGCGGCAGAGGGTCCCGCATAGCAGAGAAGAGGGCAGCAGAGGGTCCCGCGTGGCAGAGGAGGGCAGCAGAGGGTCCCGTGTGGCAGAGAAGAGGGCGGCAGAGGGTCCTGCGTGGCAGAGAGGGTGGCAGAGGGTCCCGCGTGGCAGAGAAGAGGGCAGCAGAGGGTCCTGCGTGGCAGAGAAGAGGGCGGCAGAGGGTCCCGCGTGGCAGAGAAGAGGGCGGCAGAGGGTCCCGCGTGGCAGAGAGGGCGGCAGAGGATCCCGCGTGGCAGAGGGCAGCCGACAGGCAGCTCTGAGAGGATACAGGGTTGGGAAGCTCAGGCAGAAGGCCATCGTAAGAGCTAAGAGCTACGTATGGAGAGTGTGGAGGTGATGAGAACTGAACGGGGGCCGCTGGGCTTAGTGACCAGGCAGCAACTGTGCCCTTGCTGAATTCCAGGCGCTAAAGAACTTGGTGAAGAGTCCGGGCCCCGCTGAGAGGGTGGCGCGTGCGCAAATGTGGAATCCTCACCCAAAGTCCTCAGCCTCAGAGCACACGAAGGTGTTTCTCCTCCCCTGTCGAGCGGGAACCGGGGGTCCAGGCTGGGACGCTGATTGGATGTGACAGCCCAGCAGACTCCATGCTCGGGGTGGAGGCTTCAAAGGACACGGCAGGCGTCAGGGACTTTTCTTTCTCTTTGAGATGGGGTCTTGCTCTGTTGCCCAGGCTGGAGTGCAGGGGCGCAATCACAGCTCATTGCAGCCTCAATGTCTGCTCAAGCAATCCTCCAGCCTCAGGCCTCTAACATGCCAAGATCACAGGTATGAGCCACTGTGCCTGGCCTAGGGACTTTTTCTTTTTCTTTTTTTTTTTTTTTTGAGACAGTCTCACTCTGTCGCCCAGGCTGGAGTGCAGGGGCACGATCTCGGCTCACTGCAAGCTCCGCCTCCCGGGTTCACGCCATTCTCCTGCCTCAGCCTCCCGAGTAGCTGGGACTACAGGCGCCCGCCACCACGCCCGGCTAAGTTTTTTGTATTTTTAGTAGAGATGGGGTTTCACCGTGTTAGCCAGGATGGTCTCGATCTCCTGACCTTGTGATCCGCCCGCCTCAGCCTCCCAAAGTGCTGGGATTACAGGTGTGAGCCACCGTGCCCGGCCGGCCTGGGGACTTTTTCTAGTGATGTACAAGCACTTGCACACATTTTATTGTACAAAATTCCCCAGTACTGCTTTAATAGTGAAAAAAACACACACACATACAAAAGAAGTTTCAACACGGCTCGTCGTTAGAATTCAAAGTCTTCTCCTGCCATGGCGAGAGCCCAGGCGAACCTCTCCCGCTGTGTTTTGCTGTAGATCTTCTCCACTGGCACCCTGAACCGCTTGCACCTGCGGGAGGCAGCATCAGCCCAGGCAAGCAGGCAACTCACCCACCTTGAAGGCCAGGTCAGGGTGCTCGGCAAGGGCGAGCGTCCTCCATGCAGCAGAGACACCAGAGCCGCCTGGTGTAGCTGGGACCTGCTCCTCTAGGCCAACCCCACCCCACGCATGCCGCCACCCTGGAGCATCAGCGAGGTGTCAAAGACAACCTGCTGTGGCCTAGGTGTCCACCGAGCAGGGCGCTCAGCCACCTCCCACTCCCTGTGGGCAGGCTGAGCTCCACAGGCCCTCCTGATGCCTCCGAGTCCCAGGCCACTGTCAGCACCCCCACTTCACCCTGTCCATCCGAACGTTCAGGGCAGGGAGAGCTGATGACACAGGACTCAGCATCATGGGTCCCTGTCACAGGGAGGGCCTGTGCTGACCCCAGGGGACACGGGACAAGGGCAATGCTGGGACTGAACAGAGGCCTCCTGGAAAACCCAGGCCCCCCATAGGCCACAGGTGGGAACTGAGACCCCAGGCACACGCACCAGGCAATGCTGATCCTGGGGTCCAGGTAGTTGAGCTTGGACGTGCCCAGGGCCACCTGCTTGTTCTCCTCCTTGTCCGTGGCCTGCACACTCAGCTGCGCCAGCTGCTCCTGCAGCTTCTCCAGGAGCCGCCTCTTCTTCTCCAGGACACTGGCAAGAGAAGAGGAGGCCGCGAGGCCCCGCGCTGGACTAGCGCCACCTGAGGAGACCTGCACTTCTCTGGCCCTGCCGCCTTCCCTCCCAGTGCAGCCCTGTCCCTGTCATTGTCATCAGTCATCCATCACAGCAAAAGACCAGCCGGGATCAAAGGTGGAAGCTCAGCCCCACCCCAGCTGCCAAGTCAGATACAGAGGAGGGCCGTGGGCGGAGGGTGAGCAGCCCGTCAGGACCTGACTCGCAGGAGGGTGAGATGCTCGACACAACAGACTGAGGCCGGCCCAAACAGGATGAGGGCAGCGAGACCAGGCCCGAGAAAGCAAACACAAATGTCCTTTAACCTCCGGGAAGCCGCTAAGCCCTCCTTCCTGCCTCCTTAGGGAAAGCAAATTTCAGCACAGAGATGCCCTTTCCACATTACTTGCACCCTCCAATGCCAGAACATCACCCACACATGCAACCTCTGACCCCAACTCTTCTAGGAATTTGTGCCACAAACACTCGAATGTGCGTGGAAAGACAAACTTGCGCCTGCAAAAATACGGCTGAGAATGGGGCAGCCCGCCGGGCCAGAAGCATAGGTCCGGGGAAGTGCCTTCCCAGCATGAGCCACATCCCCAGGGGCCGAGGGACACATGAGGGGCTGCTATTTATGTGAAAACAAGGAGGGAAAACAGAGGAAGAGCCAGCACGCACACACAGTCCTTCTGGAAATGCTTAAGAAATTTCTCTTGGCTTTTTTTTTTTTTTTTTGAGACGGAGTCTTGCTTTGTCACCCAGGCTGGAGTGCAGTTGCATGATCTCAGCTCACTGGAACCTCTGCCTCCCGGGTTCAAGTGAATCTCCTGCCTCCTGAGTAGCTGGGACTACAGGCATGTGCCACCACGCACATGATTTTTTTTTTTTTTTTTTTTTTTGTATTTTTAGCAGAGACAGGGTTTCACCATGTTGGCCATGATGGTCTCAAACTCCCAACCTCAAGTGATCTGCCTGCCTCGGCTGCCCAGAGTGTTGGGATTACAGGCATGAGCAACCTTGCCTGGCCAGGAAATGCTAAAGAAATTTTACAGCAGCTGCCTCTGGGGACAGGAGGTCAGGGGTGAGTCACAGCCTTATTTTTCACTGAATACCCTTTGTTCCAATTGACATTTCCTTCGCACACGCCACCATTAAAAACAGACCCCTGCATCTCCGGATGCTCATCCTGAAGAGAAAACTTTTACCCTTTAAGAACCACAGCCAGGCCAGGAGCAGTGGCTCACGCCTGTAATCCCAGCACTGTGGGAGGCCGAGGCGGGTGGATCACGAGGTCAGGAGATTGAGACCATCCTGGCTAACATGGTGAAACTCCGTCTCTACTAAAAATACAAAAATTAGCCAGGCATGGTGCCGTGCACCTGTAATCCCAGCTACTCAGGAGGCTGAGGCAGGAAAATAGTTTGAACCCGGGAGGCAGAGGTTGTGGTGAGCTGAGATCATGCCACTGCACTCCAGCCTGGGCAACAGAGTGAGAGACTCTGTGTCAAAAAAAAAAAAAAAAGAACCGCAGCCACAATAATGAGGAATGAATGAAAGAGGGAACATCACTAAAGAAATAAAAAAGATAATATGGGAATACTATGAATAACTGGGCACCAGCCAGTTAGACACCCTAGACTAAACAAATTCCCAGAAAGATACAAACTACCAGAACCAACTCACAAAGTATAGAAAATATGAATAGAACTATAACAAGTGATTATATCAGTAACTTTAAACGTCTCCCAAAGAAAAGCCCAGGCCTAGATGGTTTCACTGGTGAATTCATTTAACAAACTGACCCTAGCCAGGCAGTGCAGTGCAAGCCTATAGTCTCAGCTATTCAGGAGGCTGAGTTCGGAGGACTGCTTGAGCCCAGGAGTTCAAGACCAGCCTGAGCAACACAGCAAGACTCTCTCTTTAAAAAGGCACCAATTTTTCATAAACTTTCATGAAATATTAGATATTATATTAAATATTATTCAACTCGTTACCAGTATTACCTTGATACCAAAATCAATGACATCATAAGAAAACTATAGACTAACATGCTCATGAATACAGATGCAAAAACCTCAACAAAATATCAGCAAACTGAATCCAGCAATAGACAAAAATGATTACACAATTGCTCAAGTAGGATTTATCCCAGGAATGCAAGGATGGTTTCATATCTGATCAATTAGTATAATACATCCTATCAATATAAGGAAGGGACAAAAACAAGATCTCAACAGGTGCAGAAAATCATTTGACAAAATCCAATGCTCTTCATGATAAAAAAAAAAGAACCTCAACAAACTAGGAATAGAAGTAAATTTTGTTAACTTAACAAACAGCTTCTGTGAAAAACCTACAGTTAACATCATATTCCATGATAAAAGCATGAGAGTTTTGCCCCCAGTATCAGGAACAAGGCAAGGCTGCCCACTCATGTCCAGTGTACTGGAGATTCCTGCCAGGTCCATAATGCAAAAATATGAAATAAAAGGCATATGATTGGAAAAGAAAAAGTAAAACTATCTCTGTTTGCATACAATATGGCCTTTATAGATACAGTCCTAAGGGCCAGGCATGTTGGCTCATACTTTTAATCTCAGAGCTCTGGGAGGCCAAGGCAGGATTGCTTAAAGCCAGGAGTTCAAGAGTAGCTTGGGCAACATACAAAAATTTTCTTAGTGTAAAAATTAGCCAGTTGTGGCCGTTGGCACCTGTGGTCCCAGCTACTCAGGAGGCTGAGGCGGGAGGATTGCTTGAGCCCAGCAAGTTGAGACTATGGTGAGCTAGGATGCTGAGACATCTGGCTGTCCACATGCAAGAGAATGACCCTGGGCCCTTCCCTCAGACCACACACAAAAATTAACTCAGAACCAATGACCTAAATGTAAGAGTAAACCAATAAACCTCTTAGGAGAAAACAGAGAAATCTATCTTCATGGCCTTGGGTTAGGCAAAGCCTTCTCAGCACGCTGACTCATCCAAATCTTAAATGTGTCACAGGACACCAACAAGAAAGAAGAAAGATGTGGCCGGGCGCAGTTGCTCACACCTGTAATCCCAGCACTTTGGGAGGCCGAGGTGGGTGGATCACCCGAGGTCAGGAGTTCAAGACCAGCCTGACCGACATGGTGAAACCCCATCTGTACTAAAATACAAAAATTAGCCAGGTATAGTGGTGTGTGTCTGTAGTCTCAGCTACTCGGGAGGCTGAGGCAGGAGAATCGCTTGAACCCAGGAGGCAGAGGTTGCAGTAAGCCAAGATCACGCCACTGCACTCTAGCCTGGGTGACAGAGCAAGACTCCATCACCAAAAAAAAAAAAAAAAAATAGGGCTGGGAGTAGTGACTCACACCTGTAATCCCAGCACTTTGGGAGGCCGAGACAGGCAGATTGCCTGAGCTCAGGAGTTCAAGACCAGCCTGGGCAACATGGTGAAACCCCGTCTCTACTAAAATACAAAAAAATTAGCCGGGCATGGTGGCGGGTGCCTGTAATCCCAGCTACTCAGGAGGCTGAGGCAGGAGAATTGCTTGAAACCTGGAGGCAGAGATTGCAGTGAGCCGAGATCATGCCATTGCACTCCAGCCTTGGCGACAGAGCAATGCTCTGTCTCCAAAGGAAAAAAAAAAAAAAGAAAGAACAAAGACAACCCAAGAGTGGGCGAAACATCGACGAGCTCTTACAAGTCAATAATAAAACAACAACCCGACTGGAAAATGGACAGAGGACCTGAGCAGTCATTCTCCAGAGACGATACAGAAGTGGGCAACAAGCACCTGCAAAGAGCACCCACGGCCAGACGCTCCTTCACACCCACTGGGCTCTAATCGACACATGGAAAACTGACCCTACAGTGGCGCCTGGACAGAGGAATCGGAGCCCTCACACACTGCTGGTGGGGAGGGGATGGTGCCGCCGCCCTGGAGAAGAGTCTGGCACCTTCTTCTCATTTCCTGACCCCACAATGACAATCACAAACCTCCTTGGCGGCCAGGGTCTCCTCCTCCCACGGCTCCATGTGTCCCACTCTTGTCCACAAGGCATATAGTTTGTATTTTTAAAAATCACAAAGTTGGCCAGGTGCAGTGGCTCATGCCTGTAATCCCAGCACTTTGAGATGCCAAGGCAGGAGGATCACTTGAGGCCAGGAGTTTGACCAGCCTGGCCAACATGGAGAAACCCCGTTTCTACTAAATAAATAAATGAGCCGGGCGTGGTGGCGCGCACCTGTAACCCCAGCTACTCGGGAGGCTGAGGCAGGAGAATCACTTGAACCCGGGAGGCGGAGGTTGCAGTGAGCTGAGACCGCGCCAGCGCACTCCAGCCTGGCGACAGAGACTCCATCTCAAAAAAAAAAAAAAAAAAATCACAAAATAACAATTGAAGAGGAAAACAAAACTGGCCATGGGAAGGCGCGTCTGAAGCTGCCACATCTGGGTTGGTGTGGGCGGCAGCTACCTAGGTGCTGAGGCAAGAGACTGAGGGCACGAGCTGTTCCAGTATAATAAAATACATAAGAATAGTTATACTATATATAGATCATAGATATGATTATATATGAATATCATTAATCATTAGTTGGTAGCAATTACTCTTTTTTCCAATATTATAATAATCCTCGCTCTACAATCATAGCCTAGGAAAAACCAGGCCATACAGAGATATGAGGGGACATAGTGAGGAGTAACCAGAAGACAAGAGTGCGAGCCTTCTGTTATGCCCAGACAGGGCCACCAGAGGGCTCCTTGGTCTAGCGGTAACGCCAGCGTCTGGGAAGATGCCTATTGCCAGGCCAACCATGGTCTAGCGGTAGCATCAGTGTCAAGGAAAAACACCTGCCACTTAGCAGACCGGGAAAGGGAGTCTCCCTTTCCCCAGGGGAGTTTAGAGAAGACTCTACTCCTCCACCTCTTGTGGAGGGCCTGACATCAGTCAGGCTCGCCCGCAGTTATCCGGAGGCCTAACCGTCTCCCTGTGATGCTGTGCTTCAGTGGTCATGCTCCTAGTCTGCCTTCATGTTCCATCCTGTACACCTGGCTCTGCCTTCTAGATAGCAGTAGAAAATTAGTGAAAGTACTAAAAGTCTCTGATATGCAGAAATAATGGCGTAAACTGTTCTCTCTCTCTCTGCCTCGGCTGCCAAACAGGGAAGGGCCCCGTGTCCAGTGGACATGTGACCCACGTGATCTCACCTATCACTGGAGATGACTCACACTCTTTACCCTGCCCCTTTTGCTTTGTATACAATAAATAACAGCGCAGCCAGACATTCGGGGCCACTACCAGTCTCCGCGTCTTGGTGGTAGTGGTCCCCCGGGCCCAGCTGTCCTTTCTTTTATCTCTTTGTCTTGTGTCTTTATTTCTACAATCTCTCGTCTCCGCACAAGGAGACAACAAGGGTCGTCTCCCACCGACCCTGTGGGGCTGGACCCTACGGGTTGGGACAGGGCCCCGGGAGAAGGCGTCTGAGGGCACGGGTACTCACCTCCTGGACTTGCCATCCCCTTGGGCTTTGTGCTCAGCCCTCGCCCTCCTCAGCTCTGCCCTGGCCTCAGCCACCTGCTCCTTCTTTGCCTGGATCTGCAGGAAAAGGGTCCAGACAGGGCTGCCCCTCCCCATCCCGCACCAGCCCCTGTGCCCACACCCTTCCACACCCTACGTGCCCACCGCAGCTGGCTCCCAGGCCTGTGCCGAGGCTCTGGGGAGGGGGAGGGGTCCCTTGAGGGCTGGGCTGGGGGCTCTCCTGGGAGCTGCTACCTTCGTCTGGAGATTCTGCATCGACTTCTCGAACGTACTGGGGGTTGCTCGCTGATGGTTGCAGAGAATGGCCACGACTCGGTTGGCTCGGTTGTAGGATAAGATCTTAGCTGCTATGCTGTCCTCGGCTGAGAGGCACGGGCTGTCAGAGGCAGCACCCACGGGGCCGGCCACCCTCCCTGTCTGCCCTGAGCCGGCCTTAACGCGCCACACAGCGCAGCCCCTTCCACTCACACAGGCACCCACTGGGATGGGGAGAGTGAGGGCCAAGGGTCAGTGACCCTCCAAGGTGGCCTCGAGAGCAGGGCCCAGCGTCTTTAACCACAGCAACAAGGCTTCACGTGGGGCCACAGCACAGGTAGCACCACCCGGGCCTTCCCAGGCCCCATGGCAAGGAGGAGGCCCAGCCGCCTGGACGGGCGAGTCTGCCTGTCACAAGTCCCCAGCACCCGGCTTCCCCTGGCGAGTCTGTGGGTCCCTGCCTGTCACAAGTCCCCAGCACCCGGCTTCCCCTGGCGAGTCTGTGGGTCCCTGCCTGTCACAAGTCCCCAGCACCCGGCTTCCCCTGGCGAGTCTGTGGGTCCCTGCCTGTCACAAGTCCCCAGCACCTGGCTTCCCCTGGCGAGTCTGTGGGTCCCTGCCTGTCACAAGTCCCCAGCACCCGGCTTCCCCTGGCGACATCCCCTCAAGGTACCACGTTGTCTCCATTTTCCAGTCAAGAATGAGGTTCAGAGAACGTAAGCACTGGCCCCAAGGCACCTACTGGAGCGGCCACTCCTTCACGCCCATCCTGCATGGCCCACCCAGCTCTGGAAGCACGTCCACAGTGGGCCCAGCACCTTCATTTCCTCTCCCAGGCCCGGCCTCGGCCCCTATGCCCTCACCCAGAATCTTCTGCCTCCCTCAGTGGAGGGGGCGTCTCCTCTCCTGGGGCTCTCACCTGGATGCCAGCTAGCTCCTCCGCATCCCACAGCCCCAGTGCTGCCCCAGCTCCAAGGTTGTCCCCAGGGCAGCACAGCACCGGCCTCTGAGGCCCACGGGTGCACGCGAAACACATGCCGAGCGTCAGCGCCCCTGAGCACCCAGCCTCGGCGCCTCCTCCAGGAAGCCCTGCTTGGGGAGTGCGGTGGGCGCCGGGGTGGGAGGCACCCTCTGGACAGTCTGTGCGTCCAATCTGCCCGGACATCACAGAGCAGCCCGGACATCACGGAGCAGGGGCAGCGCCAGGGACAGAGGGAGGAGAGGCCCTCGCCAAGCTTAGACAGCATCCCCAGGTTGATGGCAGGGGACAAAGAGCAGAGGGCCCTGAAGCTGAGACAGGGCCGTGGACAGAGGCCCAGAGGTCGGGGTGCTCAGACAGCTGAGGGTGGGAGGGACAGAACCACTGGAAAGTGCAGAGGCCTCCTGGGCCTTCAAGAAAGAACCCTGAGGAGGAGCTGAGGAACACCACCAGGCCATGGGGCCTGAGTAGGGCTCAGCAGTAGGGGCCGCCCCGCAGGGAGAACGTGGCTGGGATGCCTGGGGTCCCGAGAGCCAGAACCTCCCTCCTCCTCCCCAGGACTCTGGCCACCTAGGCTGCCAAGCAGCCAGCCCACAACCTCAGCCCATTTCCCAAAGAAGCGGCCCCACCCCGAGGCTCACTCAACAAGGGCCAGCCGGGGAGCCCGGTCTGGGGCAGGGGCCGTGCTCCCCCCGCGCTGAGTGTGGGTGTGGGGCAGGCTCACCGCGCGTCAGGGCCCGCAGCTGCTCCTGCAGAGTGATGGAGGCGTTGTAGGTCCGGAACACCTTGGCCGTCAGCCCGTCCATCAGCTCCTGGAGGTGCTTGTTCAGGCTGGTCGTCTGGGGAGGAAAATGGTCTCTATAATTACGTGGTTTTGCGGGGCCGTCCCAGCCTCCCGCGGGAAGGAAAGGACATGTCAGCCGTTGGGTCAGGACAAAACCCTGGGCCAGACTCAGCGCCCACGCCCTCTCACTGGGTCCTGCCGCCGCCCACTGCTGAGGAAACACGAGCCGGCTTACGGTCAGCCTGTCGAAGAGGTCGTCCCGGGGGTCCTTGTTCTCCATAAAGAGCTGTAAGTTCTTGTACACCTGAAGGAGAAAGAAGGAATTTCAGAGGACAGAAAAAACCCGAATCCAGTGAGGACCTGAAGGGCGTCTACGCAGAGCCTGGGAGCCCACGGGAGGCTTCCCTGAGGAAGGTGGCCCGAGCAGCATCACCGTCACCTGTCGGCATCCTCCCGTGACACGGCCCCCACCCTCCAGTGTGGCAGTCACCGCTACCACACGCACAGGCAGCGTGCTCAGGAGGTGGGCGTGACTCCTGCCCTGCAAACCCCCTGGGTGACCGCGGCAGGTGGCCCAGAGTCCCCGGCTCCTTCTTCCATCAATGCCGGATTTCCACCAGGTGAGCCCACACCCTTGTAATGTGAGACACTCATCTGACATCACAGGACCTCAGGGCCTTCGGGGTTCCTGTGTCCAACCTCCCTCCACCAGTCCCTTTGGGGAGAGGACATTAATTCCCTTCTGGAAAGACCAACCCTGCTCCGAGGAAACGCCAGCCTGCACCTGCACCCATGCCTGCCCTCCCCTCAGTTTCACCTGCTGGTCCTCCTACAAGTGGCAGGCACCCTCCCTGAGCGCTGGGCATCGGCTCCAGGGCGGAGGTTGCTGTGGCCTCTGTGTTGCTCTCTCCAGCACCAGCATGGCAGCCCTCCCTCACCAGACACGGGCAGGAGGCCCCGCACCCCCAACTGGCCCCCTCATCAGCCTGGCACCATGGCTGATGAACCCCATTCTACAAACCCACAGGCACCGGGACATGGCGGGAAGCCCCAGCCCACAGCTCCCGACTTCTGGCTTCTTCCCTCATCTTCCTCTACACGTTTGGTTTCACACCGCTGATCTTGACGAGGCTTTATGTCCCGCCTTTTTCTCTACATCACATGCATTCCGTTACCGAGTGCTCCCCTGGACAGCACTGCAAATGGCTGGCTAGTCCTCTGTCTGGACAGAGTGCAACTCCCCATCCAGGCCTGCACCACAGCCGATGCTTCACCACGGCAGGGGCACTGTGGTGAGCACCTCCTTGCCTCTTCCTTTCGTGTGTTGGCTTCTGTCTCCTACCTCCGATTAATTCATTCCTTAGGAATGACTTCCCGACCAGACTGCCTGAGGCCGGGCCCTGCCAGGGACTCCTGTTTCTCTGCTGCCCTCAACACCTGTCCCCAAACTTCCATTTCTGTTTTTCAACGGCTCCACTCCATCCCACGGTTGGGTCACATTAATTTTTTTATTTTTTTTTTTAATTTTTAGAGACTAGGTCTGGCTCTGTCACTTGGGCTGGAGTGCAGTGGCACAATCATAGCTCACTGCCGCCTCCAACTCCTGGGCTCCAGCAACCCTCCCACCTAGCCCTCCCAAGGTGTCTGGACTACAGGTGTGGGCCTTGCGCCCAGCCTGAGTCACATTTGTGCTTTTGAGGTGCAGGGAGTTCGTGCGTGGATCTGTCCAACGTCACTGCGACGTGGCGCCCACCCAGACAGGGGACACCGTGACTCTTCAGGACAGCCATTCAAAGGTGAGGATGCTCCCCAGGTTCCAGTCTTCCTTCAAGCCAGTCTGGAGACCAGAGATCTACCCAGCCCTTCCCGACCACACTCATCCCTCTGGGCATCTATGCTGGTGGAGCTAGGGGCTGTGGGGGTGGTGGGCAGCCACTAGTCCCTGCAGCAGAGGAAAGAGGGCAGCCCCTCCCAGGTGTACTGGGGTGAAAAGTGTTCCCGAAATTCATATCCTCACCAGAACCTCAGAATGTAACCTTTTTTTTTTTTTAGAACGGTCTCAGCCAGCCACAGTGGCTCATGCCTGTAATGCCAGCACTCTGGAAGGCTGAGGCAGGTAGATCACGAGGTCAAGAGTTCAACACCAGCCTGGCCAACATGGTGAAACCCTGTCTCTACTAAGAATACAAAAATCAGCTGAGCTTGGTGGCAGGCACCTGTAATCCCAGCTACTCGGGAGGCTGAGGCAGGAGAATCGCTTGAACCCAGGAGGCGGAGGTCGCAGTCAGCCAAGATCTCACCACTGTACTCCAGCCTGAGCAACAGTGCGAGACACCGTCTTGAAAAAAGAAAAAAAATTTAAAGAAGACAGGGTCTCATTTTGTCACCCAGGCAGGAGTGCAGTGGTGCCATCTTGGCTCACTGCAAGCTCCGCCTCCTGGGTTCACGCCATTCTCCTGCCTCAGCCTCTCAAGTAGCTGGGACTATAGGCGCTCGCCACGATGCCCGGCTAATTTTTTTTGTATTTTTAGTAGAGACGGGGTTTCACCATGTTAGCCAGGATGGTCTCGATCTCCTGACCTCGTGATCCACCCGCCTTGGCCTCCCAAAGTGCTGGGATTACAGGCGTGAGCCACCTTGCCCGGCTGTTTTTTTAAATTATTATTTCAGAGACAGGGTCTCATTATGTTGCCCAAGTGGTCTCAAACTCCTGGGCTCAAGTGATCCTCCCACCTCAGCCTCCCGAAGCACTGAGATTACAGGAGTGCACCACCATGCCTGGCCAGAACGTGACCTTATTTAAAAACAGGGTCTTTAGAGACTGATAAGATGAAGTCATAGAAAGAGTGGGCTGGGCCCTAACTCCAATACGACAGCGTCCTTGTGAGAACACGCAGAGGCAGAGATGCAGGGAGAAGATGGCCATGTGACAACGGAGGCAGAGACTGGGATGAGGCAGCCTCAGGCCAAGGACACGCAGGATCCGTGGCCCCACCAGATGCTGGGAAGGCAGGAGGATCCTCCCCGAGTGTGGGCGGGATGTGGCTCTGCCAGCACCTTGACTCAGACTCTGGCCCCCAGGGCTGAGCGACAATAAACGTCTGTTAAACCACTGGGTCTGCAGTGCCTTCCTCCAGCAGCCCTGGGAGATGCTCCGGCCGGGGGGCAGGAGACGAAGCTGGCGTGACACACGTGCCCTTTTCAGCCCCCGACCAGCTCCCTTGTGAACCCTTGGGTCTACCATGGTGCACAGCCTCTCCTTCACCTTTACCCCGATCAGCCCCGGCACAGCAGGCCTCACCCAGCAGGCAGGACGTGGCAAACGGGCCACAGACCCCACGGCAGCTCCGGCACGCCCCCAGACATCCAGAGCAAATACGTGTCACATAGCGGGGGCAGCTGGCGCGAGGGCACTCACCGGCTTCTCCACCGGCACTCTGTTGTAGTAGCGGATGCAGTCCTTCCCCAGGAAGTCAAATTCCACCACGTGTTGGCAGCCATCGGCCTCCGGGTGCAGCTGGACGTGCTCCACGCGGAGGGAACAGCAGCCCACGGTGTCGGCCGCCTCACCGTCCTCCTTCTCATTTCCTGCTCTCAGTGCCAGCTAGTTGGTGGGGAATGGTCAAAGTGGGTGGTGCGTGCACACGCACGCCACACACACGCACGCCACACACACGCACGCCACACACGCACGCCACACGCAC
The DNA here is from genome assembly GCF_000001405.40 of Homo sapiens. Lineage (NCBI taxonomy): Eukaryota > Metazoa > Chordata > Mammalia > Primates > Hominidae > Homo > Homo sapiens. Next base: position 143,321,487 of record NC_000008.11, read on the forward strand.
GCCACACACGCACGCCACACACACGCACTCCACACACGCACGCCACACACACGCACGCCACACACGCACGCCACACACACGCACGCCACACAGGCACGCCACACGCACGCACGCCACACGCACGCACGCCACACGCACGCCACACACAGGCACGCCACACACAGGCACGCCACACACACGCACGCCACACACGCACGCCACGCACGCACGCCACGCACACATGCCACACACGCACGCCACACACAGGTACGCCACACACGCACGCCACAAACACAGGCACGCCACACACACGCACGCCACACACGCACGCCACACACGCACGCTACACACACACGCACGCTACACACACACGCCACACGCACGCCACACACGCATGCCACACGCACACCACACGCACGCCACACACAGGCACGCCACACACACAGGCACGCCACACACATGCACGCCACACACGCACGCCACACACGCACGCCACACACATGCTCACCACACGCACGCCACACACATGCACGCCACACACATGCACGCCACACCCACAGGCACGCCATACAGATGCATGCCACACACACAGGCACGCCACACACGCACGCCACACACAGGCATGCCAAACACGCACGCCACACATGCACGCCACACACACAGGCACGCCACACAGGCACGCCACACGCACGCCACACACGCATGCCACACGCACGCCACACAGGCACGCCACACACACAGGCACGCCACACACAGGCACGCCACACACATGCATGCCACACACGCACGCCACACACACACGCCACACACATGCACGCCACACACATGCACGCCACACCCACAGGCACGCCATACAGATGCATGCCACACACACAGGCACGCCACACACGCACGCCACACACACAGGCACGCCACACACGCACGCCACACACATGCTCACCACACACGCACGCCACACACATGCACACCACACGCACGCCACACACAGGCATGCCACACAGGCACGCCACACAGGCACGCCACACGCACGCCACACACACAGGCACGCCACACAACAGGCACGCCAAAGATGCACGCCACACACACGCACGCCACACACAGACACGCCACACACATGCACGCCACACACATGCAGGCCACACACATGCATGCCACACAGGCACGTCACACACACACGCCACACGCACACCACACACGCACGCCACACACGCACGCCACACACGCACGCCACACGCACGCCACACGCACGCCACACACAGGCACGCCACACACGCCACACACGCACGCACGCCACACACGCACGCCACACACAGGCACGCCACACACATGCACACACACATGCATGCCACACACAGGCACGCCACACACGCACACCACACACGCACGCAACACACACGCACGCCACACGCACGCAACACACGCACGCCACACGCACGCCACACACGCACGCCACACACGCACGCCACACACAGGCACGCCACACACGCCACACACGCACGCCACACACGCACGCACGCCACACACGCACGCCACACACAGGCACGCCACACACATGCACACACACACATGCACGCCACACAGGCACGCCACACACAGGCACACCACACACGCACGCCACACACAGGCATGCCAAACACGCACGCCACACATGCACGCCACACACACAGGCACACCACACACAGGCACGCCACACAGGCACGCCACACACACAGGCACGCCACACACGCATGCCACACACAGGCACGCCACACAGGCACGCCACACACAGGCACGCCACACACACAGGCACGCCACACACATGCACGCCACACACGCACGCCACACACGCACGCCACACACATGCTCACCACACGCACGCCACACACATGCACGCCACACACATGCACGCCACACCCACAGGCACGCCACACAGATGCATGCCACACACACAGGCACGCCACACACGCACGCCACACACACAGGCACGCCACACACGCACGCCACACGCACGCCACACACATGCTCACCACACACGCACGCCACACACATGCACGCCACACAGGCACGCCACACACACATGCACGCCACACACATGCTCACCACACACGCACGCCACACACATGCACGCCACACACACAGGCACGCCACACACACACGCACGCCACACACACAGGCACGCCACACACGCACGCCACACGCACGCCACACACATGCTCACCACACACGCACGCCACACACATGCACGCCACACACACAGGCACACCACACACATGCACGCCACACACACATGCACGCCACACACATGCACGCCCCACACAGACATGCCACACACAGGCACACCACACGCACAAGTGCACACACACCACACAATGCACATGCACACCCTACACACATGTTCACACCCACACACGTGTGCACATGCACACACCCCCCCCATCAGAATGAGGTTCCACCCCACACACAGGCCCACGTCGCCACACTGCACCATCCAACTGGGAGTCCTCGCCAGGAGAACCAGGATGAAGAGCCGCCAGGAAGCGAGAAGGCCGCATACCTTATCGATGAAATACAGGGCCACCGCCCGCTGTCTCGTCTTCATTTCCCGAGACTTCCAGTCAGCCCGGTACTGGGAGCGGATCTCGTCCACAAATCCCCGCAGGCGTCGAGCTGTTTCAAACTTCTGCCAAGCTGTCTCCCCCTAAACGAAGAAAATAACAGGAAAGAAAACATTCACATTCCTGTTAAATAACGGAGGAGGCTGTCAACTCTCCCTCCCCCAAACCTCGTGCTTCTCCACTCAGTGGTGCCGTGGTCAGGGGCTGGGGCAGCAAATCTAGCTGGGTGATGCCGGCAGTGAGCACCCATGCCCACTCCTGGCTTTGGGGCTTGTGCCTGCTGGCACAGCATGACCTCAGCACGGGCTGGCCGACTCCCAGCCCATCTCAGAAGCCTCTGCCGGTGCCCGGCTTACACACCTCCCTGCCGGCGTCCTCAGGGGGACCTCCTGGGGAGGAAACACCCTGCCAAGCCCTGCGCTCACCTTCAGCTTCGAGCAAGGGTTCAGCATGATGTACTTGATGGAGTTCTGAACGCTCTCGGTCCAAGCTGCCAGCCACGTGACGGTGTTATCGGAGCGCACCTCCTTCCACTGGTGCCCCGCCGGCGGCTCGGGGATCTTCGAGTCCCTGCAGCAGAACAACGACCCAAACATAACTTGGAGACCTTATTCTCTGGAATGCAAGCAAAAGGAGCTGCTCTGGTCAACCGTCCCACGTGGTGGCTATGGTGGTGGCATGGCTCCTGACCGAGTCTGGCATCAGAGGTGGCCTGCCTGGCAGCTCAGACAAAAGCAGCCACTCAATCTACCCTCTGCACACACAGGAAGGCCACAGTGCACCAGGAGGCTGGGCGGCCACCCAAGCAAGGCACCGCTCTGCACAGACCTCTCAGCACCAACTGGGACGACGAGTGCCCTGCCCCACACAGCCTGGCCACTGGGGGTCCTGCAGGCAGGGTCCCTACTCCACCCTGTGGTCACACAGTACAACATGTGGCCCAGCAGTCCCCTCTCCACCACTTGGAATGTCCCTCCAATAAGTTCAAAACACCTAATGCTACTGGGCCATCCAGATGGTGTGGGATATGAAAACCACATGGAGGTGTCCTTGGCGGGAGAAAGTCTCAGCCATAGCAAGGCGAGGACTTCCGACCCCGTGGGAAGCACCCTGGGAAGGCCGCCCTTGCCCGGCCACGCCTACAGGCTGAGCTCCACAGGAATGGTGTGGGGGTCACCAACCACATGTTTCTCGGTGTGCCTCCCTCTCCCAGGAGGTGAAGAAAAGCCAGCCTCACCCGGGTGGCGGGGGTCCAGTGCCCGCCTGCTGCCCGCCCGGCCACGCACCTGCTGCAGTTGATAACCACATCCTCTGGCGTGATCCTTCTCTTCAGCATCCCCATCTTGGGATGGTCGCCACGGCCACGGAACAAGCCAGGCGGCTCAATCTTGAAGTTGCCTATTTTTTCTTGGTGACCATCTAAAATACAGTAGCCGAACTCTTGCTGAAGTTTTTCTGCCTCTTCTTTTAGCTTCTGAGTTAATAAAACAGTCAGTGGACATTAGCAGTGAAGAGAAGAGAACAGGCCTCAGTCCGTTGTTGCTAACCCGGGACCACCCTGCTCTGTCTGGCTAACTCAGCTGGACCCTCAAAGCCCTTCACAATCCATGGAGGTTGCAGGGGCAGGGGACAGTGCAGGTGGGCTTGCAGGGGGCACCGAGAGCCATGGCCTAACCACCCCATGGCCTGGACTCCCCGGCCCCTGCACAGACTTCGGCTGTTTTAGGCCTAAGCAGTAAAGCCAGGTGGAGGGAGCGTGGCTGCCCGCCATGGAGGAGGAGGGCTAAGGGAATCCCTGAGAAGGCCACATGGAGATCACAGCACGGCAGGTTCCTGTTAGATGTAGGGAGACGCATGGCACAGAACAGCAAGAAGCCGACTGGCCTGCACAAGCCCCGCCCTCAGCCCACGGCCCGTCTGGGAACCCACCCTTGATCAATGATGGTAAATTATCCATTTCAAACCGGGTTTACTCTCAAATGTGCTCTGGGGAAGCGGAACGACACTTAAGCACATGCAGGGGCGCTAAGGCTGACGAGAAAAGAGCAGCTTTGTGAGAAGGGGCTTCTCTAAGGCCACAGGCCTTTCTCAGTCTTTGGGCCAGGCCGGCCTCTCGTTCCCAGGGGCCACTTCAGGTCACACAACGCTCGAGGCAGCCCAACCTGCTTCTCCTCCCTGCTCAGGACTTTCCGGGCTGCGGCCTTGTCCACAAAGTATCTGTGGATCTCCGTGAAGTCACACTTGTCCAGGCTCTTGATGACTTCCCTCTCTTCCACCGCCATTTCCTGCAAAAACCACAGACACGCGCTCTCACCATGTCTGAAGGACAGACATGCAGAGCGCTCTCGCCATGTCTGACGGACAGAAACGCGCTCTCGCCATGTCCGACGGAGGCGTGTGTGCAATAGGCAGAACCTGCGCACGGTCCTGCGGCCCCGTAAATAGAGCCTCTCCCCGCAGACCCCACAGATAGAGCTGGTTCTGTTATTGCAGGCATGGAGTTGGGTGGGGCAGCGGAGGGCACAGTTCTCCAAAAGCAACTTCACAACAAGTCAGTAGTAAAACTGGCTAAAACCTTTGCACCCAATAATTCCACTTTGAGATCCATCCTAAATAAACTCTCCAGTATGAAAACCCGGATGACGACCGCACTAAGGGCAACTGCAGAAACGTCATGACCGGACAGAGCAGGATACATGGTCGGGAGCTCATCTGGTGAACGTGACGGGATTCGCGAGGGCAAAGTCTCAGTCCATACGTGCTGCTGCCACAAAATACCGGGGACTGGTCAGTTGTAAATCATAGTCACAGCTCTGGGGGCTGGAAGGCTGGGATCAGGGTCCCAGCATTTGACGTCTATGGAGGGCCCAGTCCCTGCTTCTGAGAGGATGCCCTGAAGGCTGTCCTCACACAGTGGAGGGGACAGAAGGACAGAAGGGGCCCAGCTAATTCCACCCAGCCCTGCCCTAAGGCCCTAAATTAATCCTAAGGGCTGCAGCAAGGTGGAGTCCTCACAGCCCAATCAGCTCCTAAAGGCCCTCCCTCTGTCCTGTGGTGCTGGGGATTCAGTTTCAAGGTGAATTTTGGAAAGCACAGCAGAAAACAGTTTGACGATGATCTACCCGTGTGGAGACTAAGCGGGATAAAATGCTAAGTGGGGAAAACATTACAGGCACACTGATCACACTCACACGAAAACTAGTGCCCAGGAAAAGCCAGGACGCGGGAACAGGAGACACTGACCTGAGGGAGAGCCGCAGATCACAGGCAACTGTTTCTCCTTTCGTTTCCTACACAACAAAAACTCTGCACAGCCCATGGACAAAAGCCCAGGCTTGCGGGCACCAGCTCACGGTCCCAGTCCAGGCTCGGCCACTTAGGCCTGTGAGACCTCAGGAGCTGCTGTCAAACGTGTCTCGCTGTGGGATGGGGATGATCCGCCTCTTCCGAGGAGCTCAGGTACGACACCATCTGTGCCAGGATGGAGCCCTGCTCGGCCACAACCACGGGCTCAGGGTCCGTCCCTGTGTCTCCCGGGGCCGCCGGATGTGCCACCCACTCCTGTTCTGCTGCTTTGTGACACTGCCTCCCTTCCTAGCTCTGCTAGTGACTGGAAGAAGTGCTGACCAGAGGGAGAATGAGGATGCCGGGCAGCTGGTGCCACCTCACAAAGCTGTCGTGAAAGGCAGAGGGGTGGCATCAGGCCAAAGAAGAGGGTCCAGAAGCGGAGCCTGCACAGGGGACAAGGAAGCACAGGCTCCAGCAGCTGGCTCGGGGCAGTCAGACACCCACATGCAACACACGAGCCTCGGCCTCTACCCCACACTATAACCAAAATTAACTCAGAGTTCCACCTAAACCAAGCTGACCTCAATGGAAACCTAAAACCAAAACTTCTAGGAAAAACATAGGAGGAAATCTCTGTGCTGCCGAATTCAGCAGATTTCTTAGACAAAACAACAAAAGCAAACCTGTGACAAAACATGAAACGTGGGACCTCATCAGTATTCCAAACTCCTGACCTTCCAAAGACATTGTTAAGAGAACGCAAATAGAAACTACAAACACCATGAAAGATTTTTGCAAATCATATTTCTGATAATGGACTTAAAACAGGACACAAAAGTACTCACCATAAAAGACAGATTGATAAACGGCATAACTAAGTTACAGTTTTCTGTTTGGAGACCTCACTGAGAAGTGAAAAGGCAAAGTCTGGGAGATGACATTCACAGCATGTGCGTCTGGCAAAGAACCTGCACCCAGGATGCGTTTTTAAAACTCCGATAAATGAGCGAGGAATACGCAAGCAACTCAGTTTTTTAAATAGACAAAAGTTCACGAAAGAAAATACTGAAATGACACGTCAGTACACCAAAAGATGCTTAATATCACTTGTCATTAGGGAAACGCAAACCACACCCACGGCGAGGTGTCATTTTGTGCCCACTAGAAAGGTGCCTCGCACCCGCGGCAGGCGTGTGGACAGTTCAGCCTGGTGTTGCTAGTAAGCTGGACACACGTGACCCAGCAATTTCACCCCAAGTCCTGTCAGAGGCAACTCACACATATGTGCCCTCACCCACGTGGGAATGTTCATGGCAGCTTTACACATGCAAAGGCCTAAAACAGGAATTAATCAAACACCCACGAATAGGGAAATGGACTAGCATGAGTCACGGAACAGAGGAAACGCGACCCGGCCAGAGCCAGGAAGATGCTGCGGGACAAGCAGTCAGGGGCGAGCCTCGCAGGTGTGGGGCAGACAGAAACCCCGGAGGGCACAGAATCCGCGGCACACACATAAAATCAGTCAGGCCATGGGCGAAGGGCAGTCACCTTGAAAATGAGCAAGGAAAAAGCCTTGAGGCAGCACCCTCCCCTCCAAAGAGCTTCTCGCCAAGCATGTCTTCCTGGGGGCTGGGAAATGGCATGCGGCCTCCTCTACTCTCCTTCTTATATGCCAGACCCCTGTCCTTTCAGCGGTCCATGGAGTAAGGACCACAAATCGGCCTCCACATCCACAGCCTGCCTGGGAAGGGAAAGGTCTGAGGTGCACTAGGCTGGACACACTGGCACCGCCTATGGTCCCAGCTACTCAGGAGGCCGAGACAGGAGGATGGCTTGAGCCCAGGAGCTCGAAGCTGCAAAGAGCCATGACGGCACCTGTGAGTGGTCACACAGGGGCCACCGAGAACTTGCGAGGGGCGTTCAGAGGCAGCACTGCAGAACCGCAGACGCCTAGCCAGCCAGGTCCAGGACAGCTGTGGCGGCCGCCCAGGGTACCTACCTTTCGCCAGTCATTGAAGAAGTTCTTCCGGAAAACCTCCTTTGTTGTGTATTCATGATCTAACATCCTCCCATAAAAAGTGGCGACCTCCTCCGCTGCCACGCTCAATCTCACAGGCCTTCCTGCAGGCATCGGAAGACACATCGTATGAGAGAGCGGCCAGAGGCTCGGCCTCCAGCTGACATGACCTCATTGCTTTAAACTACGCTTTCGTGCGTACTATGCCAAGAGCAAGAAGCTAGGCCTTCTTCTGTAAGTTCAGAAGCATGTTCTGCATGACACACGACAATCAACCTGCGTGGAGGTGGCGACCACAGTGATCTGGGAGCGGGTCGTGAGAAAGCTGCAGAAGATTTCAGGCGCTACTGCTTTCTCCTCCTTTACCACTTAACGTTGCTACTACATTTATATTACATGAAAATGGAACATGTACAATTTTAAAACACACCAATTTCCACAAAATTTCACAAGTAAAATAAAAGTTAAGGCTTCAAAGCAGAAAACTGAATAACTAGGTGTACCCTTTTACAACTCTGCGGCCTCTGTCCCACCATTCCCTGCATTTTATTCTAAGATCAGTGTGGTTTAGAGATGGGGGGTGAGCTGGGAGCAGGCGAGCAGAGTGAGAGGCTCGTGGTGGGAACGAGGGTGTTCACCAGGAATTCTTTCAACTGCACGTCTGAAAAGCTTTCATAAGAAAATTTTAGAGAAATAAATGCATAATCATTTGGTAAGAAGGAGGAAGGCATTTCTGATAAACAGCAGCAATCCTTCCCCAAACTAGCTTCTCAGGACAGAGGACGAGAGGCCCAGAGACCAGCAGCACAGGCCCGAGGGGCTCAGCTCCCACTGCCCCTCTGTGGAGGCTCGGCCCCACTGGGCCCCACGCGACACCACCACTCCCCGGACTGTCCACCATGGCCCTGCATAAGCAGTCCTCGCCTGCCATGTCCCTCCTGGCCAGGGAGGTCCTGCAGGGCTGCTGTGGGGCAGGCGAGGCAGCCGCTACACCAGGCCAGGGGCACAGCGCGAGACGCTCAGTAAGGTCCCATGGCCTCCCGTGGGCAGCCCCCACAGACACAGCTAGAACCTCTGTCCCTGTGGAAGCTCCAGTACCGCTTTGGAGAAACAGGCTTTGAACAAAACATTGCATCAAAGGAGCTCAGCAAACTCAGGTGTGCATGTGACTCGGCAGGGGGCCCACGGGAGGGCTGGTGGGAGGGGCACAGCATGGCGTGGGGGCCTGCCCTGGGGGAGAAGAGGTTTGCTTTTCTTAGAAGGATGCCTTCTAGCAGAGATGAAGAAAATAGGCTGAAGCAGCTAAAATCAGCAGCACAAGAGCCAAGCCAAAGCTCCTGGGCCCTGGGGTAGAGAGGAGGGCTCAAGGGCAGGAGGGGTGTGTGGGCCCTGCTGCCCCAGAGCCCCCGGGTCCTGCCTCTGAGGGTGGCTCAGCGCTCATGTCAACCACGGGCTCCGCTTCTTGCTGAGAATCACAAGCTGGGGTCAAGTGACCGTTCTGTGATCCATGTGTGTACACGCAGTGTACGTACTGTGTATACTCAGAACACACAGGGAACACAGTGGTGCGGGGGGAGGGAGGGGGGGTCCGCTTTGCCCAGAGGGTCCTGGACACAACAGGCACAGCCAGTGCAGGCTCAGCAGGAAAGGCAGGGACGGGAGCCCCCGAACTGCCACCCTCTGAGCATGGGTCAGTTGGTCAGCAGCCCCCACGCATCACCTGCAAGAAGAGGGCACAGAGCGCTCATAGCCAGAAGCCTGCAGGGGGGCTGAGGGAGCGAGCCAGATGCCCACTGGGAGCCCACGCCCAGGGAACCAAGCGCAGGCTGGGGAGGAGCCGCTCCCTGCATCCTTACCTTCATAGAAGAAACGCACTCCGTCGGGAAGGGGCTCGTATGGGGGTGCGAAGTACGGGCCCTTGTGCTCCAGCTGTCTCCACTTCACCCCGTCTTCGTGCTTCTCCTTCTCCCACCTAAAGACGGAGACAGGACGTGTCACTCTCCTGGGCCAGGCCCTGCATGAGCCTCTTCCCCGCTCCCACAGTGGCTCCTCCCTGTGGCTCCTAGCAGGTGAGCAGTGTGGCCTCCACCTCACGGGGGAGGAAAACAAGGCCTGCAGAGGGAGGCAACCCTACCTGACCTCAGACCCCATGCCCGTGTACCCGCCCATGCCCCCCACCTGCAGAGGCCCGTGTGCTGCTGAGTCACGGATCCCACCAAGCCCAGCTAAGCGGGAAAGGGCAAGCCCAGCTAAGTGGGAAAGGCAACGTGCCTCTCCCAGGCTCTAGGGCCTCTCCCCAGATGGGTCCCTTCAGAGCCGGTCTAGAATCTTCGGGAACCTCTCCATGGGACCATTTCATTTGCTAAATAAAGGACCTGGCTGCTTATGAGAGAGCCCTGCCTCCGAGGAGCTGGGTGGAAGGGGGTCCAGCAGTGCAGCCAGTGGAGAGGCACCACAGCAGGGCGCAGGACCGCCGCCCACAGAGGATCGGGCAGGGTGGAAGGGTGGAAGAGGCAGGGCGGGGTGGAGGAGGCGGGGCAGGGAGGGGAGGCCCTGAAGCCAGAAGCCTCAGGGGTTTTCAGGGAAGGGCTCCTTTTGTAAGGCACTAACACAGTGAGGCTCCACAGGGCTCCCTGCCAAGGTCCCCCTCCCCAGGGCGCCCCCTTCTGGCAAGCCCAGCTCTGGAGATTGGGGGGGTGTTGGAGGGGGTGGGGGGACACAGCCAGCGTGGCGGCTACAGCCCATCCTAACTCTCCAGGCCAGTCATCATCTATCCATTGAGGCAAGCCCAAGCCTGCCCTGAACCAGCACTGCGCTGGGTCCTGCGGATGCAGATCACCAAAACCCATACGAAGGGCTCAACTGAACCTAGATTCTGAGATGGGCCTGGGAGAAGAGGAGCGAGATGGGGCGTGGCTGGCAGGCAGTGGGCAGGCTCGGTCAGCAGGGCTGCGGGAAGAGCAAGTCCAGCACCCAGGATGGCCAGTGCAAAGGCCTCAGTGGGAGAGGCTTTGGCGAGAGGGTGGGAGCACCATCAGGATGGGGGAGAGTGAGATGGGCACACCTTCTGAGCCTCCCCCAGACGCACAAGGACAGAAGGTTCCAGATCACACCCCCACCTGCCAGAGCCAGGAGACCTGCACGTGACCCCAGCCAGGTAGTGCTGTTGGGGGCCTGGTGGGCCTGGTCGGCTGGGATGAGTGTCCTCAGAGCAACAGGAAGTCTCTGAAGGGTCTGAGAGGGGAAAGCATGTGCAACAGACATTTCTGAAAGGGCCTTTCTGGCTGTTTCTGCAGAGGAGGGAATGGGCAAGGTTAGAAGACGTAGAGACGGAGCTGATAAAGTAGGGAGAAGTTAACGGGCTCAAGAACCTTCCAGGGTGGAGCCGGGCGTGGTGGCTCACGCCTGTGATCCCAGCACTTTGGGAGGCTGAGGCAGGCTCAGGAGCTCAAGGCCAGCCTGGCCAACATGGCGAAAGTACAAAAAAACTAGCTGGCAGATGCTGCAGGCAGCTGGAGTCTGGAGGGAGACTCGGGGAGAGGGGGGTTCTGCTGACTCTGCAGAGCTTTTCCACGTCAGGTGAGACCAGCCTCACCTTTCTTACAGGTTTTAGGAGTTCAAGAGAGCCCACCAGCCCTGATACAGCATGTCTAGGGTGGGGCTGGTAGGAGGCTGCACCACTAAGTGCCCTGAAGGATGCAAACCTAGACAACGCCTTCTTAGAGAATAAGGGAAGATGGATCATGTCGGGTGTGAGAAAATGGGAAACCACGTGTATCTCGGAACTAACTGATAGGAGCCAGGCGCGGTGACTCACGCCTGTAATACCAGCACTTTGGGAGGCCGAGGCGGGCGGATCACTTGAGGCCAGGAGTTCGAGACCCGCCTGGCCAACATGGCAAAACCCCCGTCTCTACTAAAAATACAAAAATTAGCTAGGCGTGGTGGCGGGTGCCTGTAATCCCAGCTACTCAAGGAGGCTGAAGCAGGAGAATCACTTGAACCCAGGAGGCAGAGGTTGCAGTGAGTTGAAATTGCACCACTGCACTCCAGCCTGGGTGACAGGGCAAGATTTTGTCTCAAATAATAATAATAAAAATAAAAATAAAGAACTGACAGTGACCCTGACTGCCAAGTCCTTCACAAAGCCTCTAGGGTAGTCACATCACCAGTCTCATTTCACAGATGAAGACACTGAGGTGAAACAACCTGCCGGCCAGCGGCCAGGCAGGGCTGCACCACTGGGTGTGCGCTCAAGCCCAACTGAGGGCTGCACATTGTAGTGACATTCTTTCACCCCTGCAGAGACCAGGGCACCAAGCACCACCATCAGACACAAGCTGGCTTTCAAAGCCAGAGACCTTGCTCCAAACCCACCTGTCCACCTGGGCGACTGCAGCTCAGCAGCACTTTTTGGAAAGCACCTACCTGCCTGTGCACCCTCGGAGAGATGTGCCTCAATGCAGGGCCCACAGCCAGCCCCAGCTCCAAGCGCAGGCCAGAACTCCCTCCTCCCAAGACACCCTGCCCCATCTGGGGCTCTCTTTGGGTCCCAAGCTCCTGCAGGCAGACAGGACATTTCTGCAGCATGGCCTTAGGCAGCTGTGCAGGCCCTCAGCTGTGAATGGGTATGCTGATAGCGCACCACCAGGTCACAGAGACATGCCACGCTGGAAGCACTAAGTGAATGATGATAAACCGCGAGACCTGGCGGGAACTCCTGCAGGATCTCCCACGCACCAGTGAGGCTGTCAACTCTCCAGCTCTTCGGAAACTCCAGCATTTCATGCGCAGAGACCCATCCCCATGCGGCTACCCCAGGCCCAGTATGCGCCGGCAGGGCTTCTCACATGTCCTCCAGGAAAGCGCCTGGGACCACCAACGGCCACCAGGGCCACTGGATCCATGCGGCTTGTGCCTGGTGATGTAGATATGACAGTGAGCGCCCGCCGCCATGCAGAATCGGTCCTGGAGACAACCCGGGAACCGACTCCAGGAAAGAGCGGGTCTCAGAAGACCATGCACAGCAACATAAGCTTTTTATAAAGTACCTAACCAAACCCTACAGTGTTGAGGCCCAGGCACAGCTACACAAATGATGAAACCACAAGCGGAAAAAAAGAGGGGAGATTTCCCCAAATAGGGTTGGTGGGGTGGTGCCTGGGGAAGCAAGGGCGACGTCATGGGGGGGCCTGTACACCCCGGGCAGGAGGCGGGCCGGTCACACCGCGGCACGCATGCTCTCCTGGCCCGACTTTTGGGAAAACCGGAAGCAGGGCAAGGCCGTCCCACGAGGCCTGCCACTCCCCTTTCTGGACCTACCCAAGCCCGGTGCTCAGGGCCCTCGCCGCCTGCTCACTGGGACACCTTACCTGGCTCCACTGCCCTTCTGCGTCCTGCGCGAGCCCGGGACACCCCGGGAGGCCGGGCGGCGGGGGACCTCCCCGAGCAGCGTCAGAGCCGCCCGGAGCCGCAGCAGCCGCACCACGCGCATCTGCCAGCCTCCGGGAAAGAGCGACAAGCTGGGCCCCGCCCCAGCGGCCAGCCCCGCCCCGCCCCCAGCGGCCAGCCCCGCCCCCGAGCGCGGCCTCCGCCCCCAGCGGCGCTCATCCCAAGGCTGGGCGGTCTAAGCCTGCACGGGGCTGCGGCAGCAGGACCACTGACTGTCCTGCCGGCCTCCCCCTGGTTTCCCTGCCTTCGTGGTCCAGCGCCCCTTCACGCTGGGCGGGGACCCAGATCCAAACCCAGTCCCACTGACCTCTGCAGCACAGGGCTGGCTGTCAGGATGCCCCACAGGTCACACGACCAGGCCAGTGAACTCCTGCCCAGGGCTTGCACACAGCTCTCTCCCAGAGCCTCTGAGGGCAGGGGCACCTAGCAGGTCCTTCCTAAGTACACGCTCTGCTGCTCTGGAGAAGGGACCACACAGGCTCAGATGGCCCCCTACCTCATCCCCTACAAACAGCAGCACTTCCAGGACGCAGAAACCGGCAGAAGCACCTGCTGTCCAGCCCACAGCAGCCCCTCAGAGGTGGTGCCTCTGGACAAAGGTCACAGGAAGTCCTGCGAAATCATCCCTGCCAACCAGCCTCTCACTCCCAAGGAGACCAGAGACCAGGCACAGCTGGAGCCTCCTTCCTGCGCTCAGTCCCCAGCGTGACTGCTGACCCTGACCAGGGTTTAACCCCAGTGTCTTCACTGGGGAGCATGGCCAAGGGGCAAAACCTCTAGATCAGCACTTGGCGGTAGGCCCTGAGCCACAACAGGCCACACCGCTCACCTCTGGCAGCACCGCAGCCTTGGTCTTCCCCGGTAAAACCCTGACACCAGGACCGTGGGAAGCAGATGAATTCACATGCATTCCGCACTTTCACTGTGACCGTTGGGGGGAATGCAGTGGACACAGGCAGGAAAGGAGTCCGGGCTGCCACCGCACGCCCTCAGCGACCCTCCCCTGCCACCAACTGACTCAGTGTCCATGTCATCTAGCTGCTGGAAGCCATGGGCAGAGGCCGAGGGCTGCAATTGCTCGCTCTTAGGGCCCAGGCAGACCTGGTAGGTGTCCCATCATTTCAGAATGAGCAGCTCAGCAGCTGAAGGTACACACACACCAGGACACAGCAGCTGACTCTCCAGGTGGGCCACCTCCTCCCAGGGGCTGCGGAACAGTGATGCATATTTTTTCAGGTAACCCTTTCTACAAACCAGAAGAGGGCCTTGGCCCAGGCCCACCATTCCTTCAACGGAATCCTGAGGTCAATGTGTTTTCCAGTTCAGGTTTCTAAGGGTTTTTGATTTTTTGTTTTTTACTTTTTGTAGAGATGGGGTCTCCCTATGTTGCCCCGGCTGGTCTCGAACTCCTGGGCTCAAGTACCTTGGCCTCCCAAAGTGCTGGGATTTCAGGTGTGAGCCGATGCCCAGTTGGTTCCTCAGGTTTTGTAAGAGGGAGTGTGGCAGGACAAAAACCCTAAGATTTCTCAATAGATGCAGAAAAAGCAGCAGACAAATCCAGCACCATTTCATGATAAACAGAATGGAAAACCCACTCAAGAACAGAATAGAAAGAAACTTAACCTGAAAAGCAGCATCTACAAAACCCCGCAGCTAACCTCATATGCCAGAAGAAAGACTGGACGCTCCTGCTGAAATGAAGAATAAGACGAGGATGTCCACTCTCACCACTGCCTCTCAACATGGTACCAGAGGCTCTAACTGAGCAAACAGGCAAGCAGATGAAATAAGACACCCAGATCAGAAAGAAAGAAGTAAATTATGTCTATTTGCAGGTGGCATAATCTTGTATATAGAAAATCCCAAAGAATCCACAAAAATTGGCCGAGCACCGTAGCTCATGCCTGTAATCCAAGCACTTTGGGAGGTCAAAGCAAGTGGATCACTTGAGCCAAGGAGTTCAAGACCAGCCTGGGCAACATAGTGAGACCCTATCTCTATGGAAAATAAAATTTAAAAAAGAATCCACAAAAACTAGTAGAGCTAATAGATGAATTCAGCACAATTGTAGGGTACAAGATCAATATGCAAACATCAGTTGTATTTCTAACCAGTAGCCATACGCAAACTGAAAATGAAATTAAGAAAATAATTTATTATAGCATGAAAAAATAAAATACTGCACAATAAATTTAACAAAGGAAGTATCAAGCTTATACTCTGAAAACTGTAAAACATTGCCCAAAGAAATTAAAGACAGCCTAAATAAATGAGCAGCCATCCCATGTTCACGGACTGGATGATTTCATATGGTTAAGACAGCATTGGCCAGGTGCAGTGGCTCACGCCTGTAATCCCAGCACTTTGGGAGGCCGAGACGGGCGGATCACGAGGTCAGATCGAGACCATCCTGGCTAAAACGTCTCTACTAAAAAAATTAGCCTGGCATGATAGCAGGCGCCTGTAGTCCCAGCTATTTGGGAGGCTGAGGCAGGAGAATGGCGTGAACCCAGGAGGCAGAGCTTGCAGTGAGCCGAGATCACGCTACTACACTCCAGCGTGGGCAACAGAGCAAGACTCCGTCTCAAAAAAAAAGACGGCAATACTCCCCAAACTGATCCAAAAACTCAATACAATCCCCATCTAAATTCCAGCTGGCGTTTTTACAGAAATTGACAACCTGATCCTAAAATTCACAGGGAAATACAAGGGACCCAGAATAGCCAAAACAATGTTTGAAAAAGAATAACAAAGTTGGAGGATTCATACTTGCTGATTTCAAAACTTCAAAACTGGCCCAGGGAACACAGCAAGACCCCATCTGTACTAAAGATTTTTAAATTAGCCAGGCATGATGGTGTACACCTGTAGTAAGGGAGGAGACCACCTCTCATATTGTCTTCTGCCTAATTTCTGCCTCAAAGAAAAGAAAAAGTAGGAGTTAAAGAAAAGGCAGAAGTGAAATTCAATAGTCAAACAGCCCGGCGCCACACCCCAGGCCTGGTAGTTAAAGATCGGCCCGGACCTAATCGCTTCTGTTATCTACAGATTCCAGACTTCTTATGAGGAAGCATTGCGTAACTCCCTGTTTGGTTCTGTTCTGATCACCGGTGCATGCGGCCCCAGTTACGTAGCCCCCACTTGCACAATGTATCACGGCCCTTTCACATGGACCCCTTAGAGTTGTAAGCCCTTAAAAGGGACAGGAATCTGGACCTCGGGGAGCCCGGATCTTGAGAGGCGATTCTACTGATGCTCCCAGCTGATTAAAACCTCTTATTCCCTAAAACCGGTGTCCGAGAGGTTTTGTCTGCAACGTGTCCTGCTACAGTAGTCCTAGCTACTCAGGGGGCTGAGTGGGAGGATTGCTTGAACCCAGGAGTTCAAGACTGCAGTGAGCTATGATCAGGCTACTGCACTCCAGCCTGAACAACAGGCTCCATCTCTTAAAAAAAAATTTTTTTTTTGGCTGGGCTTGGTGGCTCACGCCTGTAATCTCAGCACTTTGGGAGGCCAAGGCGGGCGGATCACCTGAGGTCGGGAGTTCAGGACCAGCCTGACCAACATGGAGAAACCCCGTCTCTACTAAAAATTCAAAATTAGCTAGGCGTGGTGGCTCATGCCTGTAATCCCAGCTACTCGGGAGGCTGAAACAGGAGAATCACTTGAACCCGGGAGGTGGAGGCTGTGGTGAGCTGAGATCGCACCATTGCACTCCAGCCTGGGCAACAAAATGAGACTCCGTCTCAAAAAAAAAAAAATGTTAATTTTAAAAAGGGGGATAAATAATCTAAATAGACATTTCTCCAAAGATGAGATATAAAAGGCCAACAATCCTGTAAAAAGATGCTCAAAATCATCAGCCATGGGAGAAATGCAAATCCAACCCACAGTGAGGTCACCTCACACCTGGGTGGCTGCAGTCAACATGCTGGGGAGGGCGTGGAAAAGTGGCACCCACTGCACAAGGCCAGAGACACAGTTGGGGAGTCTGGGCCTGCAGACCAGAAGGGGTTTCTATGAACTGTCTGCCAATATTCCTGGGGTTGGCGGCCTCCTCCCCTTGTGCCCTCTTCTTCCCCAGGCCACTCAGGGGTTGCCCAAGGGAGCGGGGACAGGGCTTCACGCACTCTTCCTCACAGCAGGTAGGAGGACCCCTGTTTTGCATGAGAGAAACTAGGCTTAGAAAATTTAAAGAATTTCCCCAGAATCAAACAGGTGCTGAATGCAGGAGCTGATACCTATAAAGACGTTTCCCACCCAGAAGCCGGAGCTCCAAGGCTATGCAGGGACTGCCCAGGTGGGAGGCGGCGCCGCCCAGCAGACACAGCTGCGAGCAGTGGTGGAGTTTACCCCATCCAGAAGCCACACTGCAAAAGAAACAGTGACTTTGACCTTAACAATATACTTAATTTCAACTATTTCAACCAAAATACTGTCATTCAACATAATATGCTAATGCGATGGTATGCA
This sequence comes from Homo sapiens, assembly GCF_000001405.40. Lineage (NCBI taxonomy): Eukaryota > Metazoa > Chordata > Mammalia > Primates > Hominidae > Homo > Homo sapiens. Next base: position 143,339,292 of record NC_000008.11, read on the forward strand.
TCGTTCTTCTCAAAGCAGGCGTGCGTATCACACCCCCAGCACGTCTCCACTGGGAGAGCTGCGCAGCTCGTGGCTGCGTACAGGACACAGCAGGGGTGACGGCTACAACTGCAGTGTGGCCCACTTGTGGCCATGTGACCTTGGCCCGGTTACTTAACCTTTTTGTACCTCAGTTTCCTCATCTGAAAAATGGACATAGCAGTACCTACTTCATAGAGGACTGACCAAAAGCAATGCCAGACACACAGCAAACACTCACTTACTGCTGGCTGCTCCCAGTACCCTACAACCCACAGCTCAAAGCTGCCGATGCAAGAGGGCACTCTGGGGGGCACCCAGGCTCCCTGGCAACCTACAGTGGGCAGGCAAAGGCCAGCACTGTAGCATTCCCACATTCCCAGCACTGGTCTACACAGCACTCCCCGCCTCCCCCACCAGGGACAGGGAGGGGAAGTGGGCCTGTGCTGGTCTAAACTGCATTCCCCTGCTCCCAGCGCTGATCTACACAGCATTCCACCCCTGCCAGCACTGGTCTACACAGCATTCCCCCCGTCCCAGCACTGGTCTACACAGCATTCCCCCACTCCCAGCACTGGTCTACACAGCATTCCCCCCGTCCCAGCACTGGTCTACACAGCATTACCCCACTCCCAGCACTGGTCTACACAGCATTCCCCCGTCCCAGCACTGGTCTACACAGCATTCCCCCACTCCCAGCACTGGTCTACACAGCATTCCCCCGTCCCAGCACTGGTCTACACAGCATTCCCCCGTCCCAGCACTGGTCTACACAGCATTCCCCCACTCCCAGCACTGGTCTACACAGCATTCCCCCACTCCCAGCACTGGTCTACACAGCATTCCCCCACTCCCAGCACTGGTCTACACAGCATTCCCCCACTCCCAGCACTGGTCTACACAGCATTCCCCCCCTCCCAGCACTGGTCTACACAGCATTCCCACACTCCCAGCACTGGTCTACACAGCATTCCCCCCTCCCAGCACCGGTCTGCACAGCATTCCCCCCCTCCCAGCACTGGTCTACACAGCATTCCCACCACCCCGTCAGGACATGGAGGGAGAGAAGGGGTGGGGTAGGGTACACACCATTTCCACCTGCTGCCTTCGGCCTTCTCCCACCCTTTCTGGCTCTCCTCCTGTGGCTTAGCTGCCTCCTGGCCATCTTTCTTCTCTCCCTCTGGACACCCCAGCATCAACTGGCTCCCCCTCCTTCCACTTCTCTCTGCTTCTGGCTGGCTTCCGGCTGCCCTGAGCTTTCTCTTCTTGGGGCTTCTTCACCAGGCCCCCCACCTCCCAGTCACCCTTTGCCCCAGGGCAATGGCGAGGCCACGCCGCTGGCTGTGGTGCCCCGTCCAGCTCACTCCCACACTGCACTTCTCTGTCTTCCTCCAGGTCCTGAGCTTTTCATTTCTTTGGTTTTCGAGTCCCCTCTTCCCCAGCTTTGTCTGTCTCCCTCTTCTTTTCTTTTCTGGAAACCAAGGCCTCCTGTCCCACTTTTGTGCCACTACCTAATTTGTCACTTTCTTCTTTCTTGGTTTTTCCCACCCACACTTCTTTTACATCCTCGTCCTCGTTCTGTGCTTGTCTCCTGGCCCGTAACTCTCCTTTCTGCTCAGTGTGGCCCTGGCTCGTCCTCCGTGCTGGGGTGGGCACCATGCCCTCACTGTGCACCTGCTCCTGGCCACGCTTCGCACCTCTTCTGTGGGAACTGCTCTGTCTATCCCACTGCCCAGAGCGCGCTCCTCCCCAGCTCCCACGGCGGCCCCTGCACTCTTCCGCTCCCCACAGCTGAGGGTCTCAGGCTTGCCCCTAGCGTCCCCGCCACCCTCTTCTCGTGCTGCCGCCCCAGTGCATCTCCCCACACGTTTGTCCTGAAGCCCTTTCTCCCCTTTCTCTTCGGATATTCTTTTTTTTTTCTCAGTTTGTGCCTCTCTTCCACACAGCCCTTGCCCCGGCCAGTGTCTGTGAGCTCACAGTCCAGGTCCTCTTCCAGAGCCCCCTTCCGGCTGGGCACCGCCTGCAGGGCCATGCCCTTCTATCTCTTCTCTTGGGTGTCAGGACCCCGGGCACATCCACCAAGGGCCATCTTCATCTTGTCTGCAGGAACCTCCGTGTGGCCTTGGGACCTTGCCCAGAACAGAGAGCACACACCATGAGAGGGGCCACAGGGCCACAAACATACCCACCCGGAGACCCCAGAGGAGGAGGGAAGGTTCACCTTCCCCACCCCAGCAATGGCTGCCCTCCATGGGCCTAACAGATGCTTTTAACTCAGCTTTGGAAAATGGCCTCTTGATCTCAGCCCTTGTGGCCTCTGTCAGGAGCAGAAACCAAGGGCAATGAACAAAGGAGCCAGGGGTCAGCTTGGGGCTGCTCCCAACTCCGGAGCAGGTGCAGGCCGCAACAGGCCATACTGCCAGCGTCCACCCTGACCCAGACACAAAACACCAGAAAGGGAAGGTCACAGAGCACTATCCCGACACCACTGCCCCATCTAGTGCTTCCTTCTTCCTTCTTCTTCCTCTTCTTCCTCCTCCTCCTCCTTCCTCTTTCTCCTCCCCCTTCTTCTTCTTCTTATTAGCGACAGAGTCTCACTCTGTTATTATTATTATTATTGAGACAGAGTCTCGCTCTGTTATTATTATTATTAGAGACAGAGTCTCGCTGTTATTATTATTATTAGAGACAGAGTCTCGCTCTGTTATTATATTAGAGACAGAGTCTCGCTGTTATTATTATTATTAGAGACAGAGTCTCGCTCTGTTATTATTATTATTAGAGTCTCGCTCTGTTATTATTATTAGAGACACAGTCTCGCTCTGTTATTATTATTATTATTAGAGACAGAGTCTCGCTCTGTTATTATTAGAGACAGTCTCGCTGTTATTATTATTATTAGAGACAGAGTCTCGCTCTATTATTATTATTATTAGAGACAGAGTCTCGCTCTGTTATTATTATTATTAGAGACAGAGTCTCGCTGTTATTATTATTATTATTAGAGACAGAGTCTCGCTGTTATTATTATTATTAGAGACAGAGTCTCGCTCTGTTATTATTATTAGAGACAGAGCCTCGCTGTTATTATTATTATTATTAGAGACAGAGTCTCGCTCTGTTATTATTATTATTATTAGAGACAGAGTCTCGCTCTGTTATTATTATTATTATTAGAGACAGAGTCTCGCTGTTATTATTATTATTATTAGAGACAGAGTCTCGCTCTGTTATTATTATTATTATTAGAGACAGAGTCTCGCTCTGTTATTATTATTATTAGAGACAGAGTCTCGCTGTTATTATTATTATTATTAGAGACAGTCTCGCTCTATTATTATTATTATTATTAGAGACAGTCTCGCTCTATTATTATTATTATTATTAGAGACAGAGTCTCGCTGTTATTATTATTATTAGAGACAGAGTCTCGCTCTGTTATTATTATTAGAGACAGAGTCTTGCTCTATTATTATTATTATTATTATTATTAGAGACAGAGTCTCGCTCTGTCACCCAGGCTGGAGTGCAGTGGCGTGATCTCGGCTCACTGCAACCTCTGCCTCCCGGGTTCAAGCGATTCTCCTGCCTCAGCCTCCCGACCACCACACCCGGCTAATTTTGTATTTTTAGTAGAGAGGGGGTTTCATCATGTTGGACAGGCTGGTCTCAAATTCCTGACCTCAGGTGACCCACCCACCTCCGCCTCCCAAAGTGCTAGGATTATAGGCATGAGCCACCACGCCTGGCCTGCTAACTTATTTCACCATAAAATCTTAGAAGAAAATCAGACACTAAGTTCATTTGTGTTGTCATATCTGCAAGAATAAGCATTCATCAGGCATGAGTGCCTGGGAAGTTGCTTATCAGAATCATGTTCACACATTCATTTCCTATTTAAGATGCCGACTTGGCCTTTTTTCTTGGGTGGCTTTTCATGGTGATTAGTCTTCACTGGCGTGGTGATCTGTGCAAATCTAGAATTCAAATGTATACATAAACATGCAGCTCTGCGGCTCATTTAGGGTTGCCATTCTAACAACAGAGAGTCAGAACAACCTCATGGAAGCCTCCCAAGCTCTTCATGACCCTTTTCTCATTTTTCAAAAGTACACCTGGCAAAGCTGCTGGTGACCCACGTGCTGGGCATCAAGGAACCTCTGACTCTGAGCACAGCACCAGCTGGCGGTGGGAAGTCCCGCCCGAGGCCAGAAGCTGCGAACACATCTCAGGCCCCTCCCGGCCTCGGGAAGAGTGGGCAGGCAGTAAAAGGCAGCTCCCAGGTCCCCTCTGGGACCATCTCTGTCCCCACCAACACCACAGCAGTTCAGAGATCATCAATTTGGAAAAACAGTCTTTCCAAAGTAACTTTTGAAGAAGAAGTGTGAGAAAATATATTCAGAAACAAAACCCACATTGAACAGAGAGAGGAACAGACACTTCGCTTAAGTGGGAATGGCACGGGGCCCACCTCGGGCTGCACGCTGGGTCAGAGGCGCCATCCCTGGGAACCCCGAGGAGGTTATGGGGGCACCAGGCACCCCGGTCTGAACGCTCCCACTCATCGGCTGACTGGCCACCCTCACCCACACCTCACACTATGGCTGCTCTCACTCCACCATCTGACCATCACAACACACGCCCACATCCATGCAGACTGGAGACACAGTGAAACACGCGTCTTGCAAGGAAAAACCTGTGAGATTTCTGAAAATCATGTTAGAGCCCTACTGAGGCAGAGGCCTGGGCCAGCCGAGAAAGGTGAGAGGAGGCCCTGTTGTAACACAGCTGGAAAGCAGGATTCATAGATGGATTTCATGTGGAATCTAGGCCCTCAAGGATGGGGCCCTCAAAGATGACACCAAGGTCTGTGCTTGAGAAGACAGAAGGAGCCGCTTCACCGAAACGAGAGGACTAGGGAGGGAAGGGCAGCAGACACCCACGGTCCTCTCAGGATGTGCTGACTGCAGAGGCCTAGAGTCCCACAGGGAAGCCGTGGGAGGCCCCCTCTGCCCCAGCCCAGCTCAGCCCTCCTGCTTGAGGAAGAAGGAGTGGCGGGACACCAGAGGGACAGGCTAGGAAGCACTCAGTAGCAGTGGCAGGAGCTCAGGAGGCTTTGGGCTGGCCCTGAGACACCACCACCCACTGGCCAGCAGCAGCTGGTCCTCCAGGTCTCCGTGACTCCCCCAGCCCCATGCCCACCCAGGATACAAAGGCAAGCCTCCCCACTCCCCAGCCACTCCCTTACTCAGTGAGGACCCAGGGCTGCTCACTGTGCCACCCGCCCGCCGCGCAGCACCATTCCCCAGCTACAGGGACAGCTGATGGTCACACAGACCCCACAGCGATCTCTGTCACTCCCAGACGCCCCCTCCCCAGTAACCCCTGTTGTGGGGGTGTAGACGGAGAGGCGCAGACACTGTCCTGTCAACAAGCCAGGCTCCATGTTGTCCGTAAGTCCAGGGCCCAGCACCTAAGGGTGATTAACTGGCAAGGACACCAAACAGCGGAGGAGGAGGGACCTCAGCTGAGCGAGATGAGCGACAGTGAACAAGGCCAGGCAGGAGACAGAATGGATGGGCGTCAAGGGAGGAGCCACCCAGCACCTGGAGAGCAGCTGTGGTCACAGGCACGAATTCATCACAGCCACAGTCATCAGCACGGGCTGCAGTCTGGGGTAGAAAAATCAGAAGGAAGGAAACGTTAAAGTTTTAAGCAATAAGAGACCCAGGGGCCGTGTTAAAAGGTAACTCATTCTCTACCTCATCCCAACTCAATGACACAATCCTGGCTCCACCTGGGCCAGCACAGGGGCTTGTAAAAGAGTATGCATGGGAGACTCCCCATAGACAGGTCCCAGTCCCCGGACACAGACACGTACCACACTGCAGGCACCAGCCAGTCCTTCCCGAGGAGCTTACCCTCACTGGGCAGAGCCACGCACTGAGGGGCAGAGCCCACAAGCCCACTGGCAGCCGAGGTCACCCCCATGCCTGACCTGGCAGAGCCCTGCAGGAGGCAGGTCCACAGGGCATCCCTGGTGGCTGAAAAGGTCTGAACCAGCACTGGGCACAGGAGCCCAGCAATGCCAGCCCGAGGCGTCTGCTGGTCTCCGGAGGACACAGTTGCAAACTCGACACAGACACAGAGAAGCAGGCTGGCCCCTCCAGCTCCTGCTGCCACGCGCGGCTGGGAGGTGTCACTCACACCCCACGTGGAACAGGGCCTCTCGGGCTATACTCCCACACCTCTGGCTGGCACTTCAGCAGAGAGTTTTTCACTGTTTTAAATTAAAATACAGATAAGGCTTGCATTAATTTAGTAGAAAAGTTTAGCGCCAACTCAGGGCTTTCATAAATTATAGAAGAATACATTACATAGTACCAGAACACAGAGAAGAGATAAAGTAATTCACACTTAAACTATACTGATGAAGTCAGTCATCAGTAAAATGGCAAAATCCAAATCATCGACACTTTTTCTAAATTGAAGTCCCACAAAGCATTTACTATTGCATTGCTTTTCAAACAAACCGTTATCTAACAACCCACTGTTAATGGGGTAGACTGTGGAGGGTCTGATTCTGCCCTATCAGCACATCCGCAGGAAACACCTGCAGAAATCATCACCAGGGAGATGCCGGGGGCAGGGGTGATGGTCGAGTGTGTGTGGACATGTCTGTATTCTGAGTGTGGCAGTGGCTTTCCAGAGGGACACTTCTGCCACAACTCATCCAATGGTCACTGTCAACGAGTACAGTTTATCACGTGTAGATAATGTGTCTGTAAAGTTCACTTCTCACAAAGTGCTCCTGTGTGACTCCAGAGCCCAGGAGAATGGGAAGCTCTTCTGGCTCTTGGCCAAGGGTTTGTTTCACCTCCAGAACAGCTCCGAAGGCAATGCCAGGCCTCCTGAAGCTCAGGAGTGAAGAGGAAATGCCAGGTTCCTAAATATGAGGCTGCTCCAAACTCCTTACAGGCAGTGCAGGAACAGAACACCCAAAGGGGTTATCTTCATAGAGCACTTTTACCACCCAACTAATGGGATATTGAGACACCCAGAAACTTAGTTCTTGGACCAGGCATTGCCCCTCAAATTTGCTTTCCCTTGCCAAGATCTCACAAAATGATTTTTTAAAAAAAGATATATTTTAAACAAACAAAGCAGCACAAGAGAATAAGAAAGGGGGCTGTGCTGGGTATAGCAGCATGCTTGTAGTCCCAGCTACTCGGGAGGCTGACATGGGAGGATCACTAGAGCCCGGGAACTGGAAGCCAGCCTGGGCAACACAGCAAGACCTCATCTTAAAAAAGAGAAAAAGAGAAGGAAGGGGGATGTATTTTAGTCCATTTTCTGCTGCTGTAACAAATAGCACAGACTGGGCAATTTATAAAGAACACAAATTTATCTGGCTCACCAGAGGCTGGGAAGGCCAAAATCAAGAAGCTGCATCTGGCAAGGACCTTCTTGCTGCATTACCCCAGGGGCAGAAGATGAACTAGCGCACAGGTCAGAGGGAGGACACTAAGCAAAATCACGATTTTGATCAGGAACCAACTCCCATGGTAAGAAATCTACTCTCAAGATAACAACATTGTCCACTTATGAGGGTAGAGCCAAATCACTTTTCAAAAGCCTCACTTCTTTATTTATTTATTTATTTATTTATTTATTTATTTATTTATTTATTTTGAGAGATGGAGTCTCACTCTGTGGACAGGCTGGAGTGCAGTGGTGTGATCTTGGCTCACTGCAACCTCCGCCTCCCAGGTTCAAGCGATTCTCCTGCCTCAGTCTCCCAAGCAGCTGGGATTACAGGCATACGCCACCACACCCGGCTAATTTTTGTTTTGTTTTGTTTTTGAGATGGAGTCTCACTCTGTCGCCCAGGCTGGGGTGCAGTGGCGCGATCTCTGCTCACTGCAAGTTCTGCCTCCTGGGTTCACGCCGTTCTACTGCCTCAGCCTCCCAAGTAGCTGGGACTACAGGTGCCCGCCACCATGCCCAACAAACTTTTTTGTATTTTTAGTAGAGACAGGGTTTCACCATGTTAGCCAGGATGGTCTTGATCTCCTGACCTCGTGATCCGCCCGCCTTGGCCTCCCAGAGTGCTGGGATTACAGGCATGAGCCACCGCACCCAGCTAATTTTTGTATTTTTTAGTAGAGACGGGGTTTCACTATATGTTGGCCAGGCTGGTCTTGAACTCCTGACCTCAAGTGATCCACCTGCCTCGGCCTCCCAAAGTGCTAGAATTATAGGCGTGCCTGGCCAGGCCTCACCTCTTAAAAGTAGTTACTATTTAGTATTAAGTATTACAAATGGCAACTAAATTGCAACCTGAGTTTTAGAAGGAACATTGAAACCACAGCAGGCAGGCAGCCAGCCAGCCAGCCAGCCAGCCAGCCAGCCAGCCAGCCAGCGGGGAAGAGTTGAAACAATCCAGGAACTTTATAAAGCACAATGGGAGAGAGGGCAGAGCCACCCTCAGTCCAAGGTGGGCTGTGCGGGACCACCGCTTTGAGCCCCACAGCAGGCCAGGCCTCGAAGCTCAGGCACCGAGGTGAGGACGGGTACCTGGAGCTCAGCAGGCTCCTCTGTGACGCAGCTGTAGCAGCCAGGGGTCTCCCCACGCTGAGGAGGGTGAGGAGGGGTGGCTGCCATGGAGGGTGCCCAGGAGATGTGGGGCCTGACCAGGGCCTCCACATCCCACAGCAGCCTTGCAAGCCAGAGGGGACCTCCACCCAGGGCCTCCTTCTGTGCTAAGAGTGGAGTTCCTGGAGTTGGAAAGTCCTGCCGCCTAAGCCCTACCACCCTGGAGAGGCCCCACTCAGGACAAAGCCCACTGGTAAACCCAGGCCCGCCCCATCCAGAGATACTCCCACCAGCTCCCTGCTCCAAAGTCCCTCAGTCATTGTCACAAATAGTGAGCAGCAGACATGTGAGAAAATCACAAGAAAATGTCCACACAGAGGACAGCACAAGGGGTGGTAAGACCATGAGACCACCTGGGGCAACAAGAGAATTGATAGAAAACCCAGTCACGGCTTTGAAAGGGCCCAGGACTTCATGCCCTGAGCCGCAGCTACGGCTCAAGACTCCATGTGACCCTGTGGCCCTTCTGTCCCACACTCACCTGACAGACACCCCCCACCGACCTCCCCCACAAGCCCAGCTGTGTAGCCTGTTAATCCTGCCATGTAAAGGGGTGCCCTGCAGGGGTGTGGCAGGAGGGTCCTAAGAAGACCAGCATATTTCATCCTGTGTCACTCTTGTACTCACTGAGAGCTGGGGGGTGGGGGGGGGTGGGGGCCCTCCAGGTGGGCCTGATCTAGCCCCATGCGCCGCTGAAAAGCAGTTTCCTCCAGGTGGTGACAGGGAGAGTCAGAGACTGGATTCAGGTGCCTCTGCAGGCTGTGAGGATGAAGGGCCAAATGGAGGGGCATGGAGAATGGACGCCAGCTGACAGCCAGCCAGAAAACGGCCCTTGGTCCCACAGCTACAGGGACTGACCCAACTCCCAGGAGCCTGGTGCCCTGAGGCAGGAGCCCAGCCCGGCCAGCGTACCCCGACTCAGCACACCCCAACTCACCCTAAGCTGAGAATCCTGCCAAACCCACTTGAGCATCTGACCTACAGAACTGTGAGCTATGACCAGGCATTGCTTATTGCCTGCACAGAATGCTCGTAGCTGGCTTAGAGGGCAGAACCGCGGTCTCCAGGGCAGCAGCCAAATCACCTGAGGATCCTCTCCTCAGGAGGCAGGTTCTCAGCTCCTCACCACAAAACTACCCACCAGAGACCAACAGGCGGGCCATGAGCCTCTTCTGTTTAATGTTTCATTAGAGAAAATCTCAAGCACACACAAACAGAGAGAGAACGGCTTATGAAAACTCATTATACAAATTGAGCTTTTCCTACCACACCCAACCAAATCAGAGTCGAGGGACCCAGGAAAAGCTCTCAGGCACACGGCACCTGCTCCCAGAGCCCCCCTCCCACCCCCCTGCCCCCTGCAAGTCTAGCTGCTGAAATGACCTGCTGCAACCTTACAACCGGGTGTACCTAATGGCTGTTGGAACAACCTACCTGACCCAAAGACTAGGTTTACCTACTGTGTCTTTCACCAATCTGAGCTTGCCAGCTCCCCAAAACTTCATTAGTGCCAATGTGTTTTCTTTCAAAACAATAGGTAACATTTCTCTTTCCAATAAACCCCCCAGCATGCTCTTCGTTCTTGGGACCAAAGACCACTCTGGTCTGTGTGTATGCCTGAATTGCAATTCTGTTTTTCCCAATAAAACATTTTGTTTAGAGATTCATCTGTACACTTTTTTTTTTTTTCTGTTGAGACAGAGTCTTGCTCTGTCACCCAGGTTGGAGTGCAGTGGCATGATTTCGGCTCACTGCAACCTCTGCCTCGTGGGTTCAAGTAATTCTTCTGCCTCAGCCTCCCGAGTAGCTGGAACTACAGGCACTCACCACCACGCCCAGATAATTTTTGTATTTTTAGTAGAAACAGGGTTTCGCCATGTTGGCCAGGCTGGTCTCGAACTCCTGACCTCAATTGATCTGCCCACCTCAGCCTCCTAAAGTGCTGGGATTACAGGCACGAGCCACCGTGCTGGGCCTCATCTGTGTATTTTCATTTGAGTCTGACAAGTATTAATACACTCCCACAACCCCATTACACCAATTCAAAACTTATCAGCTCACATCCCATCTCCTTCCATTGAGTGCCCACCCTCTTCTCTCCCCACTGGGTTATTCTGAAGCAACTCCAAGACAGCACATCGTTTCACCCACAAACATCTCCAATTATGTCCAAAGATGCAAACTCTTCCGTTAAAGACCACAACCACGTGCCCACTTCGGCAGCACATACGCTAAAAGTGGAACAATACAGAGAAGATTCTCATGGCCGCTGTGCAAGAATGACAGGCAAATTCATCACGCTCTCCACAAAAACAATTAAAGAACACAACCACTATACACCATCACTCTTTCTTTCTTTTCACTTTTCTTTTCTTTTATTATTTTAAGACTGAGTCTCGTTCTGTCATGCAGGTTGGAGTTCAGTGGCACGGTCTCAGCTCACTGCAACCTCCATCTCCCGGGTTCAAGTGATTCTCCTGCCTCAGCCTCCTGAGTAGCTGGGATTACAGGCGCCTGCCACCATGCCTGGCTAATTTTTGTATTTTTAGTAGAGACGGGGTTTCGCCATGTTGGCCAGGCTGGCCTCGAACTCCTGACCTCAAGTGATCCTCCTGCCTAGGCCTCCCAAAGTGCTGGGATTACAGGCGTGAGCCACAGCACCCAGCCCACTATCACACTTCAAAAAACAAATTCCTTATTATCGAATATCCACGGAGTGCTCAAATTCCCTAATTGTCTCATCATTTAAAAAATCTTTCTGTAAATCAGAATTGAAACAAAGTCCAATGCATCTGAACAGACTTTTTGGTTCTCTTTTTATTTTTACTGCAATCTACTTCAATTTAAATTTTTAGAAAACTTCCTATTTTGGAAAATTTCAAGCACATGCAGAATTATAAGCACTCCCCACCGACAGAGACTGTCCTCGACCACACTTGAGTCTGGCTCCTGGGTCCTCCTCTTCGACCAGGCCCTGACCTTGGCTTAGTCCTTGACCTACTTAGTCCAGTTTCAGCAAGACTCCCGCTGGTCGCTTCAGTGAAAACGCCCACCTTGGTATCTGATCGCCTTCATCATCGGGTCAAATTCCTCCTCCCTCAGCCTCTACAGCTCATCACCCTGGCCTGCCTTCAGCAAGAACCCCTACCCCCGATGTCTCCTCATGGTAACTTTCCAACTCTGCTTCTTGGCTGTACATCCCCACATCTTTGTTGTATTTGGAGTTGAGCTCAATCTCTCTCCCCTACTGCAAAACCCCATTACAGCGGCCTCTCCTGGAAAATCTGCCTTACCATCTTCAACAAGTGTCATAAAAACATTTTCTTGGCCAGGTGCGGTGGCTCAGGCCTGTAATCCCAGCACTTTGGGAGGCCAAGGTGGGTGGATCACCTGAGGTCAGGAGTTCAAGACCAGCCCAGCCAACATGGCGAAACCCTGTCTCTACTAAAAATACAAAAATTAGCCTGGCAAGAGTGACGCATGCCTGTAATCCCAGCTACTTGGGAGGCTGAGGCAAAGGCAGGAGAATCACTTGAGCCTGGAAGGCGGAGCTTGTGGTGAGCCAAGATCATGCCACCGCACTCCAGTCTGGGGGACAGAGTGAGACCCAGTCTCAAAAAAAAAAAAAGAAAAAAAGAAAAGGAAAGTAAAACAATTCCATTTACAATAGCATCAAAAAAGTAAAATACTGAGCAATAAATTTAACAAGAGATATAAAGCTTATACTCTGAAAACTGTAAAACATTGCCAGAAGAAATTAAAGACACCCTAAATAAATGAACAGCTATCCTGTGTTCATGGACTAGATGACTTCATATGGTTAAGACAGCAATACTCGGCCAGGTGTAGTGGCTCATGCCTGTAATCCCAGCACTTCGGGAGGCCGAGGCGGGTGGATCACCTGAGGTCAGGAGTTCGAGACCAGCCTGACCAACATGGAGAAACCCCCTCTCTATTAAAAATACAAAATTAGCTGAGTGTGGTGGCACATGCTGTAATCCCAGCTACTCAGGAGGCTGAGGCAGGAGAATCGCTTGAACCTGGGAGGTGGAGGTTGTGGTGAGCCAAGATTGTGCCATTGCACTGCAGCCTGGGCAACAAGAGTGAAACTCTGTCTCAAAATATATAAAAGACAACAATACTCTCCAAACGGATCAAAAAACTCAATGCAATCCCCATCAAAATTCCAGCTAGTGTTTTTGCAGAAATTGACAACCTGATCCTAAAATTCACAAGGAAACACAAAGGACCCAGATTGTTTGACCCAGGGTCAAACAGTCTTTTAAAAAGAAGAACAAATTAGAGGATTCATACTTCCTGATTTCAAAACTTCAGGGCTACAGTGATGAAGACAGCGGGGCACTGTCAGAAGGACACGCAGAGACCGGTGGGTTCACTCAGAGTCCGGAAATAAACCCACATGCCTGTGGGCAACTGATTTCAACAAGGATGTCAGACCACTCAATGGGGAAAGAACAGTCTTTTCAACAAGGGGTGCGGACTGTCCACATGCATAGAATGAAGTTAGGCCTCTTCCTCACATCAAATGCAAATGTTAACTCAAAGTGGATCAAAGACCTAAATGTAAGAGCCAAAGCTATAAAACTCTTAGAAAAAAACATAGGTATAAATCTTTATGACCCTGAATTAGATCATGGTTTTTGGGTTGGTTGGTTGGTCTAGGCCAGGTCTCACTCTGTCACACAGGCTGCAGTAAAGTGGCACAATCATAGTTCACTGCAGCCTTGAACTCCCAGGCTCCAGCAATCCTTCCACCTCAGCTTACCATAGCTGGGACTACATGTGCTCACCACAATGTCCAGCTGATTTTTAAATTTTTCGTCAAGTCACAGCCTCACTTCAAAGCCAAGCCTGGTCTCAATCTCCTGGCCTCAAGTGATCCTCCTGCCTCAGCCTCCCAAAGTGCTGGGATCATAGGCAGATAATGGTTTTTAAAAACACACACAGGCAAAGCACAAACAATCAAAGATAAAACACATAAATTGAACTCAGGTAAAAGAGATCAACTGAAAACTTTTGTGCTTCAAAAGACACCATCAAGAAAGCAAAAAGACAATCCACAGATAGGGGTCTAGTATCTGGAATATACAAAACACTCTTACAACTCAACGATAAAAAACAAATAATCCAATTAAAACCAGGTAAAGGGCCAGGCGGGGTGGCTCACACCTGTAATCCCAGCACTTTGAGAAGCCAAAGTGGGAGGATCACTTGAGCCCACAAGTTTGAGACCAGCCTAGGCAAAATGGGGAGACCCCATCTCTACCAAAAATTTAAAAAATTAGCTGGGCGTGGTGACGCACACCTGTATTCCCAGCTACTCAGGAGGCTGAAGTGGGAGGGTGGCTTGAGCCCAGGAGTTCAAGGCTGCAGTGAGCTATGACGGTGTCACTGCACTCCAGCCTGGGCAACAAAGTGAGACCCTGTCTCTTTAAAAAAAAAAAAAAAGGTAAAGATTGTAAATAAACATTTCTTCAAAGATGAGATACAAATGGCCGATAAACACATGAAAAGATGCTTGGTATCACTAATCACTAGGGAAATGCAAATCAAATCTACAGTGAGTTACACTGAGTTACCACTTTACATCAACCAGAATGGCCATAATGAAAAAGACAGAAAATAAGTGTTGGCAAGAATGTGTAAAAACTGGATTCCTTGTACAATGCTGGTGGGAATGTAAAACGGTAATGCTGCTTTAAATAAGTTTATTGGGGCCGGACATGGTGGCTCATGCCTGAACCAACACTTTGGGATCACTTGAGGTCAGGAGTTTGAGACCAGCCTGGCCAACATGGTGAAACCCCGTCTCTACTAAAAATACAAAAATTAGCCAGGCGTGGTGGCGGGTGCCTGTAATCCCAGCTACTCGGGAGGCTGAGGCAGGAGGATCGCTTGAATCCAGGAGGCAGAGGTTGCAGTGAGCCGAGATCGCGCCACTGCACTCCAGCCTGGGCGACAAAGAGAGACTCCATCCCAAAAAAAAAAAAAAAAAAAAAAAAAAGTCTGTTGGTTCTTCAGTAAATTCAACATGAAATTACCACAGGAGCCAGAAATTCCACTTCTAGCTACATACCCGAAAGCACTGCAAAGAGGTATTCAGACAAACACTTATAAAGAAATACTTGTAGCCTCATTATTCACAATAGCCCTACGGTACAAACAACCCAAATGTACATCAGCAGACGAACGGATCAACGAATCCCAGATATACACGCAGCAGGGTGTTTTCGGCTGTGAAAGGGAATGAAGTGTTAACCCAGCACAGTGTGGATGGATCTTGAAAACACCTGACATGAAAGAAGCCAGGCACAAAAGGAAAAATACTGCAGGATTCTGTTTACAGGAAATATCCAGAATAAGCAAATCCATGGAAATAGAAAGTAGATTAGTGGTTGCCAGGGGCTGGGGGAATGGAGAATGGGAACATTAAAAGAAAAACGTTAGCCGGGCGTGGTGGCTCACGCCTGTAATCCCAGCACTATGGGAGGCTGAGGCAGGCGGATTACCTGAGGTCGGGAGTTTGAGACCAGCCTGACCAACATGGAGAAACCCCGTCTCTACTAAAAATACAAAATTAGCCAGGCGTGGTGGTGCATGCCTGTAATTCCAGCTACTAGGGAGGCTGAGGCAGGAGAATCGCTTGAACCTGGGAGGCGGAGGTTGCGGTGAGCCGAGATAGTGCCATTGCACTCCAGCCTGGGCAGCAAGAGTGAAACTCCATTTCAAAAAAAAAAAAAGAAAAACTTTAGATAAATTAAATTTAACAAAGTTTAACTGAGCAAAGAGTCATCTGAGAATTGGGCAGCTCCCAGAACCAGAACAGGTCCAGAGCAAGTCCGGGGCTGCTGCATGGTCAGACCACACTTAAGGACAGGAAAAAAAAGGGACAAAAAGTGAAAAAGACAAAAACAGAACAAAAAGAAAAGAAAAAAAGGAAAGTGACGGACAGAAAACAGTCACGCAATTTTGTGAAGTTGCAGCAACATTTAACGCTTGGGATATTTCACCATAAAAGTCTCCATTTCTGGCTTCATTTGAACAGATTCAGCAGCCTGGGAGGTGTGGCCCGTGCACCGCCTGCCTACTTAGAATTACATTCCCAGCTCACAGCCGGGATGGCAGGAGAGTGCGGAAGCGGCACATGGCAGACACAACCGGGGATGACCCAGCTCCTCACCAGAGGGCAGGTACCGGAAACCAGCAAACACGATTTGACAGGACGCAGAGCAAACACCGCATTAAACAGCTCCTGCGTTCCAAGGCCAGGTGCTTAGTTCATCTATGGAAACCTTACTTAAAACGACACAATTAGCTCAAACGGACTCATCCTACCTTAGATTCTACTCGCCGCGAATGGATGCATGCAGCCTGCCATCAAGCCACGGAGGTACCACATTTCTCAAAAGCAAAAGCTAACCGTTTTTCCATCGGGCTCTTTTCTTTGTTCTGCGGGACACAGAAAGCTATTTACATGATTATCTGACACAAGAAAGCAGGAGAGAAGAGAGCAGAGGGAGAGAAAGGTGAGTGAGGACTGCAGGCCTAATGCCTTTCAACTTTTTTTTGGTTCTAATCTTTGAAAAAGATGTGGTCACACTGGTTGTTAACCACAGTAACAATCTGACAAGATGATTTATCTAAAACAAAAACAAACAGAAAGGGCCCCTGGCACATGAGGGAGATGCCAGACCCCCTTGTTACATCTGGGCCCCCGACACGAATGTGCAAGAGCCGGACCTCTGCACCTGTCAGAGGCGGCTCGCATTACGAACCTGCTCCACAGTCCTGTGGATTCCTAACTCCGCTCAAGCGGAAACAAAGACTGGAAAAAGAACACGAGGCAGGTCCCAATTCCACTGCAAAGGCCAGGCTCTCAGGACGAAAGCTGATCTCACCCTGTGCCCTCGCTCCCCCCATTCCCTCACTGCCCCATTTCACCTCACTCTTAGAAGAGGGATAAAGGGAACAAACCTTACCCAACAGTAAGATTGTCCCGCCCTGGATTTTCTTTTGAAACGGAGAATTTATTTTCTTCCCTCAAGCACTGCTATAAGTCACAAGAGAACAGGGTTACGTTGAGGACATTTCCATGTCATAATAAACAGAACTTCTGTGAAAACACTAGGATGAACCCCACCACAGCATCCTGCATGTGGCCAGCGGGCAGACAGACACAACTCTGAGAATGGGGCCGGCCAGGCCCAGGCCACTCACTCCCCGGCCCACGGCTGCTTGCCATTACAGTTCAACCAAAGCCTGGCAGCAGCCGTCAAAGGATTCCAGGTAACCAGTAACCAACCCTCCCAGGATGGACAAGCGTGCAGTCCCCACACCTAACTCCAGCTCCTTCTACACCCTACACACGACCCAGGCAGCATGCTGGCAGCAGATCCAACCCTTCTGAAATTTGACATAAATGCACCTTGTGTGAACACAAAGTACATATTTTTAAATTTATCTAAGTAAATGATCAAAAAAGCTTTTTATACTTGTAAAATACTCATTTCAAAAAGGTTCATCCAGGTGCAGTGGCTCACGCCTGTAATCCCAGCACTACGGGAGGCTGAGGCGGGCGGATCACAAGGTCAGGAGTTTGAGACCAGCCTGGCCAACATAGTGAAACCCCGTCTCTACTAAAAATACTAAAATTAGCCAGTCATGGTGGTATGCACCTGTAGTCCCAGCTACTCAGGAGGCTGAGGCAGGAGAATAGATTGAACCCAGGAGGCAGAAGTTGTGGTGAGCTGAGATCGCGCCACTGAACTCCAGCCTGGGCAACAGAGTGAGACTCTGTCTCAAAAAAAAAAAAAAAAAAAAAAAAAAGACCACATGCAGTGGCTCACGCCTGTAATCCCAGCACTTTGGGAGGCCGAGGAGGGTGGATCACAAGGTCAGGAGATCAAGACCATCCTGGCTAACACAGTGAAACTCCATCTCTACTAAAAAATAGAAAAAATTAGATGGGTGTGGTGGCGGGCGCCTTTAGTCCTAGCTACTCGGGAGGCTGAGGCAGGAGAATGGTATGAACCCGAGAGGCAGAGCTTGCAGTGAGCCAAGATAGTGCCACTGCACTCCAGCCTGGGCGACAGAGTGAGACTCCATCTCAAAAAAAAAAAAAAAAAGCTTCATGAGGCTGAGCACAGTGGCTTACACTTGTAATCCCAGTACTTTGGGAGGCTGAGGCAGGAGGATCTCTTGAGCCTAGGCGTTCTAGACTAGGCTGGGCAACATAGGGAGATAGGGAGATCCCATCTCTACAAAAATTAAAAAGAAGAATTAGCCAGCACAATAGTGCACACCAGTAGTCCAGCTACTCAGGAGGCTGAGGTGGGAGGATCACTTGGGCCCAAGAGGTTGAGGCTGCAGTTAGCTATGATCACCACTGCACTCCTGGGCGACAGAGTGAGACCTTGTCTCAAAAAAAAAAAAAAAAGTTCGAGAGTAAAAACAAAAATTAAGAATACAACATATTGAACATGTTGAAGATTGTGAGTTTAAAAATGAAACATTAAGGCCAGGTGTGGTGATTCACATCTGTAATCCCAGCACTTTGGGAGGCTGAGGCAGGGACTGCTTGGGGCAAGGAGTCCAAGATCAGTCAGAGCAACATAGTCAGGCCTTGTTTCTACAAAAATAAAAATAAAAACATTAGGCCAAGTGCGGTGGCTCACGCCTGTAATCCCAGCACTTTAGGAGGCTGAAGCAGGCGGATCACCTGAGGTCAGGAGTTCTAGACCAGCCTGGCCAACATGGTGAAATCACGTATCTACTAAAAATACAAAATTAGCTGGGTGTGGTGGCACACGACTGTAGTCTCAGCTACTCAGGAGGCTGAGGCAGGAGAATCGCTAGAAACTGGGAGGCAGAGGTTGCAGTGAGCCAAGATTGCACCATTGCACTCCAGCCTGGGTGACAGGAGCGAAACTCCGTCTCAAAAAAAAAAAAAAAAATTAGCTGGGCATGGTAGCACACGCCTGTGGTCCCAGCTACTGGAGAGGCTGAGGCGGAGGATCACTTGGGCCCAAGGGTTTGAGGTTATAGTAAACTATGATCACCACTGCACTCCCACCTGGGTGACACAGCAAGACTCTGTCTCTACACAAAAGTAATAATATAAATAAATAAAAATGAAACATTCACAGTAAATAAAAGGCTGGAACCTGGTCTTCGCCCTGTCTTCCCTGATTTTTATGCTTTGGCTTCTTCACTTTGAGCTTCTTTGCATTTTCCAGCCTTATCTGCCCAGTACTCTCTCTCTTCCTTTAATCAAAGAAATACGCTCCTGTAACTCCAAAGAAGAAACGGCAACACCAGTGCCAAAATGATGTTTTTGACAGGAAGAAACATAAACTTCACAGGAAAGCAGTGACATCACGCCCCTCCCATTCCTCCCCTGTTCTGATCCTGGGCTGTGGTTCAGACAGGACCTACAGCCCAGACAGCTCCTTCCACCCCATTCTCTACCATTGTAGTGATGAGGTTAGACCCGAATGTTACAAGAGCTGGGCAAGCAGGTGAAGCACCCCCAGCAACAAAATCCATCATCATAAACATGCAAAGGCCACTGCTTCCCAAAAGTATTTGCTACCTCTTGAGAGCAACTTTATCATCCACTGGCAACTGCTTCAAATTGGGCCCCGACTGTCTCCCATCACCTATCTGCAACTGAGTGTCCCCACCTGCAAGAAAACACACACATCTCCAGGGCCCTGGGGTGAGCAGCAGGACCGTTCCACAGAGGTGAGCCTGGACCCAGGCAGCAGGGACACTGCTGCACCTGCGGCTGGAGTGACACCGAAAACACAGCAGCAGCTGAGAGGGCAGGAGAGGCAACCGGCCACGAGCCTCTGTTGGCTCCAACCACCAAAGGATGGTGCTTATTCCTGACCCCATTACTACGCAACCAGGCTCACTAGAAAGTTTCCATTAGCCGGTCTGGAGCATATTCCTGGGTGTGATATGCCATCATGTTCATGTTTTTTAAATCACTATTAAGTAAAGCGTTTTTTTTGTTTTCTGTTTTTTGGTTTTTTTTTTAGAGACAGGGTCTCACTATGTTGCCCAGGCTGGTCTCAAACCCTGAGCTCAAACGATCCTCCTGCCTCAGTCTCCCAAAGCGCTGGGATTATAGGTGTGAGCCACCGCACCGGCCCTTAAGTAGACTATTTTGAATGCTGCATAGAGACTCCCCTGAAAATAGCCTGTTCTTGGGTTTTAGCTGGGAGCTTATGGCTTTAGATGCGCCAGACCAAAAGAAAAAAAAACAGCTGCAAACCTGAGGTGTTACAAGGTGGCTGCCAGCAAAGCGATCCAGGAGAAGGGAGGCAGGTCACCACGCCAGGAGAAGAGAAGGGCAGGGAAAAGGCCAACTCCGGGAAGAAAGGCCCTGGGGCAAAGCGCATCCAAAGCCGTCACTCTGGGGCAGAAGACAGAGCGGAATCCCATCAGCGACGGCCGTTTCCAGACCCTTTTCCTAGGCAGCCAGACCGGCACCGCTGGCCAGGTGCAGGGCCCAAGCAGAAAGTCAGGAGCCAAGGGAGCGATGAGGAGGGGTGGGGCAGCCAGGGGAGAGGACACCGAGCGGGAGGGGTAAGCGAAGGGGGAAGAGAACAAGGGGGCCTGGAGGGGGGACACAAAAGGAGGGCCCATGGAGATGGAGGAAACACTGAGGGGTGAAGCACACGGAGGGGGGACACAGAGGAGGAGGGGACACGTTGGTGGCGTCGTGCGCGGAGGGGGAGGTACACGGAGGAGTCGCGGAGAGGCGAGGGATGTGGGAGGTCGTCACCAACAGCGCGACCTGGGTCACCCACAGGAAGAGGGCCACTGAGGGCCCCGCCTGACCCCTCCCTCCTGGTGGCCCTGCGCCCTCAGGCCGAGTCCCACCTCCTCTGCAGCTCTTCCAGGACCCACGCGGTCCCACCGCACCACGGCTCCCCCGGACCCCGCTTCCCCGAGGCCTGCGCGGAGACGCCGGGAAGGCCCGAGCCCGCGCATGCGCAGCCGCCGCCACGTGCCTGCCTTGACGCCGCCGGTGCTGCCGGGAAGGGGGCGGGCTGCGCAGGCGCGGGAGAGGCCCACGCGGTGGCCACGCGGGGCGTCCGGTGGCTGCGCTCGGTTGGGCCCCTGGGCTCGCGCGCTCCGTGGGCCGCGGTGCTGACGGGCACCCAGGAGGTGGGGTGGGAGGCGGCCGGCCGGGGTGGAGGGGCGTTCCTGGGCCGACGTGCTGTTGGCTTCCGCGACGTGGTGGAGTCTCGCCAGTCCCTGCAGCGCTTCTGCGACTCTGAAGATAAAGAGGATCGTATTTTGAGAAAAGCTCATGGAGCAAGGAGCTCAAGGAGCAAGGCCTGAGGTGCAAGCTGTCACCGGGTCGCATCTGCTTAGCAGCCTGCACATTGCTAGCGAGAGTCTCCACTCAGCCTGAACATAGTGCTTGGGAGGAGGAGGGCCGCCAGGCCACACCCGTGGGGTGCAGGATGCGCCATGTCGGGGTCCGTGAGTCTGGGGTGACGTGAGATCCCAGAGGCTGAGTCTGGAAAATTGAGCGGATGTGGCCGCGGTAGCAGAATGGACGAAGGCCTCCAGGCCGAGAGGGAGCTCTGTGTACAAGGGCACGGCAAGTGGCCACCGGTGGCCAGTGTGGAGTACGGCTCCCTCCAAAGCAGGCTCTTCCTGCAGGTATTTTATCCGGGAGGTGGACTCAGGAAGCACAGGTAAGGGAGTAGGGAAGTACACGTGTTGGGGAGCAGGTGAGAGCCGGGGCCCCTGGACTAGTCCTCCTGGAGGCCTCTGGGAGAGCACAGGACACAGTTCCGAGTGGGTTTGCTCTGGTTTTGAGGGGCCATCCTTGCCGCCCCACCTCTGCCAACTGCACTTCCAGCAAGCCCCGGGCATAGGCCAGCACCCCTAAGCACTGAGAAAAGCGCTCAGGCAGGAAGTTGCAGGTGCTGGGGGCGGGGGGGCGTTGGGGTGCATGGGAAAGGCAGGGTGCTGAGAGCGTCAGCCGCACTGCATGTGTGTGCGTGGTGGGGCTGGGGAAGGGCTGGCGCGTGTTGACACGATGGTGCGGGCACCGGGGAGCACCACCCCCACATGATCCCCTGTATGTTGCAGAGAGATGATGGCACCAGTGGGCACACTGCTCGCAGGTCAGGAGGAAACAGGGCTTGGTCAGGCCAGAGACAGTAGGAGCCTAAACCGCAGGCCTGCAGAGGTTGAGGGGAGGTGTCTGATAATTAGTAGGGTGTGGAAATGAGAATGAGCGAGTTGAGGATGGTGCCCAGGCTTCTAGTTTGGGTGGTCCGGTGAGTGGCGCTGTCTTCTGGCCCTAAAGCCCTGTCACGGTAAGGAGAACTGCCTGGAAAACGTACACTTGGGGAAGACAGAAGAGGTTATTACAAACACTCCTTCACTTTACAACTTGGCTATTTTGTGATAAGTTTTAGTGCATTTATTTGAGTTTATTAAAGATGCCATGTTACTGCCTTCTTAACAAATGGACATAGGCAGATAGCTGTTTTCCTGTTGTGGTGAGTAATGGCCAGGAGAGGCAGCCTTCTGTGGAGCAGGCACCGCAGAACCTTTGCATGCAGATGGCATCTCCTCTACAATGGCGCCGGGGTTGCTAGAGCCACAGACGCTGAGCTTATTTTACTCAGAAAGCCACAGAAACAATAACCAAAAAAGGATACTATGAAGGCAGCATAGATCATATGCTTTTTAAAAAGCCCATCGTCAGCATCAGTGACAACACCATTACCGCTCAGTCACCGAGATTAAAAATTAGTCACACGTGGAAAATAGAAACAGGTTTTCAGGGAGAAGAAGGTTTTGATTCCACTGAATAATGCTCCCTCTTTTGCTTGGTAAATAGATGATCCATATTTCCTGATGATGTACATTTTCGAGGGTAGCTATGCCTAGGTGGTCTCAGATTTGGGGAAAAAGCCTTGGCCTCAGTTGACTGGGAAGGGCTCAAAAACTATAAATTGTATCCAAAAATGTCTGACAACAAGGTATTCAGTAATGACATCAGAGACTCCATCCAGACTGAATCTAGATTAGGTCACAAATGATTAACAGTCCTTGGAATTAAGAACTTTTATCTTGGCCGGGTGTGGTGGCTCATGCCTGTAATCCCGGCACTTTGGGAGACGGAGGCAGGCGGATCACTAGAGGCCAGGAGTTTGAGACCAGCCTGGGCAACATGGTGAGACCCTGTCTCTACTAAAAATACAAAAATTAGCCAGGTGTGGTGGCGCGTGCCTATGATCCCAGCTACTCGGGAGGCTGAGGCGGGAGAATCTCTTGAGCCCAGGAGACGGAGGTTGCTATGAGCCAAGATCGCAACACTGCACTCCAGTCTGGACGACAAAGCAAGACTCCGTCTCTTTTTTTTTTTTTTTTTTTTTTTTTTTGAGACGGAGTCTCATTCTGTCACCAGGCTGGAGTGCAGTGGCGCGATCTCGGCTCACTACAATCTCTGCCTCCCGGGTTACATACCACCACACCCAGCTAATTTTTTGTATTTCAGTAGAGACGCAGTTTCACCACGTTGGCCAGGATGGTCTCGATCTCCTGATCTCGTGATCTGCCCGCCTCAGCCTCCCAAAGTGCTGGGATTACAGGCGTGAGCCATGATGCCCGGCCGCAAGACTCCGTCTCAAAATTAAATAAAATATTTTTAAAAAAGAACGTTTTTCTTGTGTGCATCACAATACTTCAGCGAGACACAATCCTCATCTGAGCCACCACGGGGCTGGCCCTTGCCCCTCTCCTTCCCTTTAAGCCCTGGTCCAGCCCAGCCTTCGGTCTTCTGAGCCTCCATGTACCTCGGCTGGGCCCCGGCCCCTGTCCTCAGCCCGTCCTGCCCGCTTCCCCTCCCTGGCCACTCTGGGCAGAGGCCTTGCTTCCTGTGTCACTGACACCTGGGGACAATCCACAGAGGTACCCCACACTCCCAACACGGCATCTGTCCCGCCTGTGCCCCCCACCCACCAAACCTCTGCTCCCCTCCATCTTCTCTCCTGTTACCGTGGTTGAACACTTCACGCCCCCTATTAAGTGCCAGCCACCCATCAGCCCTCCCCTGGCCCCACAAACAGTACTGCACCTGTCCTCAGAATTCAAATGTGCCCACTCCCTATGGCCGTCTCTGCTCTTCTGACTCACCTTAATCCCCGTTGAAGCACTCTCATTCTTTGGCTGGGTGCAGTGGCTCATGCCTGTAATCTCAACACTTTCATGAGGCTGGCGGATCACTTGAGCCCAGGAGTTCGAGACCAGCCTAGGCAATATGGGGAGACCCTGTCTCTACAAAAAATACAAAAATGAGCCAGGCATGGTTTCTCATGCCTGTAATCCCAGCTGCTTGGGAGGCTGAGGCAGGAGGATTGTTTGAGCCCAGGAGTTCAAGACTGCAGTGAGCTGTGATCACACCACTGCACTCCAGCCTGGGCAACAGAATGAGACAGCCTGTCTCAAAAAGAAAAGGTCTCACTCTCAAAGCCCCCTGAGACCACTTCCAACAGGGTCTCCACCAGCCTCCTCCACTCTTGGCAGCCTGGTCTTGCTGTCAATGGCGCAGGATGGCGCATGTGTTGGTCACTGGCTTCCCTTGGAACTGGTTCCTCCCTGAGCTCCTGGGGGCCACCTGACCCTGTTTCTGTTGCCCTCCTCCTTGGGCCCACTGTCGTGAACTATCCTGGCACTCTGTCCCCAGCAACTGTATAGCAAAGACGTCTACAGTGTGGACCTTGGCCTCCAGCCTGGCCCCTGAGCTGGAGACTCGGCAGCCTTCAGGACCCTTCCCCTGAGCTGTGTGAGAGAAGCTCCAGCCCAGCATCCCAAACCCAAGGCTCTGCCTGCCGAAACCTCCTCCTCCCAAACCGTCCCCGTATGGTGGTCACACCAGCCATCTCTGAGCTGCCAAGGCCAAAACAGTGTCGGAGTCCTCTACACCTCTTCCTCCCACCGCCCCGTGGAACCCACCGGCAACCCTCACACACGTTCCAGTATCACTGCTCTATGGCGGTGGGCTCTGCACCAGGCTGGACCACAGAAGGCCATGGTCGCTTCAGTTGTATAAAACACGCCACAGGTGCATCCAGCTGCTGGGATCAGTGCCAGTAAGTGCCCACTGCAGAAACCCAGTGTGCTGTGCCCGGGGCACCCTCACCAAGGCACTGTCCTAAGAATGAAACTGGCAACCAGAGGAAAGTCCACAGCAGGCCACTCTGCCACATTCCAAGGACAATCATGTGTTCCCCTTCCCCATATCCTTTTCTTTTTATTTGCCAGAAAAGTGCAGTTCTCCAGAAGCCAGCAGGCCAACCATGGGCGTCTCCCTCCCTCCCTCCCTAAGCACACTCAGCACCCAGGAGGGACATGAGCACCCACAGCCTGGGAAGGTCCCTCAGCGGCCGGGAGGGACATAAGCACACACAGCCCGGGAAGGTCCCAGAGCAGGCTGGGTGCTCCTTGCTTACGGAGGCCCCACCAGGGCCTGGCAGGGCACCCAGAAGATGAGGGCTTTAAAGAGCTCTCTTTGTCCCCATGTGGCTCCTTCTACCATGCTCCCGGCAAGCTAATGTTCTCAGTGGCTCTTTTTTTTTTTTAACAACTCTTATTTTCAAATAAGAATAAATATGTGTGTCTGTTCTCTGGGGGTTTAGGCAGCCCCGAGCTGACCCTGTGACTGGGGAGGGATTGATGGCCCCGTCTCACCGGGAAGCCAGGTGCATCTTTTACTAAAGGTGGTTTCTGAATGATGAATGGCTTTCTCACGAACATAACACTGTTGATTGTATTTACAAACAATTCATTTTCACGTTCTGTTGATTCTGCCCCAGCCGTCCCTCCTGTTGCCTCCACAGATGATGCATTGGTGGCTATTACCACCATTGATGAAGGCGTCCTGCTCGCCCTGTGGTACCTGTTACTCCATTCATCACAGTTGAGCAGCCTGCGTGCAGCGGGAGAGCGTGTTCTCTTCGGGCCTTGCAGTTATTTATCCTTGAATTTGTGTGGGTTTGTGCACCTCTAAATACAGGTGCAAACCCACACTCCAAGATCTTAACAGGCGCAACAGTGGCCAAAATACACGGCCAGTTAAATTCTTGGGGTTTAGCCAGTCCCCCAAAGCCCACCTCTTCCACTCCACATTCTAAAAAAATACCGATGCGCATAAACAGTGTCAGCAACCTCCACTAATTAAGGCTTCCAACCAGAAGGAAAGCTGAAGTAAGTACCAGCGATCAGCATCAAATCATCAACTTTTAGGGCTGACCTAAAAGACCCCAAGCCTGAATGCCCCAGCACCCACTGGGCAAGGGGCAGCCAGTCCCCAGCATGGCCTAATCCAGGCCAAGCAGGAAATTTCTGGAATCAGCTGCTTTTTCCACATTTCTCTATCTAGACCCCCTCCTCCTGGCTGCCTCTCTGGTTCAGTGGTGGCGTTCCCCTGAGCTTGACCGGGCTCTGCAGATGGGCTGGCATGCATGGAAGAAGCTGGCGCTGTGAGGAGTCCTGGCTTCCCGCTCACAGCCATTGGGCCTTGGGTGAGTCAGTCAGTCTCTCCAGACCTTGAGGTCTTCACCCAGGACATGTGGAGGCTCAGAAAGGAGCCCAGGTTCCTGCCCATCTGGAAAATCTGCATGTTCCTGGTTGCAGCAAGAGTCTGCCAGGCTCACACTTGCAAAGTACTGGTCCATATAAAAGCATAAAGCAGGCCAGGCACAGCGGCTCACACCTGTAATCCCAGCACTTTGGGAGGCCAAGGTGGGCCAATTGCTTGAGCCCAGAGTTTGAGACAAGCCTGGGCAACATAGCGAGACCCCATCTCTACAAAAAATACAAAAGTTATCTGGATGTGGTGGCGCATGCAAGCGGTCCCTGCTACTTGGGAGACCGAGGTGGGAGGATTGCCTGAGCCTAGGAGGTTGAGGCTGCAGTGAAGTGAGCTGTGATCACACCACTGCACTCCAGCCTGGGCGACAGAGAGCCACCCTGTCTCAAAAAAAAAAAAAAAGGCCAGTCACAGTGGCTCACACCTATAATCCCAACACTTTGGGAGGCCAAGGCAGGCAGATCACTGGAGCTCAGAAGTTCAAGACCAGCCTGGGCAACAGGGCGAAACCCTGTCTCAATTTTTTTTTCTTTATAAATTACAAAAGAGAAAACGAGCATAAAGCAGCCCCATCAGCAATTATCACCTCATCTGCAAAAGGTCCCGGCGCTCACTGCCGTGCCCCTCCCGCCGCTGTCCAGTTCCCTGCCTGTCACACCAAAATTCTCCTCTACTTTCTCACCTCCCATCCTTTCATTTTTCCCCCTAAATTTTTAAACTTCAGAAGTGCACAATACACATGTAACAAACCCACACATGTACCTCCAAATCTAAAATAATTTAAAAAAACAAAAAGGAAACTCTAAATTTTTTGAGTGCAGTGATACATTCTTGCTGTGCCAAATCCAGTAACACAGAAGCATGCAAAGAAAAAGGCAGCACCACCCCCCTCCAACACACACACACACACACACACACGCACACACGCACATATGCACGCACACACACGCACACGCACACACGCACACGCACACACTCCAGCCTGGGCGACAAGAGCAAGACTCCATCTCAATAAATAAATAAAGAAAATAGTAATTGAATATTTTCCTTCAGGAAACAGCACCCTGCAGGGAGGGGAAGTCTTATGACCCTCAAAGTTTGAGAGCCTCTCTTAACTTCCCAATGGCCTCTGTCTGCTGAACCAAGAAGCCTGCAAAACAAATACGTAAGAACTGGATACCATTTCAGTCACACATGCTTGCTGACAGTCACTGATATGGTAATGCCTCCTGTACACATAGCTGACTCTGAAGACTGCTAAGAGGGTTTGGGTCTCTGCTGTACAGGACCTTGGCAGCCTGCAAGGAGATGACTCACATGGAAGTCCCCACACAAGTGCACCCAGTGTGAACTTTGGAAGCATCGGCCCATGCTCAGGCCCACAGGTAAGATGGCCAGGAGCCCCTAACCTTGAGGAAACTTGAACCACAGAGCTGCTGGCGAAGGGGGTGGGTGAAGGTCTCATGTAGCCTGTGTGATTCAGGCAGAAGTGAGAAGGACGGGTGGGAACCCACCAAGTGGACGACAAGCTGAAGGGCTCCCAGGGAGCAGACACTTCAAGGGCCCCAAAAGGCCAGGAGAAAGAAAAAAAAAAGCCGGGTATGGTGGCTCATCCCTGTAATCCAGCACTTTTGGGAGGTTGAGGCAGATGAATTGCTTGAGCCCAGAAGTTTGAGACCAGCCTGGGCCTGGGCAATGTGGCGAAACCCTGTCTCTACAAAATATACAAAAATTAGCCGGGTGTGGTGGTGCAAGCCTGTAGTCCCAGCTATTCAGGAGGCTGAGGTGGGAGGATCACATGAGCCCAGGAGGTGGAGGCTGCAGTGAGCTGTGATCGTACCACTGCACTCCGGCCTGGGGAACAGAGTGAGGCCCTGTCTCAAAAGGCCAGGAGTGGAAGACAGGCCCTAGCCAGGAGGTTTCGCGTGGCTGGCAGGGGCCTTATGAGAAGGCTGTTGCTGGGAGGGGCCTGCTGCAGATGGCTGCGGCAGACCACGGAGCTTAGCCTTCAGGATTTAGATCTGGGGATGACAGGCTCCTGTGTGCTTGTTGCGGAGCCGGGAGCACAGGCACCAGAATGATCCCAGGGCTCAGCTCCAAGGCTCCGCTGGGCCTGTGGTGGGGCAGTGAACGTGGACAAGACCTGGGCTTCAGAGGAACTTGATGACCAGGAGCCGTGGTTACCGCCTGTGCCCTGGCCTTCCTGCTCTTCAAAGGGTGTGTTCTGAGCTGAGGCGAGACCCACACGAAATCCGAGCGGGCTCCGGAGTCACCAGACACCTAGGGAAGTATGGAAGGCCCGGAAGGACACACACAGCCGGGTGAGCCCCGCAGGGAGCTGTGCAGTCTCAGGTCGTCCAGTCCTGGGGCTGCAGGCCAGTTCTCCAAGCAGGTGGTCCTGGAGGCAAGCTGGTTTTGAAAGTAGGTTCTGAAAATAGGTCAGTCCAGGAAACAAGCTCTGGAAGTAAAGAGATTCGGAAAGCAGGTTCGTTCTGGAAACAAGTTCTACAAACAGGTAGTTCTGAAAGCACGTGGGTTCCAGAGGCAGGTGCTAGAAGGATGTGGGTTCTGTACGGAGGTTCTGGAGGGAGGCGGGTTCTGGACGGAGGTTCTGGAAGGAGGCGGGTTCTGGAGGCCGGTTTTGGAAGCAGGACGACACCGACAGAGGCGCCTCGGACTGGGGCCAGGCCTGGAGCCTCCGCTCCGCGGGCAGAGAGAAGAAAGCAGGCATTGTCGGAGGACTCACACAAGCACTTGTCCCTAACAAAACCGTTTTTAAAAACCCCATTGTGAACATTTTTGGAACAAGCCTCTTAGAGGGTCCCGTTGCCGGGGTGACAGGACGAAACGGCGCGAGCGGGCAGACTCCTGGAGTCCCCGCAAAGGGAGCCGAGGAGCTAGGCGCGCCGAGTCCAGGTCCGCCCTGACTCTCAGCTTGGGACGTTCCGTATAGTTTTTTTCTCCGTTTCCCGAACTTCTCCCGCACGCTCAGCGGCCGCCGCGGCGCATGCGCAGTACAACCTGCCAGCCAGCCGCGGGCGTTCCGGCCGCGGTTGCCAGGGGTTACCGTCCCGCGGGCGGGCGGAGCTGGCCGTCCAGAGCCCGCCTTCCTGGAACTCTGGTTGGCTGATATAGCTGTCCGTCGAAGCGGCATTGCCGCCTATTGGGCAATGGCCAGCTTCGCACGCCAGACCCGTGCCCCGCCCAGCCGCGCCGCGGGCCGCCCCCACTCAGGAGGGACAGTCGGGGACCGGCGCGGGCACTCAGGAGCCCGCGGCCCAGGTGGTGCGGGCGGCCCTAGCCCGGCTGCGGAGCGCTGCGCGAGCGGCGGGCTGGCTGACCCCGAGGGACCCCCAGCGCAGCGGGTGCGGCGATGATCCTGGAGGAGAGGCCGGACGGCGCGGGCGCCGGCGAGGAGAGCCCGCGGCTGCAGGTGCGCAGAACTGGCGCGGCGGCGGGAGGAGGGGCCCGGAATCCCGGCCTTTTCCTGCCCCCCCTCGAGGCGCGTTCCGGGCGCCCCCCTCCTACGTCTCATTCGGCCCGGACGCAGGCAGGGAAACTGAGGCCAGAGCCTGCGTCCCTCCTCCTCTGAGCTCGGTGGAGGTGCTTCCAGGCCACTCATGTGAGCCGGGAAATGCGGACAGCCAAAGTCTGGATCATCCTCACCGCTGAAGCGGGTTGGGGGGACGCCCTCCTCGTGTCCCCCTTCTGGGCGGATGTGGGGCTGGGCTCTGTGAGCGCCCTCCCCACACCCGCCATCGTGTTCCTTTCCGGCACCTGTACAGCCTCCTTCCCTAGTTCGGTCCTCCCTCTGCATCCGCTCAGGAACTGCATGCCCATTGGGTGCACTGGTAGCAGCGGGCAGCGAAGCCTCCTGGGTATGGGAAACCGAGAGAGGTCTTCCCGGCTGGCCTCTTCTCACTTCCCAAACCTCCTTCCCTTCTGAAGTCCCTAACCCGGGGTGCTGACTGGGCAAGTGGGAGGGGTGGGCAGGGCTGTGGAGACCTGCTGAGTCTGTGCCTGGGAAGGAGGGGACGTCTGTGGGCCTTGCTCTGCAGCCCAGAGCCTGCTTGTTCCCTGCGGACCAGCTCGAGGCTGCCCCAGTCCTCCTGCCAGGCCCTGGGCGCCCACGCCCGCCACGGGCTTTCAGCCGCGGGCTGCTCCTGCTCCTCGCCCCGGGTGAGCCTTTGATAGCGCGCGGCCCTCCTCCCCTCTGGGACGTCAGACTGTGTTGTCCCTGGGCTGGTTCTACTCGGCTTTGGTGTTTGGGGTTAGGTCTCCTAGAGGAGGAGGCGGTGCTATCAGCCAGGGTTTGGCTTCAGGTCACTGGGCTGGTGATGCTGACCGTAGCCCTCAAGGACGCCCTTCTTGCCCACCCCGAGGCGTGCCAGAGGCTGCAGCACCTCCTGGGCACTGGAGGGAAAGAGGCAGCCTGTGCCTGCCCCCTATGAACTTGCTCTGTCAGGGCGGCCATGCCTGCAGGTGGCCTGGGACGGCACATGTTGTTTTGGGTGGAATGTTTGGGAGGCTGTACAAACAAGATGTCCCAGAGGGCTCCGGAGGTGACGCTTTTCAGGCTGGGGGCTGTGCCTGGGCTCCCTGTCCTGGCCCTCCCTGGGCTGCCACCTTGGAAAGTTGGGGAGAAGCTGTTTCCAGGCTGCCGTGTCTCTCACAGCGTCCAGAAATGACCCCACAGTCAGGGTACTGGGGAGGGGCCCGTGGGAGGTGGCAGTGGGGCGGAGGCAGGCCCTGTGTCACACGCGCACCACTCAGGCTGTCCTGCCATCTGGAAAGTCTTCCCCGATGCCTGCTGCCGGGCTAGAGTGAGGCCTGTTCCACCCCCATCAGGCTGGCCCCCAAACTGGCCCTAAAGCTCAGAGTTCAGTGGGTCAGGGGTCGGTCGTTCATCCACTTAGAGGCCACACCTGGGCCTGAGGCCCTGTGGACAGGTCTGGGTGACTTGTATTTGCCCCAGGCGTGATGAGAGCAGGCTTCCAGCAAGCGCTTACCTGGTGCCAGGGCCAGTGCTACAGCTGGAGTCCTGCCATTGGTGCCTCCCAAGCCCTGGGCCTCAGCCCGTCTGATGAACAGGGTGAGTAAGTGGCCAAGGCTGCCAAGCTGGGAAGGGGAGAAGCCTGGCACGGCCCAGGGTGGCCAACCCAGCTGCCGTCCCTCCCGCAGGGGCTGCAGGGGCTCCCGGGGGAGGACCACAAGGAATACAGCCTGGCTGTATGCAGAAGGTTCTGTGGTTTCCTGGGGAGGCCAGTGGGAGAAGGGGGAGCAGGCTGCAGAGGGAGAGCGTTGGAGCAGCAGGTGGGCAGGGTGGCTGTGCCCCCCTCACCTGGTCTCCAGCATGCCGAGTGGGTCAGCCTGAGGTTCCCCAGCCTGGCTGGACAGGAGCACCCTCTGGGTGCTGGTTACAGGTTCCCAGGCCCCTGCCCAGGTAGATTGGGCTCCAGGAAGAGGGGTGCTCAGGAAGCACCAGTGCCTGGGTACCCCAGGGAGCATCAGAGAGAGTGGGAGTCCCTGCCGTGAGTGGCCAGTCTATGATTCCTCTGGCGTGCGTGCTGCTTATAGCCCTGTGTCCCAGGAGACACCTGTGCAGCAATGCCCTTTGAATTCTGTTCCCTCATCAGTGGGGGGCAGAGATGGTGGGTCAGGTGGGTGCTGGGCTTCCACCCTCCTGGGGCTTCCAGTTCTTGCATTCAGGTGAGACTTCAGTGGGGGCAGAGGAGAGGGGTACCTGAGATGGGTGGCTGTCAGCATACAGGGTGCCCAGGGCCAGGGCTCTGAAGGGAAAAAGCTGGTTTGCTCCAGGTGGGTGACCTCTCCCTGGGGACTGCCTGGCCCAGGGCCAGGGGATCCTGGGGGAGAGTGGAGGTCTGGCCCTGCTCTGATGTTTTGCTGTTCCCAGACCTGGGCTGGGATAACTATCTCTGCCTTTTGCCCGTCCCCAGGTCAGCCCCACTCTGGCCAGGGCCACACTGTTTCCTCCTGGGCAGAGGAGCCCCAGTGTCAGGGTTGGGGGGCTGTTTCTCTGTTCTTCGTCCCTCTCCATCGAGGCATGGCCAGGCCCTTCATGTGTGGCTGCCTCTCGGGACCCCCACAGACCACAGCCTCTCTGTCCTTTCCTAATGCAAGGCGGAAATGGCCACAGTGGGGTGTCAGGGCACCGTGGACGTGGGGGTGGGGAGCTCCAGGTCACCTTTGTCTCCAGAGGGTGGGGAGGTTGTAGCAGGAGTAGGGGCCTGAACGCCTGTGTCTATGCCCCTTCCACTGGGCTCAACCTTCAACCCAGTGTGGAAAGTGGGGCATGGGCCGCCCACCTCCAAGGTCTACCCAGCCTCAAAGGTCCGGCTCGGGTCTGCTCCTCCGCCTGTAGGCCGGGAAGTCACTTGGCCTGCAGGGAGCACTGCGGGTAGGGAGGCCGAGGAATGGACCAGGCCCACAGCAGGTGCCTGTGGGGCTCCAAGGGGCCAGGCTCCCCGCAGCTCTCCTGGGGCCAGGAGGGGAGCAGGGACCTGGCTGGGTGTCTGATGCCCGTCGCACAGCCAGAGCCCTTAAAGCTGCTGGAGCCTTGCAGCGGGGCCTTTGCGGGGAGGGGGTGTAGCTGCGGTGGGTGGCACGGGGGTCTCCTAGGTACTGGGCAGAGGCCCTCGAGGTGGTAGCGCCGGTGGGAAAGGTAGGGATGGGAGGCGGGGGTGGGCGGGCCTCAGGTTCAGGGAGCTTCTCAGATCTGAGGCGCCCATGCCCCTCTCCCACCTGTGGGCCTCTCCAGCCCGAGTCCCTGAAGCAGCTCTGGAGGGAATTTCTTTTCTGGAGGAGGCGGGAGTGAGAAACGGGAGCAGGGTGAGGGTTCCCAAGTGCACATCGGCCCGTCCGCTGCTGGGTGGTGTCCACGGGGGCAGGGCTGGGCTGGGGGAGGCCAGGGTCCTGGGCCGGCACACCCTCCTTCCGGCTGCCTGTGTCCCTCCCTCCAGCTGCCTGTGTCCATCCCTCCGGCCGCCTGTGTCCCTCCCTCCGGCCCCTAAGCGCCAACTCATCTTCAGTTCAGGGACCTCCGTCAGGCTCCCTCACCCCAGCACTCAGCAGGAGGCTGCCGGCCTGGGTGTCCAGGGGATGGTGCGGGTGTCCAGCAGACAGTACAGGGGTTTGGGGGATGGTACAGGTGTCTGGGGGATGGCGTGGGTGTCCAGCAGATGGCGCAGGGGTTTGGGGGATGGCACAGGTGTCTGGGGGACAATGCGGGGGTTTGGGGGATGGCGTGGGTTCCAGGGGATGGTGCAGGGGCTTGGGGGATGGTGTGGGTTCCAGGGGACGGTGTGGGGGTTTGGGGATGGCGCGGGTTCCAGGGGACGGTGTGGGGGTTTGGGGATGGCGCGGGTTCCAGGGGATGGTGTGGGGGTTTGGGGATGGCGTGGGTTCCAGGGGACGGTGCGGGGGTTTGGGGATGGCGTGGGTTCCAGGGGACGGTGCGGGGGCTTGGGGGATGGTGTGGGTTCCAGGGGACGGTGTGGGGGTTTGGGGATGGCGTGGGTTCCAGGGGATGGTGCAGGGGCTTGGGGGATGGCGTGGGTTCCAGGGGATGGTGCGGGGGCTTGGGGGATGGTGTGGGTTCCAGGGGACGGTGTGGGGGTTTGGGGATGGCGCGGGTTCCAGGGGATGGTGTGGGGGTTTGGGGATGGCGTGGGTTCCAGGGGACGGTGTGGGGGTTTGGGGATGGCGCGGGTTCCAGGGGACGGGGCGGGGGCTTGGGGGATGGTGTGGGTTCCAGGGGACGGTGTGGGGGTTTGGGGATGGCGTGGGTTCCAGGGGACGGTGTGGGGGTTTGGGGATGGCGCGGGTTCCAGGGGACGGTGTGGGGGTTTGGGGATGGCGCGGGTTCCAGGGGACGGGGCGGGGGCTTGGGGGATGGTGTGGGTTCCAGGGGACGGGGCGGGGATTTGGGGGATGGCGTGGGTTCCAGGGGACGGTGTGGGGGTTTGGGGATGGCGCGGGTTCCAGGGGACGGGGCGGGGATTTGGGGGATGGTGTGGGTTCCAGGGGACGGTGTGGGGGTTTGGGGATGGCGCGGGTTCCAGGGGACGGGGCGGGGATTTGGGGGATGGCGTGGGTTCCAGGGGACGGTGCCTCATCCTCCAGTCTCTGTCTCTGCCTTCCCATGGCCACCTCCATGTGACTGTGTTCAAATTCCCCACCTCGTATAAGGACCCTTGTCACTGCGATTAAGGACCCCCTACTCCAGGGTGGCCTCATCTTAACTCATTATATCTGCAAAGACCCTATTTCTAGAAAAATTGCAGTCACAGGTACTGGGAGTCAGGACTTGAACCTGTCTTTTGTGGGGACACAATTCACCCATAATAGATGGTCACCCGCTCAGCTGGCTGCTGTGATTTTGGGGGGCTGGACGAGCAGGCCTTCTGTCTAGGAAATCAAACCTTTCTTGTATAATGGGAATAAACTAATTAAAATGCACACAAAGATCTCGTTCACATTAGCAAAAAGAACTCTCTCCAGATATCTAGGAGAAAACCCAGGAAAACACGTGTGAGCTCTTTACGGGGAAGACGGGAAGGCCTGAGAGACGTGTGTGCGTGGAGAGGGTGTCGGGTCCACAGAGGGGAAGACCCAGTGCGTGTGCACGTTGGCCCCATGAATCCGCAGCTTCATGCAGTGGTAGGTCAGTTTCATGGTGGCAAGATTCACCTTCAGACGCCACAAGGTCCTGGGGAAGAAGAGGTCCTGTCTCCCGACAAGGGCGGGAAGCAGTCCCAGGAGCCACCAGAGGCCTTGTCTTGCTGCTGACTGGCAGAAATGGCCAGGTTGGCCACGCCTGACTCAGACCAGGCTCGCCCCAGGGCTGGGTGGGAGTCAGTGTCCCTGAGCAGTGAGCCCTGAGCAGCACTGTGGGTCTCAAAGCATGGAAGGAGTGGGTGCTGGAGAGGCAAGCCAGCCAGCCCACGCCTGGGAGCCCACCCAGGGGACAGCCACAGGTAGCTGCAAATAATCTTGTCCGGGTGGAGACCCAGGCATTCCCACATGGCCACGGGGAAGAGTGGGGGTTGGGAGGCCATGGTGAGAGGGAGGGACACGTGAGGATCATGTGGGCAGGACCCCAACACCACAAGGGTGGGGTGGGCTGAGGCATGAAACTGGATCTCCCTAGAGTGAAATGTAAGCTCCAGCACGCTGGCACCACTGACGACACAGGAGCCATCAAAGTCCAGAAGGGGCCCCGCTGGGCACGCCCCACTCTTTCGCCATGGCTGGTGCTGGGCAGGGCCGCGGGGCTGCAGTCTGGGTGCAAGGCTCAGAGTCATTTCTCTGTGGATAGGGAGGGCACGGGTGTGCGTTCGCTTCGAGAACCATTCCCAAAGTCAGACCGCAGCCTCTGCACCAACCATCGGGGGCCAGTGGCCGCCCCCAGAGCCTCAGGGACCCTGTCCTTTGAGCCCACGCCTAAACCCACATGGGAATGATTTGGAGGCGTGGGTGAGTTGGATGGGAAAAAAATTGGGAGGGGCAAGGGGGGGATCCAGAATGAAATCCAGAAGCGCAGAAGGAAGGCTGTGAGGAGCAGTGGGCCGCCTCCTGCAGGGCTCCCGGAGCCCCTACTTGTCCAGGCTGCCTGGTGAGACCCTGGCTTCTGGTGTCCTTGGCAGGTGCCAGCCTCCCCCGCTGACCCCCATCACGAGTCAGCAGCTTACCCCACCGACCACGTCCTTCTGCATTGACTGCCTCCTGTCCTGCTCTGGCCAGGCCTGTGTTCACACTAGTTCTGTCCAGCCCCTCCCTGTGAGGCCAGCTCCAGCCCCAGCGCATGGTGACCATCCCGTTACCCATGGGCAGGATGCACTCCTCTCAGTGGCTGGCGAGGCGCAGCCTGGTGCGGGCGCCACGGGGTCGGGCTGTGATCGCCTGTGGCCTCCCTGCAGGGCTGTGACTCCCTGACGCAGATCCAGTGCGGCCAGCTGCAGAGCCGCAGGGCCCAGATTCACCAGCAGATTGACAAGGAGCTGCAGATGCGGACGGGCGCTGAGAACCTCTACAGGTCAGTGCTTGAGACTGCCCGGCCCCGGGAGCAGGGCCCACCTGGGTGAGGGGGGCAGGACAGCCACGCAGGCAGATGTCTGCCCCATGGCCGGGTCACAGAGACAGGTGCATGAGCAGCTGGGTCCTGGTGGGCACGTAGTACACGTGATGCTCAGCCATGACCCTCACAGACCTGCCTCCGTGGGCCTCTGTGCTGGGCTGGAGGTGCCAGGAAACCAGTGTCCCTGCCGGGTGTGCAGCTTGGGAAGCCCCAACAGTGCACGTGGGGGCTTCTCAGAAGAGGCATGGTTGAGGCTGAGCTGTGGCAGGTGATGGCGCGTCCCAAGGTTGGGGACCTGGGAGGGGGTGGAAGACCTGGGCTGCCTCTTCCTTAGAGCACACCGCCTGTGTGCCACACATGTGCGTGTGAGTGCCCCTCGGTCCCCTTAGCACCTGCTACCTCCCTGCCCCCATCCTGGCCTTCCCTGGGGACCTCCGGTCCCTTTGCCAGGCCCTGATGCAGGCACAGAGAGGTGTGTGGCTCTCACCCACCATCCAAGGAGTGATGTTTGAGTGCTGTCGAGGGCTGTATGAGCCCCAAAGAAAGCCGTGGTGCTGAGGGAGGTGCCCCCAGGCCAGAGTCGGAACATGCAGGTGCTGGGGTCGGGGTGATGAACTGTAGGGGGCATCACCTGTGAGCCCCCGGATCCCACTGCTGCCCCTGCCCCACCCATGGGGGGCAGACCCTGTCAGCGACGTCCTCTGCAGGGTGGGCTTGGAGCTTTGACAGGTCAGCTGGCAGGACGGCTGCAGTGGGCACGGGGCCTTTGGCTCTGCCTTGGGGCTGGGCTTTCAACTGCCGCGGCCTCCCTCAGAGCCACCAGCAACAACCGGGTGAGAGAGACGGTCGCCCTGGAGCTGAGCTACGTCAACTCCAACCTGCAGCTGCTGAAGGAGGAGCTGGAGGAGCTCAGCGGTGGCGTGGACCCTGGCCGGCATGGGAGGTGCGGGTGGGGGCCGGGACAGCACGTGCGTGTATGTGTGTGCACGTGTGCGTGTGTGTGTGCATGTGTGTGCACGCATGTGTGTCTCTGTGTGTATATGTGTGCATTGTCTGTGTGTGTGCGTGTGTGCATGTGTGTGCATGCATGTCTGTGCGCGTGTGTCTGTGTGCATGTGTCTGTGCATCTCTGTGTGTGTGCGTGTGTCTCTGTGTGTATATGTGTGTGCATGTGTGTGCATGCGTCTGTGTGCGCGTGTGTCTGTGTGTCTGCATGTGTCTGTGTGTGCATCTCTGTGCGTGTGTCTGTGTGCACGTGTCTGCGTGCGTGTGCATGTCTGCGTGTATGTGGGTGTGTGTTTGCCTCTATGTGTGCGTGTATGCACGTGTGTCTGTGTGTGTCTGTGTGTGCGCGTGTGTGTGTCTGCACGTGTGTGCATATATGTGTGTGCGTGCGCATGTGTGTCTGCATGTGTATGCACGCATGTGTTTGTGTGTGTGTGTGCGCGCGCATGTGTGTGTC
This sequence comes from Homo sapiens, assembly GCF_000001405.40. Taxonomy (NCBI): domain Eukaryota; kingdom Metazoa; phylum Chordata; class Mammalia; order Primates; family Hominidae; genus Homo; species Homo sapiens. Next base: position 143,377,173 of record NC_000008.11, read on the forward strand.
TCTGTGTGTGTGTGTTTGCTTTTGGGGCGGTTTAGGACGGTGGGGGGTGGTGCACAGGTGCAAGGATGCCCCCCAGGACACAGGCGCACGTGCACACCCATGAGGGAGGGAGGCACCCTGTGCCACAGAGCCCTAGGAGTGGACCCCGGGCTGCCGTGGGCAGCAGGGTTTGGCCTTACAGTCTGAAGTCGATGCTTCTGGTTACAGCGAAGCTGTCACTGTCCCCATGATCCCCCTGGGCCTGAAGGAGACCAAGGAGCTGGACTGGTCTACACCGCTGAAGGTAGGTACTGGCCTCCAAGCTCTGAGATACACGGCCCTGCCCTGGGACCAAGGGGGTCTTGGAGGCTTTCTGGTCCAGCTGTCTGGTTGAACAGATAGGGAAACTGAGGCCCAGAGGGAGGGAGGCTTAAAAGGGACGCAAGGGACCTGGCAGAAATGGCCACAGGGACCCAGCCTCTGCTGCGTTCAGGGCCCCGCTGGTGCCTGCGCCCCAGGCCGGGGCTGATCCCATAGAGTGGGTGTGAACATGTGCCCTACCCTCGGATGGGCAATGCCCTAGGAGGATGGGGCCTGGAAGCCCCAGCCGGAGCACAGGGTACAGGCTCGCCCATGGAGGGCACCACTGGCTTGGGGCCACACACCCAGCACTGGCTCACGAGGGTCCTGGGGAGAGCTAGAACAGACTGGCACTGCCTGGCAGGGCCCCACGGGAGCCACTGACTGTGTTCCGTGTCCGAGTCACTGAGTGGCAGATGGCACCTGCCTCCCGGCCACGGGGATGAATAAGGAAACGCACGTAAAAGTAGCGCTGAGTCTCCAGGCCCCGCTTCTGTGATGGGGTGGGGAAACCCCAGGGCCACAGGGGCTCCGACCCGCATCAACCCACCAGGCCCCTCCATACACATTGGCCCCCAGCCCTTCTCTGGGGCTTCCACTGAGGGGCCCAGGGCCCCCACGCTGCATGGCAGCCAGCCTGCTCTGCGGCACAGACCCTCCCTCCACCATGAGTCTTTTCCCAAGGTGGGTTGGGAGACCTCAGGGAAGGAGGCCAGGCACAGGGGTACTGTGGATGCCAACACCTGCCCCCCATCAGGAGCTGATCTCAGTGCACTTTGGAGAGGACGGCGCCTCCTACGAGGCAGAAATCAGGGAGCTGGAGGCCCTGCGGCAGGTGTGTGGTTCCCCCGCCCACCCACCCTCCTGCAGCCCTGGGAGACACATGCGGAGGCTGAAGCTGAAGTCAGGAACAGACAGAGGAGCTCAGCGTAGACATCTCGAGGACGTGGGGAGACGGGCGCACCAGGGGCCCTGTGTGTCCAGACCCAGCCAGGGGGCGTGGAGGGGCTCCCAGGTGGCTCCGGTGCCGCATGCTGCTGGCCTTCGGGAGTCACGGCTGCCCAGGGCCCCACTGGCTTTGCCTCCCCGCCCCCCATGGTGCTGGTGCCCATGGGACTTCCCAGGGCAGTGTGTGTGAGTGGGGTGGGCCAGGGCGGTGGGGCCCAGTGGCTCCTGCCCTGCAGGCCATGCGGACCCCCAGCCGGAATGAGTCGGGCCTGGAGCTGCTCACAGCCTATTACAACCAGCTGTGCTTCCTGGATGCGCGCTTCCTCACCCCTGCCAGGAGCCTCGGGCTCTTCTTCCACTGGTAGGGGCTCTGCGGGCGGAGGCACCCTGGGGAGGGGAGGCCCAGCTGCGGGAACCGTGGGAACTCCACCCAGCCTGACCCAACACTGCAGGTACGACTCGCTTACTGGGGTCCCGGCCCAGCAGCGTGCCCTGGCCTTCGAGAAGGGCAGCGTTCTCTTCAACATCGGTGCCCTCCACACGCAGATTGGGGCGCGCCAGGACCGCTCCTGCACCGAGGGTGCCCGCCGCGCTATGGAGGCCTTCCAGAGGGCCGCTGGTGAGGGCGGCCCGGGCCGCGGTGGGGCACGGCGCGGTGCCAGGGTGTTGCAGAGCCCCTTTTGCAGGGCAGGAGCTGGGGAGTGGTTAGGACATCAGTCCCTCAGGTAGGGGGAGTGAGCACATCAGGTCCATATGTGTCCCAGGAGCATCCCTAGCTGGCCGCCCTGAGTGCTGCATGGGGCAGAGATGGGCAGGTACAGGGCCCTGCCTGTGTGAGCACCCCTCCCTCCGCAGGGGCCTTCAGCCTCCTGAGGGAGAACTTCTCCCATGCGCCGAGCCCAGACATGAGCGCTGCGTCCCTCTGCGCACTGGAGCAGCTCATGATGGCCCAGGCCCAGGAATGTGTGTTTGAGGGCCTCTCACCACCTGCCTCCATGGCCCCCCAAGACTGCCTGGCCCAGCTGCGCCTGGCGCAGGAGGCCGCCCAGGTGAGCTCGGGCACCCGTGTCAGGATGCAGGGGGTGGGGCCGAGCTGGGGTCAGAGCCCAGGTCCAGGCATGCGTGAGCTCTCCCACCTCCTTCCTTGTGTGTCAGCCCCGAGCCAGCTGTTGTCCTGCTCCCTGGGGGGGCTGGTCAGGAACCTGGGGACCCGAGCCTCTGCCTCCAGGGGATGGCACAAAGCAGCAGGAACTGAGGTGCCAGGGAGGCTGCTGGGATGGTGGTCGGAGCAGGTGGAGGCTGGGTAGGGAGAAGCAGGCACCACCTGGAGAGTGGGAGGCCCTCGCGTGCCTGCCACATCCACCGGCAGGTGGCAGCCGAGTACAGGCTAGTGCACCGGACCATGGCCCAGCCACCCGTCCACGACTACGTGCCTGTCTCCTGGACTGCCCTGGTGCATGTCAAGGCCGAGTACTTCCGCTCCCTGGCCCACTACCACGTAGCCATGGCCCTCTGCGACGGCTCCCGTGAGTGCCCACCACACTTGCCCATGGTACTGCCAAGGCCCCCCCGCGCAGGGCTCACAGCCTCTCTGTCCCCCAGCAGCGACCGAGGGAGAGCTCCCCACGCACGAGCAGGTCTTCCTGCAGCCCCCCACCTCCTCTAAGCCCCGAGGCCCTGTGCTGCCGCAGGAGCTGGAGGAGCGCAGGCAGCTTGGTAAGGCGCCCATGGGTGGAGTGCCCTGGGGCTCAGATGGTCACCAACGGTGGCAGGGTGTCCCCCACCACCCTCATGCTGTTTGCCACCTGCTGTCCCCGTGCTGACGAGTTGGGCCACCTACCTATCCCTGGATGGCCTGTGCCTGATGGGTGACGGCCCAGCGCAGGGGCCCCAGGAGTGCTGGGCAGCCTCTGAGCAGGTGGGAGACCACTGGGAGCAGCTCATCCCTGGCCCCTGCTTTGCACGTGGCAGAGCCCTCCTGCACAGCCAGCTCCTCACCCCCGTGGCGCGCACCCCCAACGAAAGTGGCTGTGATGAGCCCCACAGCCCTGGCGTTGCCCACTCCTTCTGCCACGTCCCAGGGCCCACGGGCCCACATGGTGTGTGACATCCCAGTGCCCCGCGTGCAGGCAAGGCACACCTGAAGCGTGCCATCCTGGGGCAGGAGGAGGCGCTGCGGCTGCACGCCCTGTGCCGCGTCCTGCGCGAGGTGGACCTGCTTCGGGCTGTGATCTCCCAGACGCTGCAGCGCTCACTGGCCAAGTATGCGGAGCTCGACCGTGAGGATGACTTCTGTGAGGCTGCCGAGGCCCCGGACATCCAGCGTGAGCAGCCAGGGCCTGTCTGGGTGGCTGCATCCCTGGCCAGGGTGGGGGCCTTCGTCCTGGAGAAAGGGAGGCTGATTGCATTAAAGATGCAGTCACCACGATGAATTAAACAGCAGTAGCACTTTCCAGGCCACGATCACAGGGACCCACAGAGCTGCTGGGCCCTTCAGGGGCCTGGGGGATGACCACGCTCCTCAGCACCTCCCTCCCTGCACTGGCCTCCTACCCTGAGGGGAAGCCCACAGACCCAGGACAGGCATGGCTGGGACTTCAGGGAGGGATTTTGGGAGCCACTTGGGGCAGAGGGGGCCGTGTGTTCAGGGCACACCTGGGGCAGCTCCTCCCACCATTGCAGAGTGGCCAGGCCTGGAGGTCAGAAGCGGGGCCTGTGTGCACTCAGGGTCATGCCCTGCGCCCTGGAAAATCCCCGAGGCAGGTCTCCACAGTCTCCCAGCTTAGCTCTGCTCTTACACCCTCTCAGCTAAGACCCACCAGAAGCCAGAGGCCAGGATGCCACGCCTGTCCCAGGGGAAGGGGCCTGACATCTTCCATCGGCTGGTGAGCACACCCGTCCCCAGGCACCGCCCAGCATGGGCAGCTTGGGCTGTGTGGCTCTGACCAGCACATGGCCTCAGACAGGCCATTGATGGTGGTCCAGCCCTCCCCACCCACCTTGTGGAACCCCACGGTGTCCCTCGGTGCACAGGTTGGATGGATGTGCTAGTCAGGCGGGGTCTCCTCAGTGTGTGGCCCAGCTGGGCCTCTGACCTCTGAGCCCCTGCCAGGGGCCCCTGTCTGTGTTCTCAGCCAAGAACCGGTGGCGGCTGGTGGGGCCCGTCCACCTGACCCGAGGAGAGGGCGGCTTTGGCCTCACGCTTCGGGGAGACTCGCCTGTCCTCATCGCTGCCGTCATTCCAGGGAGCCAGGCCGCGGTAAGGGCCCCGCCGGCCCCCTGAGGCTGAGTCCTTGGTGCCAGCCAGGGTGTCCTGTCCCCACCTCACCGTCCAAGTCTCCCCACAGGCGGCTGGCCTGAAGGAGGGCGACTACATTGTGTCAGTGAATGGGCAGCCATGCAGGTGGTGGAGACACGCGGAGGTGGTGACGGAGCTGAAGGCTGCGGGAGAGGCGGGCGCCAGCCTGCAGGTGGTGTCGCTGCTGCCCAGCTCTAGACTGCCCAGCTTGGTGAGCCCCTGGGGCCCCAGAGGGGCGGTCCCCAGCTTGCTGTCACCACCCTGGCCCTGGGCCTGCCTTGGATGCTTGAGCAACATTGGGAAGGGGAGGTGGGGCTGCAGGTAACCCTCCCTGGGCCGCCTCCTGGGCAGGGGCCACCTGTGCTGTGGCCTCCATCTGGCAGCTCTTGCCCTGACCCCGAGGATGCTGCAGCCCACCCCTCACTGGGCCTCTGTATCCTCAGACTGGAGGCTTCTGGGCCAGGCGCTCCATCCCAGAGGTTTTCTCTACCCAGCATGGCTGACCCAGGGTTGGGTGAAACCCATGGGCCCCTGCTATGTGGCCACCCTGATGGGAGCCCCCAAACAAGCCCCCGACGTGCCAGCCCCTCCCAGGTGGTTCTCACCCCTCCCAGACTGGCTGCAGGTGGGGACAGGCCAGCAGTGGCTGACCACAGTCTGTCTCTGTCCCTGCTGCAGGGGGACCGCCGGCCCGTCCTGCTGGGCCCCAGGGGGCTTCTAAGGAGCCAGAGGGAGCATGGTTGCAAGACCCCGGCATCCACGTGGGCCAGTCCCCGGCCCCTCCTCAACTGGAGCCGAAAGGCCCAGCAGGGCAAGACTGGAGGCTGCCCCCAGCCCTGTGCCCCAGTGAAGCCAGCTCCGCCCTCATCCTTGAAGCACCCAGGGTGGCCGTGAGGGCCAGGATCCCTGCACGCCTCAGCCCTGGCTCCAGCTGGCAGCAAGCACCGAGCATGCCCTCCCCACCCAGAGGACCTCCGGGCAATGCCTGTCCCGCCTCATGCTGGAGGCTGCCTCGGGCACCTGCCTGCCCATTAAAGACTGGTCAGACCTGTCTGAGCCCAGTGATGGGAGCTGTGGCCTCTTCACCCACACACAGAAGGATGCCAGTCCCTCTGTCGGTCTGAGGTCAGCTTCCTGGGGCTGCCCCACCCTGAGGGCTCCTTACAGGGTGCTCCTCACAGCCATCCCATCTGTACCCCCGGGCTCTGTCCACCCTGCTGCTGCCCTGGGCACAGACCCTGAGGTCTCAGTCCTGCCTCCAGCCAAGTTTCTGCCTGGTGCCCAGTGATTCCTGCTGGGCACCCCTTCGCTCACTGCCCCTCCACCATGCAGCAGCCAGACACACCCACAGCACCCGCAGACCTCTAGGCCGGGTCCCAGACATGGCCTTCCCCCAAAATACTTCCTGCTGTCCTGTCTGTGCACAGAGCAAGGGACTCCCCACCTCTGCGCCCTGTGCTGGTCATCATGGGCTCTGTGCTGGTCAACCCAGCAAGTGTCCCGTTTGCCCAGGAGTCCCTGGTGTCGTGGCCCAGGTCTCATGGTGGCCCTAAGCCTGCCAGCCCTGCTGCCCGCCTTGCTGTCCTGCTCTGAGCATGGGTGCCACCCTCCAGCTCCTGGGCGTGTCACTTCTCTCTGAGCCTGGGGCCTGCATGGGCCCCCAGCCCTCCCCAGCCTGCTTGGGCCGCTCCTGCTGGCCTCCACAGGCCGTGAGCTGTCAGTGTCTCAAGCAGGGGAAGTGAGGGCTGCCTCCAGGCCTCCGTGTACTGGGTGGACAATGGCCCCCAAAGGCCGTCGGCAAGAACACCACCTCCAGGACCCCTACAGCAGTGGGCTCAGGACTTGGGCACCAAGAGGAGAGGGTGGGAAGGGCTGCAGAGTCAGGGCTGCACCCAAGAGGAGCCACGGAGCCGGAGCCGGAGCGGAGGCCCCCACCGAGGGCCCCAGGGCCTGGCAGGTTCCGGAAGAGACAGGGCCAGCGGGAGTCATTCCCTGCAGCCACTAGGGGGCAGCCGCCACCCGCTCAGCAGCCCTGGGAGGCGGCACGGGCAGGTGCGCCTTGGGAGGGCTGAGGCAAAGACCCCGGGTAGAAAGGCGGCCCCCAGCTCTGCGAGACCCCTGCCCTCTTGTCCAGTCCCTTCCGAGGGTCCGCAGGTGAGAGCAGCCTGCCCTGCATCCCAGGCTCTGGTTCCAGGGTCCAGGGCCCTGCGCTGCCACCTCCCTCGTGCTTCAGCCAAGAAAATGGGGGTGCAAGTAGGGTGTTTGGGGTCCCAGAGACGCAGGCGCCGCGGCGCGATCTTCCTGGGCAGGAGGGCAGGGCTCCCCAACCTGCCTGAGCCGGGGTGGGGGTCCAGGTCCCCCACTTGCCCTTGTGGGAAAATCCCTGTCTCAGCAGAATGGGCCAAGGTCACGCAGGTCTCCCCAGCACGTGTTAATTTGGTTAATAAAACTGTGGATCAAGGAGGCCAGTAGGCACTAACTGGGGATGACAGGGTGGCAGCCCTGTCTGGGAAGTGCAGGGACTCCCCACCTCCTGTGGCCTGTCGAGACCCAAGCTGGGGACAGAGCTGCCACCTGCCTCCTGCATGGTGGGCGCCAGGCCACCATAGCCTGGGGGAGGGGGCTTTTGCCCAGAGAGCACGCCTCTCCCCACCGCAGACCCCTGGGGTGCGCCCAACCCGTCCCACCCCTGCCCACACATGCCTCTCCCCTGGCTGCCACCAAGCCTGGGCCTGTGCTCCTGGCCCTGCCCTCTGCCCCAGGCCATCTCCTCCCCTGCTGCCCCCCCCCCCGCCGTCGTGTCCCTCTGCCACAGAGGGGGGGCCTCACAGCTGAAGCCACACGTGGCTGGGACCTGGCTCCCGTCACCGCCTCCGTCCTGTGAAGTGGAGGAAGCCTGGTGCACAGGGGTGCTGTGGCGATGTGGGGGGCCCTGAGGTCCTGCTGCCAGCCAGGGGGAGGGGGGCGGAGGTCCTGGGATCTGGGGTCCAGAGTTCTAGTCAAGGCAGGGCTGGGCAGGAGGGGGGTCCCCCTCCCCACCTTCCACTTGGGGCTGCTCTCCAGAAGAGAAAGCGGATGCCTACCAGCCCAGCCCCTCAGACTTGGACCATGCCCCTCCGGCATCTGTGGGAGTCCTGCCAGACAGCCCCTGGGCTGCGGGAAGGGACCGCGCCCCATCCCATCCTCATCCCTGCAGTAGCTGGTGGCTGCCTGCCCGGCGCAGGGGCCTGCTGAACAGGGGACTGCCCTGTCCAGCCCACCCACGGGACTCCAAGTCCACACAGGCAGCAGAGTCGGCAGCGGTGGGCAGAGTGGGGGGGCATCACCATGGCTCCTCAGGGACTGGTCAAGGGTGTGATGCCTGGCCTGGCAGGACCTGCAGTTTCACCCCCGGGGCCAGCTGTGGCCTGTGCCCCGCCAGAGGGCAGTGCAGCCCCTGGGGCCAGCACACAGGAGGCGGCAGCTCAGGGTCCTGTCCCATCTGCCCAGGCTAGGGAGCAAAGCAGGATCAGGGCGAGGCTGCGAGGCTGGGGGAAGGCAGGGCTGGCCGCTGGGGAGCGCTCGGTCCGCAGGCTGTGCGGTGAGAGCCACTGGGTGAGGCTTCCCGGGGGGCACAGCTGCCCCGAGGGGCCGGCTCAAGGCTGTCCCTGCAGCAGCACGTGTTGGTGCTTGCCTGCCCCCCCCGCAGCGCCACACCGCGGCCTCAGTGGAGCCCGTTCTCTTCCCTTGAAGTCCTGCTTGCGCACTCCTGGGCGTTTCTGGCTAGCACCTTTTTGGCTTTTAGGGACGGGTTAGTGTCCCTTCCTCAGATGGCCCGGCCTGGACACACCCCATGCATGGGCCTTAGCCCCCACTTTCTGGGCCAGCCTTATCACTTTGGGCACTGTGTCACAGATGGGCCGAGGGCAGGGATGGCACCGGCATGTCCGTGAGTGCCTGGATGTGTGGGGCATATGTTGCCTGGGAGGGAGGGGCCGGCACCCAGGAGCTGCTGCGGCCACAGTATGGTCCCGACCTACTCCCCATGCCCACGCGGAGCCAGGGCTCACGACGGATGTCGAGCAGCGCAGGGGCCGATGGCACACCGAGACCGTGTGTGCACCCTGCCCAGGCTTGGGGCCCACGGGGTGATGCTCCATTTTCAGAGTGGTCCCCAGGCAGGAGGCTGGGCTGAGCCTGCGCTGCCGTCCTTTCTGCTTTGCCAACAGAAAACTGCCGAGAAGGGAGAAGGCGGACTCTGTTTTGCTTGGGTCAGCAGTGAGCGGGATTAACACAGGGAGAGGGAGTGGGGAGGGGTGGGGGCGGGAGCCTGGGGATGGACAGGGCTGGGAGTGAGGTTGGGGATGGATTGCGGGGCACGAGGATGGATGGGTTGTGGGGACTGGGGATAGACCGAGGTGAGCCAAGGGCAGGGTCGCCCACTTCACTCTCCTCCTCACCCCCTCCCAGCCTCTCCCGCCGCCTCAAGCCAGCAGTTCTGGAAAATGAGTGAATGCAGACTGCCTGCAGGTGTTGGGGGTCAGGCCCTGTCCAGCACCCCCCTCCCACCGCACCCTCCCACAGTCCCCAGAGCACTATGTTTTCCCTGTTCCCAACGGCCATGGTCAGGATCTGTGCCTGTGCGAGGTGGGCCACAGTGGCCGGTGGGCTGGCAAGGCTACAGCTGTCCTCATGCGCAGACAGCACCGCGGACCATCTGCAGACATGGCATGGAGGTCCAGAGTGCCCAGGGGTTGATCCTGGAGGGGAGGCAGCGGAAGGCGGGGACTGGGGGCGCTCCGCAAAGCTCCAGATAGAAACCGGCTCCACGGGCTTCAGACCCCCCAGGACGGGGGTGCCGAGTGGGCAGCCGGGAGGGGCCCTGAGGAGAAGAGGGCATGGGGCCTAGACCCAGTGAGGCCTCAAGCCAGGGTGGCGGAGGTGGCACTGGGAGCTCTGGGTCACCTAGGTGGTGCTGCTGTCCACCTGAGAGGTGGCAGGGGCCAGGTCAGGCCTCGGTAGCAGACAAGCTTAGAGGGCTGAGTTTAGCCTCAGCTTCTCAGCATAAGGAGAGAGGCTGACAGCCTGTGGCCATGTCCTTGGCCACATCCTTAGCCACCTCCAGGGCACTGGAGGCCTGCCTGTGGCCACTGTAACCCTCCCGATGTGAGAGGAAGAGATGGGACTCCAAAGCCACAACCCCACTACCCTCCCCACCATCACCAGGGTCACAGCCCAACCACCGTCCCCTTCCACCACCCCCGAGGTCACATACACACCACCATTCCCCCCCAACTCCTGATGTCACACCCCCCACCACTCTCCCCAACCCGAGGTCACATGGCACATCACTGTCCCCACCCACTGCTGACATCACGTCGCCTGCCCCTGTCATAGAGTGGACAGCACATACCCCAGCCTCCCCACACCAATCTCTGGTCCCCATGAGGCCGTCACCAGTGATATCAGTTCCCCCATCACTGCTGCCCTCACCTCCAGCTCACTCCTCTCGGCAGCTGCCCCATGGCGGTGGTCCCCTCACCCCCACCATGGCGTTCAGTGCATTAGCTTCTCTGCCTGGTCCCCACGTTTTTGTTGTTTTGTTTTTTTAGATGGAGTCTTGCTCTGACACCCAGACCGGACTGTAGTGGCGCGATCTCGGTTCACTGCACCCTCTGCCTCCTGGGCTCAAGCAGTCCTCCCACCTCAGCCTCCCAAGTAGCTGGAACTACAGGTGCCCGCCACCACACGCAGCTAATTTTTGTATTTTTGTAGAGACATTTCACCATGTTGCCCAGGCTGGTCTTGAACTCCTGGACTCAAGCTATCCTCCCGCCTTGGCCTGCCAAAGTGCTGGCATGACAGGTGTGAGCCACCACGCCCATCCTCCGAGCCCAGCCTCCGTGCCCGGCCTCCACTGTTTTTTTCTTGGCTCCAGAGAGCAAGGTGGGACGGGCTGGGGATCTGCAGCGGGGGTGACGACCTCTCCAAGTCAGCAGGAGGAAGGGGCACCCACTTCTCCAGGGAAGGGTGGGCGGTGGAGGCTGCAGTGCCACCCTTCTGCCTTCCTGTTTGTCCTCATGGCCACTCATTGCCCATCGGCGATGACTGAGCACCTGCTGCTGGACACTTGCCTCCCAGGAGCCCCCTGGAGCCCTGGCCCCTCTCTGTGTGCGCTTCTTATGTCCTGCACATCCCAGTGATCATTATGACACATGAGGTGCGCCTGGAAGTCAGAAGATAACGCCTAAGAGCTTGTCACGGGGGCCCCAGGCTCTTCATCTGCAGACGGAGCTGCTAAGGGAGCCTTGCAGATTCAGGGCCTTGACAAGGTCCCCGGTGCTCCCTGAGGACCAGGCCCAGTCTTGACCACATCTCTGTTCTGCCCACAACTCCCAGTGAGCAGTTGGGGGAGGGAGTAGAAGCCAGTGGTGGGGGAGATGCAGCCAAGGTCGGGGGTGAGCAGGTCACCAGCTGGGAGACGCATGGCAGGCTGACCTAGGTTCAGCTCAGGAGAGCCGCTGGAAACTCTCTCTGCCATGCTGGGCTCTGGGCTGTCAGCGGTGAAGACAGGCCTGGCTCTGCGGGGCTGACCATCTGGAGGCTGAGATTGCATCTCAGGGCAGAGGAAGCTCGGGGAGGTGTGAGAGGCCTGGTTCCCGCTGCACCTCCAGGCGAGCATGGTGTGGAAGGAGTGCGGGCCAAGCAGGGCTGGCATGGGAGGGCAGGCCGCCTGTGGAAGGGGACCTGGGCCCCTATGGGGGGCTGCCCCAAGAGGGTACTGCCTGGGGCGCTGCGCCGATGCCTGGTGGGTGCTACTGGCGCCTGCACCCAAGGACCAGGGGGCATCACCCCAGAGCACGGCTTATGAGGGTGCTGGGCGGGGTGTGGGGGGCGCCAGGGGATGTCTCAGCCTGGGTGTCAGCAGAGGAGGGGCAGGTTGGGGGTTCAGCCCAAGGTGGGCCCGCTGGTCGGGATGCCAGTGGGTTCCCAGGGGGGCGGCCTCCAAGAAGCTGCTGGGTGCACACTCTGTGGCTGGAGGGGGACTCAGGGGGACCTGGGGGTCACCCAAAGCCATGGGAGAGGGTTGGGGGCTGGACCTGAGGGGAGGACTGCCTGGGGACCCCTGGAGAGGAGTTTGAGGAGACTTGGGGCACAGGGGCTGTGCTGCGGGTGGGGAGGAGGGGAAGAGGAGCGGGAGGAGAGAGAGAGGAGTGGGGAAAGAGGAAGGGAGGGGACAAAACTGAGCAGAAGTGGTGAGCTCTGTCCACCTAAGGGCAAGTGCAGCCCGGCTTTGGGTGGGAGCCCTTGCGGAGGGAGATAGGCAGGGGCCCCTGTGGGTCAGCAGCCCAGGCTGGGCTTGGGGTGGGTCTCCTGGGTCTGGGAGCCTGAGAGCTGCTGGGGTAGGCTGGACAAGAGGCCTGGGCAGGCCCCTCTCAAGGCTGTCTCCTCTGGAGTCAGGGCTCTGGCCTGGCCCTGTCCACCCCTTCTGGGAGTAGGGTCTCCGGCTTCCCCCTCCTCACAGGGCTCTGCCCCAGAGGCTGTGCTGTCTTGAGCCAGTGGCCCAGGCACCGATGCCTGCGCCACGGAGAGGCCTTGCCCACAACCTGGTGGGATAACCCTACTGGGCACCCACCCCGTGATAGCTGGGCTGCACGCCCGGGCATAACTCAGTGTTTACCTGGTGGGGGGTATTGGCGGCCCCCGCGGCTCCAGCTCCCCCCACACCCCCTTCGGCCCCTAGACCGTGCGCCAGACATGCATTAAGGCAGGAGTGACTTATCGAGCTGTCAGGGGGAGCGTTTTAAGACAGAATTATAGGGGAGAGGAAAAAGATTTTTACCAAATTAATGAAAAATCAATGTGGCCTCAAAAATCCATTAGCCTTCATAATGCGCTGGTTCCAGGCTGAGCCGCATAATCCGATGCCGGCTGTTAAACTCGTGGCGGTGCCCCCGCCCACCATTCATCACCGCACGGTGCTTACTCCTGAGAGTGACACCTGCCCGGTGCCCAGAGCCCCTGGGGGCCCCTGCCCTGGCTCCCTGACCACACACAGAGGCTGCAGGGAGCCCTGGGGTGAAGCATGTAGACGGGGCAGTGGCGTGGATGGGATAGAGAGTGCGCCGCTGGTTTTGGTGGTGTCCAGGGTAATCAGCTGCCAGGGTGGCATTGCCGGGGTGGCAGAGGGCCTGGTGTGCTGTTGGTGAGGGTGGCTAACAGTGACGGTGGCAAGTGACTGTGAGGTGAGTGACCTGGTGTGAATGACCACGGGGTGAGTGACCAGGTTTTAGTGACCACGGGGTGAGTGACCAGGCTTCAGTGACCACGGGGTGAGTGACCAGATTTTAGTGACCACGGGGTGAATGACCAGGTTTCAGTGACCACGGGGTGAGCGGCCTGGAGTGAGTGGCTGTGGGGTGAGTGACCAAGTGACCATGAGGGTGACTGACTGTGGGTGAGTGGCCTGGAGTGAGTGACTGTGGAGTGAGTGACTGTGAGGGTGAGTGACCTTAAGGGTGAGTGACCATGGGATGAGTGACCGTGAGATGAGTGACTGTAGGTTGAGTGACCTGGTTTTAGTGACCGTGGGGCGAGTGGCCTGGTTTTAGTGACCGTGGGATGAGTGACCATAGGTTTAGTGACCTGGTTTTAGTGACTGTGAGGGTGAGTGACATGGTTTTAGTGACTGTGGGGTGAATGACCGTGCAGTGTGTGACATGGTTTTAGTGGCTGTGGGGTGAGTGACATGGTTTTAGTGACTGTGGGGTGAGTGACATGGCTTTAGTGACCGTGGGTGAGTGGCCGTGGAGTGAATGACTCTGGGGTGAGTGACCTGGTTTTAGTGACCGTGGGGTGAGTGACATGGTTTTAGTGACTGTGGGGTGAGTGACATGGCTTTAGTGACTGTGGGTGAGTGGCCGTGGGGTGAATGACTCTGGGGTGAGTGACCTGGTTTTAGTGACTGTGAGGGTGAGTGACATGGTTTTAGTGACTGTGGGGTGAGTGACATGGCTTTAGTGACCGTGGGTGAGTGGCCGTGGGGTGAATGACTCTGGGGTGAGTGACCTGGTTTTAGTGACTGTGAGGGTGAGTGATTTGGTTTTAGTGACTGTGGGTGAGTGGCTGTGGGGTGAGTGACATGGTTTTAGTGACTGTCGGTGAGTGGCCGTGGGGTGAGTGACCGTGCAGTGAGTGACCTACTTTTAGTGACTCTGGGGTGAGTGACTGGGTCGGTAACCATGTTGCTGCGTGGAGACAGGGTGGGCAACATAGGAGGCTGCTGGTCTTGGGGCTGAGCCAACCGGGCTGTGAGATGTTGGAAAGAGGTGTTTGTACAGCCATAACAGCGACCTTGCGGTGGCCAGGCACCCTGAGGAGGATGTGGACAGCTCCCTCCTGGGAACATCCTGTCTCCCCCCCCGCCCACCTGGAGGCCCTTTGCCTCACACAGGTCACTTGCTGGGTAGGCAGAGCCAGCGTCGTGGCCCCAGGGAGGTCTTGGGACAGCAGCAATCCTGATGGAGCCTGGAGCAGGTGGTTCGAAGGGAACTCCTTCCTTCCTCCCAAGAGGAAGATCTCCCCTCCACCTCACCCTGCCCCCTGCCCACCTGAGCTGAGATGGGGCACGTCCAGGTTGGGCAGCCGTAGACAGAGGGGTTGCCTGAGATCTCTGTGTGCCCAACATGGAACAGGCGAGGCACTGGGAATCTAGATGGATTTTTTATTAAATTGACAAAAGTCTCTCTTGCCCTGGTCTCTCCTGGAATCTCACCTTAAAACTCTCCCTGGGGCCCTGACAGCTGCCTCCATCAGTGGCCCCCTCCCTCTGATCCCTCACAGAGAGGCAGGGCCAGCAGCTCTCTTGTCCCCACCTCCCTGAAGGGCTCTCCATGGGGCAGGGCAGGACTCCCAGGGAAACCACCCATCACCTTGTAGTCCAGGGGCCCTCAGGCCACGTGCATCTGGCAGCTCCCCTCACCTGTGCCCCTCTCCCCGGCCCCCTTGCCTCACCCTCCTCCAGCCAAGGCCACAGTGGCACGTGGCCCACCTGCCTGTGCCCCACCTGGCCCCATGTATAGGCCCTGCGCACCCGGACTGCACTTTCCAGTAGGTTTATCCTCCCTCTGGAGCTCCCAATCCCCTTCTTATCGCATGCATCCATCCACCCATCCGTCCATCCACCCATCCGTCCACCCACTCATCCACCCATCCATCCACCCACCCACCCATCCATCCATCCATCCATCCATCCACTCATCCATCCATCCATCCATCCATCCATCCACTCATCCATCCATCCATCCATCCACCCATCAATCCATCCATCCATCCATCCACCCATCCATCCAACCATCCATCTATCCGTCCATCCACCACCCATCCACCCACCCATTCATCCATCCATCTACCCATCCACCCATCCATCTATCCACCCATCCGTCCATCCACCCATCAATCCATCCATCCATCCACCCATCCATCCGACCATCCATCTATCCATCCATCCACCTGCCCATGCACCCACCCATCCATCAACTCACCCATCCATCCACCCACCCATTCATCCACCCATCCACCCATCCATCCATCCACACATCCATCCATCCACTTGTCCATCTGTCCATCCACCCATCCATCAACCCATCCATCCATCATCCAACCATCTATCCATCCATCCACCCACCCATCCATTCATCCACCTATCCATCCACTCATCCACCCATCCATCCACTCATCCACCCATCCATCCATCCATCCATCCATTCACCAAAGGGTCCCTGAGGTTCTCCTGGGATTCCTGCCCTACTGCAAACTGGCCGCCCAGGAGTGTCTCAGTCCTGGCTCTCACAGGCCTTCTGCCCCGACCCTCACTGGCTTGGCCTGGGGCCTGCATGGGCAGCAGCCCATACAAAGCCTAGCAGCCAGAGCCAGGGAGGGACAATACCAGGGCTGGGAGGAGGGGATATTCAGGGTGCTCCCACCTGCGTTGAGTTGGGGAGCCACAGCCCAGAAGGGAGTGCCTTTGCCCAAGGGCACAAGCATGAGGGGCGGTGGGCAGCGCCAGCCCCCAATCTGCAGCACCCCAGCCGGTGTGCAGCTGTCTCCGGGGCTCCAGCACTCAGCTCACTCAGCCCTGCTGGAGCCAGCCTGGCCACCACTATTGTCTCATGGATCAAATCCCAATTCATTAGTGGTGGATTGGTGGGGTGGGTGTGGTGGCCCAAGGACCTGTCTGCGGTTTTCTGGGTTGCCTGGCTCCGGGGTCCCAGAGGCTCCCAGTGCCCACCAAGCACACCTGCTTCCCATGGTCGATCTGGTGGATGACATGCACCAGCCATGAATTGCTCAGGCTGGCAGGGCCACCCCAAGGTGACCTCTGAGGGGTGCCCAGGGCTGGCATAGGGCCCTTGTCACAAGCAGCCACATTCCTGACTTCCCAGCCCCTCCCTGCCGGTGGGACACACCCCCTCCTGCTGGTCTCTGTCTTTGTCCTGGAATCTTCATCCTTCCCCAGTGTGTCTGTCTGCAGGTCTCATGTGGGTATCTGGGGTCCCTGCTCCCTCCTTCTCTCTGGGTCTGTGTCTGCCTTCTCCCCACCGCCCCACAGCCTCTGAGCGGCCTCCTCCCTCTCTGTTGCTGGGGACCCTCCCCTCAGGGTCTCCCTTGGGGCTGTCTCTTCTCACACCTGGGAGGATCTGGGATGCCCAGGGCTGGGCAGCCAGTAAAGCCCGGCCCTCAGGGCCAGCAGGCACCTGGGAAGGGGCTGTAGCTGCCCCTGGGTGCAGAGGTCACGGAGCCTCCCACCCTTCGGCCTGGGGCCAAGGTGGAGCTCACGGGCCAGGGATTGGGTCCCCCTGCCCATCCTGGGCAGGGCTGAGTGCCACTCACAGCAGGGGGGGCCAGGCCTCAGCTCTGTCCACTGCCCTAGGGCAGCATTGGAGTCCCCTCAGGCCTCTGGGTCCATGGAGCAGTGCCTGGTGGGGGTTGGGGTGGGAGGAGGTGCTTCTCCAGATCAGTGCTCACTCCGTGGCCTCTGCTGGGTGGACACCCCCACCCCCAGGCCCAGCCAGGCCCTCATCTGTCTGATCAATGTCCGGGCACATCTGATGCCGGAGCGGATCTGCTGACCCAGACCTGGCCTGCCCCCTGCCGCCCCCACCTCATCAATAGCAGATCATCCGGCCTGGTGCCGTCCTCAGCCCCCTGGGGAGCTGGGGCAGGAACAGTGGCCTGGCCCTGGAGCCATAGTAGGGCGCCGTCCTGAGAGACAGGTCGGGCAGCCAGCTGGTGGCACATGGCTTCAACGCTCAGCCCATCTCCCCAGTGGGTTCTTAGGCCCAGCAGGGCAGCCCCGCAAGCCTCACTCCTGGGACTTTAGTACAGACATGTGGGCCGCTGACCCTCAACAGGATTCTGAGATGGGGCCAGCCGGGCCCCTGCAGGAACTCCTGGGTACATCACTCTCAGGTGGAATTGCTAACAGGCAGGGCTGACCCAGAGCGTGTGGGGCTGTGGGGCCAGGGGGCTGTGGGGCGGGTGGGCCCCCATCACGGGGTGTCCACGGGGAGGCCCAGTGGCCCTGCCCGGTTAGAGGGCCCATGGCTCACTGTCCCCAGGACGAGGGCTCAGAGCTCCTCACCAGGCCTGCCCGGCCACCTCCATTATTGCCCTTAGGAGCCCTGGCTGGGCAGTTCACATGAGGCACAGAGGCCAGGGACACAGATGGGACAGAGAAGAGATTAATCCACCTGGGGTCAAGGCCTGGCCCACGAAGCATGGCAGCCAGCGGGTGCTGCCCTGGTGAGGGTGGACATGGGCCACCCAGCCTCTCCAGGCCCATCCAGGGCAAAGAGTGTCTGTTCCTCCCAGGTGAAGGCTGTGGCCAGGACAGTGGAGCAGCCGGTCAGGGGCAGCTTCCCCGGGAAAGGCCCTGGGGGGCTTGCAAGTAAGGGAAGAAATCCAGGCCCCTCCCCTAGCAGGATCCTAGCAGTGAGCACTTCTGGGCTGGGGCCCTGCCTCCCACCCCTGCAGAGTCCCCTCCGCCAGGGTTCCCTTCCTCTCTGTGTGCACAGCTGACCTCATTTCCTGACAGTGGCGATCCCAGCAACTCCAGAGTAGATGAGGGAGTGGGACAAAGTGTGAGAGCTGGGGTTCACATCTGCTTGGGTTTCCCTTGTGTGTGTTTGTAATGGACACATGAGTTCTCCTGAACAGGGAAAGCCTTTTTTTTTTTTTTTTTTTTAGCAAGGTCTCGCTCTGTCACCCAGGCTGGAGTGCAGTGGCACAATCATGGCTCGCCGAAGCCTCTACCTCCTGGACTCAAGTGATCCTCCCGCCTCAGCCTCCCAAGCATCTGGGACCACAGGTGCATGCCACCACACCCAGCTAGCTTTTTTTATTTTTTGTTGAGACAAGGTCTGGTTATGTTGGCCAGTCTGGTCTTGAACTCCTGGGCTCAAGTGATCCTTCTGCCTCAGACTCCTAAAGTGCTGGGATTACAGGCATGAGCCACTGTGCCTGGCTAATTTTAAAAATTTTTTTTAACTTTTTTTTTTTTGAGACGCAGTTTTGCTCGTCGCCCAGGCTGGAGTGCAAAGGCAGATCTCGGCTCACTGCAACCTCTGCCTCCCAGGTTTAAGTGATTCTTCTGCCTCAGCCTCCCAAGTAGCTGAGATCATGTGCCACCACTCCTGGCTAATTTTGTATTTTTAGTAGAGATGGAGTTTCACCATGTTGGCCGGGCTGGTCTCTAACTCCTGACCTCAAGTGATCCGCCCGCCTCAGCCTCCCAAAATGCTGGGGTTATAGGTGTGAGCCACCGCACCCAGCCTAATTTTTTTACTTTATTTCTATCTTTTGTAGAGACAGGGTCTCGCTCTGTTGTCCAGGCTGCGGTAAATCCTTGAATAAGCTTGTGTGTTTCTGGGTGGTGGGTTTTATAATGCACACACCATGTGAGCTCATCTGAACAGATAAGCACTTAAAGAAAAACACACTTGAGACTGGTTTACTACCCACTCTGGGAACCTGGGTCTTTGCTTTCCCTGTAGGAGCCTGGGCCCCAGCCGTCTATTCTGTAAGCCCTCCGTCCCTATGGGCTGGAGGAGTGAGGGGAGCCGCCCGGGGACAAGTCCTTGGTGCACAGGTACCAGGATGGAGCTACCCAAAGGGGAGAAGTACAGTTCTCCCTGGGAAGGGGCAACTGCAGAGGGTTTTGAAGAATGAATAGGAGTTCTTTAGGCTGACTGAGGAAGCTTGAAACAGCATGGTGTGGGGAGTTAGGGAGGAGGGAGAGGAGGTCAGGCAGGCCAGCTCGTGGGGGCTGCAGAATAAGTTTTGGCAGGGCCAGAACTTGGAGCAGGTCGCCTGGTCACTGTGGGGAGTGGGTTGGAAGAGCAGCTGAAAGGTTTCCTAGGACCCTGATACAGCCCTTAGGTCTGTGGGGCTGGACTTGTGCTCCTATTTTAGCACCAGAGAAGTCCAGAGACCTGTGCAGGGTCACATAGCATATGGGACCTGGCTAGGTGGGACCTAGACACTCACCTACTGGCCTGTTCAGGGCTCTCTGTTGAGGCTTGACTTGAAGCCTCCAAGGGCAGGCCCGGCCCCTGCCCCCAGCATCCATCCCTTCCCCACCCTGGCACAGCGTCTGGGGGTGCACAGTGGGGCTGAGAGGAGGCTGGGTGGGCCCTGCCGTGGGGTGGTTGCATTTGGCTGCTCCCCCTCCCCGTGGCTGACTTGTGAGGAGGCTAGGATTGATCCGTTCTTGGAACTGGCGCTTGTGAATATTCCTAAAGAGGAAAATCAATCAATTATCCCAGAGCAGGGCCATTTTTCTAACCGGGAGAACAAGCAGTTTTATGCACCTCGGAAGAGCCTCCCGGGGTCGATCGTGGCTGGGCCAAGCCAGACGCCCTCTGAATCTCTCCTGGACTGGCGGTGGCCCCTGTCTCTACAGGCAGCCCTCCCGCGGCCTCACTCTGCCCGCTGCCAGGTCAGCATCCCCAGCCTCTGTGTGACAGGGAAGCCCAAAGCCGCCTGCTGGGGCTCCAGGGAGGGAGTTAAGGCCCCTCAGTGACTGGACTGAGGCAGAATTGCTCCTTCTGTTGAGCCCCAAATCCCACTGCCAAGATAGGGTCCCAGGCCTGAGGACCTCCCGCCAACACCAGAGCCCCACGCATGGGGGTGCTCCCACTCCGGCCTGCCCTGTCCCGGACGCCAACCCAGCGAGGGTGCGGAGTGCAGGGCGGGCGCAGACAGCGAAGGCCTGCAGTGGCTGCCTGCCAGGCTGGGAAGCTCCAGTGGCCTGAGGGTCCCAGATTCCACTGCCATCGAGGGAACTCCCTCCCCGCACCCCCAGCATTGACTCCTCTGTTCCAGGAGCTGGACCCTGACTGTATGTGGCGCCTGCCTCCAGCCCTGCTCTTCCCAGAGCCCTCCTGGGTCTGGCCTGGGCCAGGCCTGCCCTCCAGGGACTCCCACAGGGTGCTGGGCGGCAGGGCCCCGCCCATGCCCTTCTGCTCAAACCTTGGGTGCTCTACCCTCCCACTGTCCCCTCCTGGACTGTCACTGTTCCTCCTAGGGGGCAGTGATGGAAGGGGCCCACCTACCCATATGTCCCCTGGTTCCCTCAGTCACCCCGACCCTGGCAGGAGGGTTAGGCTGGCCTCGTGAGCCCCAGGACAGGCTGTCCTGAAACGGTCACCTCCCAAGCCCAGTGTCCCACTCAGAGCTGGGCCTCCATAGAGGACCCCACAGGACGGCTTGATTACTTAAAATTGTGATTACGGTAAAATGTGTTACGATTTCAGCCATCTCTGAGGGTGCACCTGAGTGGTGTGAAGCGCGCCCACATCCTCGTGCCTCCAGAATCTTCCATCTTCCCAAACTGACTCTGTTCCCGTGAAACACTCGCCTCCCCAGCCCCCGTCCCCACCCTGTGAATCGGAGCCTCAGAGCCTTAGGTCACTGGGGTCACAGCATGTGTCCTGTGCCCACCACCTTCGCTCAGCATGGGGTCTCCCCAAGGGGCTCTGGCGAGGGGCGGGCATCCTTCTGGCTGGGCAGGTGGAGGGGCCCCTCACCCAGGAAGGGTGGCGGAAGCCAGAGAGGCCCTGAGGGTGAGGGTTTGAGGGCGGATGTGTGGGGGTGGGGCCGCAGTAACTACAGGCCAGCAGCAAATGGACAGCTCACAGCGGCCGGCAGAGAGCATTTTTAATGGTCCCTAAAGCCCTCAGCCAGCCAGCGCTGAGCTCAGCATCCCCTCGGTGAGCCTGGGAGGGGCGTGGGGCAGCCCGGGACCACCTCAGATATCTCCCACTGCCGCCTCTTCCCTGCCAGGACCCCCAGAACCCACCCAAGAACTCAGGGGCAGGGGACAGAGCCCTGCGGGTCCCCAGACCCCGGTGTTGATCGTTCCATGCTGGGCCGGAACTGCCCTGCCCTTGGGGACTCTGCAGGGATATTCGGAAGCTCCGCCAGCACCCCCGCCCTATTCGTCACAGGGCCCATTAGGTGCTGACAGTTGCTTCCCCATCTGCCTGGCTGGGGCGGGGCCAAGGCCCCAGGGGCCCATCCATCTTGGACCCTGGGGTCTTCCTCTTCCTCCTTGGTCTGGGCTGGAGGCCTCTGAGGGTGGCCTCCCCCAACCCAGACTCCGGGGTGGGGGCAGGCGTCTTCCGAGAAGGACAGCAGGGAGGAAGTGTGGGAGGAGGCGGCTCCCTGGCCAATAGGGCAGCGCAAGGCAGTCCCAGCACCATCACAGTCCAACCCTGGGGGCACCAGAACCCGGGGACTCCTGCTTGGGCTGGGGGAGCCTGGAGCTGATTTGTTAGCTCTCCCACCCCAACCAAGCTCATTCAGCTGGGGCTTTGGGCCTCAGCTGCCTATCACCTGGGCGGGAGGGTTCGTGGGAGGCCAGCTAGGCTCCAGGCAGCCCAGACAGGGTCCAGCCACCGGCCTTGTGGGACTGGGTGCCAGGTGTGGGGGAGGGAGCCAGCAGCTCCCCGGGGTTCCCCTTGGTTCAGCACCCAGGCCCAGCTGTGGGTACTGGGAGCCCAGGGCTTCTAGGAGCCTCCTCTGGGCCTGTGGGGAGGGTCTGGCAGTTTCTTCACTCTTCCCAGAGGGTGTGGGCAGGCCTTGGGTGCAAGAGATAGCCTGGCCCGGCACTGCAGCTGCCCTGGGGTCAGGACTGCCTGGCAGGCTGTGGTTTATTTATATGACCAGCTTATTTATTTATAGGGTTCTTGATGGGAGGTGCGGGCCCTGGCCTGCACCCCAGAGATATGCAAGCCCCACCGCAGAGGGGCAAGGGCGTACCCCTGGGCCATAGCCAATGCCCACTACTCCTCCGGGAGGCAGTCCTCAATTGCACACTCCCCTCCCGAACCCACCTCCTCCCTCGGTGGGGAAGCAGAGGCCACAGAGGTGAGCGTCACTGGAGGCGTGCCAGGACACAGCGCAGGACACAATGATGACATCAGTCTGATGTCACCACCTCTATTGAGCCCTGGCTCCAGGCTGCCCCCCTGTGATCCTGCTGGCTGTGGCTCCGTGAGGGTTGGGGGTGTCAGGGGCACTGGAGCTGGGCAGGGCTGAGGCAGTATGGACCCAGCCAAGCTCTGGGGCCACCAGACTCCCCTCCTGCCTTTCACACAGGGTGTCCAGATAAAATTCAGTACACCCAGGTACTTGTGAATTTTAGACAAGCAATGAATTTTTTTTTAAGTATAAGTATATCCCAAACAGTGCATGGGATATACTTAGACTAAAATGGTTTTGTTGTTTTTTTAATCAGAAATCTAAATGTAACTCCGCACCCTGGATTTTTGTTTGCTAAACCTGGCTGCCCTCCTGGCACTGGGCAAACACCTGCCCAGGAGCCCCCAGAGGAGAGAAAGACCTCGCCTTGGCAGGGGTGTGTCCCGGGAGGCTGGGACAGGCTGGCCACCCACACATCACTGTCCTTGCCCTGTTTCCTCTGTACTTCAACTTCCCACTTGCCCTGTGCCCCCACCCCTGAGGCCCGGATTAATTTGGGAAGGACAATGTTTATATTAACCATTCATTTATCGACGTCTGCTTGCTGGGTCAATGGCCAAATTTATTGTCTCACAAGATGGGCCGCGTCGAGCCGCGTGCAGCCTTCACCCTCCCCTGCCAGCCGGGGCAGTCGGCCGCTGTCAATACGCAGACCGCTGACCTTGGGCCTGCAGTCTGCTGGGGGCTGGGATCTCCCGGAGAGGCTTCTGGAGCAGGAAAGGGGTGGGCAGTGGGGTTCACCCCTGCATCACCCCGTTGCTGGGCTCAAGGGCCCACACTCACCCCCACAGCCAGGGGGGCACTGACACAGGCTGAGGGTTGGGCCCAGGCAGGGGGAGGGTACAAGCCCTAGAAGAGAGGCCCCTGGGGACCCCGGGCCACACCCCACTGAGCACCTGCTAACGGCCGGCTCGGGCTGCCAGTCTGATGGGGGAGGCAGTCACCAGATGGCCCCATGAAAGACGGTTTCGTGGGCTGAGGAAAGGAGACTCTGGGGGTCCCAGGCTCCTGAGGAGACACCATATTGGACCCCACCGGGGGGGCATCTGGAGCAGGGAGGGGCAGAGAAGCCTGGGGAGGGGACAGAAAACCTGGGGGCTGGCTGCCCCCCCAACCCCTGGTCACCGGGCTGTCATCGGGGCAGAGAGGAGCACTAAGGACCTGCGATGGGGTGGGCACAGGTCTTGGGACACCTGTGCCTGCATGCCGGCCTCACAGGCTGGCTGAGGGCGGGAGGGGTGGGAGTGTGCCAGGCCCCCTCCAGCCCTGGGGCATAGTCCATGGGGGCCTTGTTCTCCCTCTGTCTCACGACATCCTCCACACCACTCCACACCCCTCTCCAGGAAAGACCCTGAACCCCAACTCCCAGGAGTCCCTTGAACCCTCATAACCTCAACAGACACACCTGGGAATGCTCCTCAGAGGAGCAGCTCGGGCACCCCAAGCTGAGGCCCGTGCCCACCTGGGCTGCGCCCAGACTCCGGTCTTGAACCTCTGGGCTCTCCTGCTCTTGGACAGCTCAGTGCATTCATTCAGCAGTGGGCCCTGCTGAGCGTCCCCCAAGCGCAGGGCCCTGAGGAACAGCTGTGACCCAGTGGACTAAGACCCCTGCCCTCCAGGGCCTGGGTGTGCAGCTGGGTGGGGGCGGGTCCAGCCACAGCATCCATCGGCAAGGGGGGAGGGGCTTGCAGGCAAGGTGGGGACCTGCAAGGGCATGGTATGCGCGCTGGGTCTGTGGCCCCCTGTGCAGGGGTGAGTGGCTGCAGGGCCGAGAGGAGGCTGTGCAGGGGTGAGAGGAGGCTGTGTAGGGGTGAGAGGAGGCTGTGCAGGGGCGAGAGGAGGCTGTGCAGGGTGAGTGGAGGCTGTGCAGGGGTGAGAGGGCATGCCAGTCCTGTGGGAGGTGGGAAAAGGGGGTCCAGGGTGAGCAGCGGGCTCGAGATGGGGGTGTCTGCTGGAGCCTCTTCCCAGCTGCCCAGTGCGTAGACCTCAGGGACACCTTGCCAGCCTCCCCTCCCCGGCCTTCCCTCCACACCCCAGGCTGTGCTGCACCCTACGGCCACCAGACGGCGTGCAGAGCCCAGCAGGCATACAAGGCCTGGCGGGTGGAAAGGGGGCCTGGCCAATGGGCTCATTTGTTGGCCGGAGCAGGCAGTCAATGGCCTGGGACAGCAGAGGTGCTGATTAAGATGCCACACTTGAGTTAGAACCTCCTGCCAGCGGTGATGAGCAATTGATCAGCTTGTCAGGGGAGGCGGCCCAGAGATGGGGAGGGGAGTGGAGGGGAAGGGAGGGCAGAGGGGAGGGGAGGGGAGGGGAGGGCAGAGGGGAGGGGAGGGGAGGCAGGGTGGGAGAAACAGGGCGGTGTGGGGGAGAGCGATGAGAAGACACAGGTAGATGAAGAGAGACAGAGACAAAGGAGAGGCATATCCAGCGAGCTCTTGCCCACAGCCCAAGCGTCATCCCACCTGTGACCCAGGGCTGGGAGGAGGGTTGGAGACCCTCGGGACAGGTGGATCCCAGCCCCTCAGCACCCCCTTCCCGGCATCCCCCCCAGCGGGCGGGGCATCCTGGCTTGCAAGTCTTTCTGCTGTTTCCATTTGTATGTAGAATTTATAGACTTTTTTGTTGAGCATTTTAAAATTTACAGAAAAGTAAGCAGAAAGTGCAGAGCCGCGGGCCTTGCCCTCGACCTGTCCCCGCTCCCCGCTTAGCCCCACAGTGCTCCGTTTGGCATCACTGATCAGCCGCAGGGCTCGCCCGAAGTCTGCACTGACACCGGGGCTCACCCCAGGTGTGCCACGTGGGTTCTGGTGCACACTGCTGTTTCCACCGTCGTGGCACCACACGGAGGGGCGTCACCACCCTCAGCACCCCTGCCGCGCCCCCAGCTCTCCTTCTCCCGACCTTGGCAGCCGCAGACTCTTCCTTTCCCTGTGGTTTTGCCTTTCCCAGAGTGCCTTCTGGTGGGACTCACAGCATGTGGCCCTTTCAGAGGGCGTCTTTCCCTTAGAAATGTGCCTCGAAGGCTCCTGCTGGTCTTTCCGGGCTGGAGAGCTCCTTCCCTGTGGTGCTGAGTAACATCCCCCTGTCTGGAGGTTTGGGGCTGATCTCCCAACCCCGCTCCAGGCTTGGCTCTGAAGAACAGAGCTGCCTTGACATCCGCATGGGGGTTGGTCAGTTTCTGCTCATCTGGGTGAACACTGAGAGTCCGCTCCCAGACCCCGTGTGGTGAGAGTGTGCTGAGTGTCCTAAGCTGTGCCCAGCTGTCCTGCCGAGGCTGCCCCATCTGCACGGCCACTGCCATCGGTGCCTCTTGCCACTCCCGCCTTCTCTCTGTGCTTCTCCGTTGCCGGCCTCACAGCGTTCTCCTTTCAGCTTCAGATGTTCGCCCTTGCCTGCCTTCCACAGAACAGGAATCTCCTGCCCCTGACCCCAGCTGCCTCTTGCTTGTCATCACCAGCTGTGGTCACAGCCGCGGGTCTGGTTGGTCACCCTGGACAGCGTAGATACAGTGTAGATACTGCCCACAGTCATGGTGGCCTGAGGGCTGCACTGTCCTGAAGTCAGGCGTGCACTCTCTATCTCTGTCTCGCTCTGTCTCTTTCTCTCCCTCTCTCTCCATTCATGTCTCCACCCCCACCCCATCTCTCTCCTGCTCACTCACCCCTCTCTGTCCTGGCCTGCACATGGCCTGTCCCCACACTGAGTGTCAACAGCATGATTTCAGGACCTTTTGTTTTGGTTTGTTTTTGAGACAGGGTCTCGCTCTGTCGCCCAGGCTGGACTGCCGTGGTGCAATCGCAGCTCCCTGCAGCCTTGACCTCCTGGGACTCCAGCGATCCTCAAGCAGGTGGGAGGTTCTGGGGGTGCCCCCTCTCCACCCCTGGGGCAGAGATCACCTTTCAGTCTCGGTCGGCCCCCACCTCAGCTTCCGGAGTAGCTGGGACTACAGGCTAGTGCCACCACACCAAACTAATTTTTAAATTTTGTGTAGAGGCAGGGTCTCACTAGGTTGACCAGTTTGGTCTCGAACTCCCCAAAGGCTCCTGCTAACTCAGCCTCCCAAGGTGAACTTCGGGCCCGTCTCTCTCCAGTATGTCCGTCATTCTGGGATGACACAGTCACTGCCCTGTGGCAGCTTCCCTGGGCTTTTCCTGGAACCCTCATCTTCTTCCTTCCTGGTTTTCTCTCCCATTTCTAGAGTGCATTGCCTGCTCGCTCCCTCAGAAAGGGAATGCGGGGCCGGGCACGGTGGCTCACGCCTGTAATCCCAGCACTTTGGGAGGCTGAGGCGGGCGGATCGCCTGAGCTCAGGAGTTCAAGACCACCCTGGGCAACATGGTGAAACTCTGTCTCCACTAAAATACAAAAAATTAGCCGAGCATGGTAGCACATGCCTGTAATCCCAACTACTCAAGAGGCTGAAGCATGAGAATCGCTTGAGCCCGGGAGGCGGAGGTTGCAGTGAGCCAAGATCACACCACTGCACTCCAGCCTGGGTGACAGAGTGAGACTCCGTCTAAAAAAGAAAGAGGAAAGAAAGAAAGAGAGAGAGAAAGAGAGAAAGAAAGAAGAAAAGAAAGAAAGAAAGAGAAAGAAGGGAGAGAAGGAAGGAAGGAAGGAAGGGAGGGAAAGAAAGAAAGAAAAGAAGGAAAGAAAGAAAAAGAAAGAAAGAAAGAAAGAGAGAGAAAGGGAAAGGAAGGAAGGAAGGAAGGAAGGAAAGAAAGAAAGAGCGAAAGAGAAGGAAAAACAAAGGGAACATGGTCGGCAGACCTCCCAGCCTTTGCCCACCCTGAAGCATCCTTCTCCAATCCCCATGGCAGCGGGTGGCCCGGCAGCAATCCCGGGCATGGAAACTGATTGTGAAGAGGCTGTTCGTCGGTGGTCTTGCTCCTGGGGAGGGCCCCGCCTTTCTGATGTCCTACTTTGTGTGGGACCTGCTCCTCCAGCCCCCGAGCCTTTAGGTGCCCACAGTCCTCAGGGCTGTGAAGTTCATGCTGACATGTAGGTCACCAAGTGTCAAAGGAGGTGCCCACAACCCAGAGCGGGGGATGTGTCACTGTCGTTGGCAGGGCCTGGCTGGTCCTGTGCAATCCTTGGTGCTCCGGGGACAGCTGTGTGCACCCTGGGACCCTCCCAGGGAAGCTCCCACCTCTTCATCTGGTGGAGGGTCCTGCCGCAGGGTCCCCATCCCCAGACAGTCCATCCCAGAGCTGCCCCACCCATGCCCATCCCCCACCTCAGTCACAGCCTGATTTGGCAGCCACGGGAGTCCAGGTCCAGGCTGGCACCTGGCTGGATACCCAGGCAGGTCCTGGGGGGAACCCCTGGTTATCAGAGGAGAGGCTGGGGCAGGCGGGAGGCTCTGGGGTTGCCCCCCACCCCCCGGGCTGAGGTCACCTTCCAATCTTGGTTGGCTGCATTTTTTCGTGGTCCGGCAGAGTGGCCTGAAACCCAACCCCAAGGCTCCAGTTCCCTCTGGCAGGGCCGGGAGGGCTGGGCTGACTGGGGATGCCTTCCCCACACCCCAAGGAGCCCTGTGGGTGGTGGGGTGTACAAGTCAGAGACAATTAGAGAGGGGTGACTTTGCCTCTGCCACCCAGCTGGGGCCCTGACCTCTCCAGCCCCTGTGTCCCTGCTATTCGGTCCCCTGGCTCGGCTGGTCTCTGGCCTCTCTGACTGGCTGTGGGTCCCTGCAGGGTTACGTCAGATGCCACCTCCACCAGGAAGCCCTCCCTCTCGCTGCTGCCCCTACGCTTCCTGCAGGCCCTGGTGATCCAGCCACGTGGTCAGCTGGGCCCCCGCACATCCCTCCCAGAAGTCTGTGGGCTTCTACCCCCACCCTGCCTGCTGCTCCTGCTGGGGAATCCCCTGTCAGCGAGGGAGGCGTGCCCTGCCTTCCCCAGTAAGATCCCACTCCTTTCTTGTCCCATCCTGCACGCCTGACCTGATGCCAGGTGTCCGACCTGATGCCAGGTGTCCAGCCTGATGCCAGGTGTCCAACCTGATGCCAGGTGTCCGGCCTGATGCCAGGTGTCCAACCTGATGCCAGGTGTCCGACCTGATGCCAGGTGTGCAGCCTGATGCCAGGTGTCCAACCTGATGCCAGGTGTCCGGCCTGATGCCAGGTGTCCGACCTGATGCCAGGTGTCCGGCCTGATGCCAGGTGTCCCCTTGGAGCAAATGGCAGTGTTGCAGGTGTTTGTTTGTAAAATTGCAGCTCCTCGGCTGGGCTGGGCCTCGGAATCCCAAGGGCAGGGATCTGCCCCGGGGTAGCTCCTGGTGTCCCTGCCCCTGACAGCAGGGGAGGGGGCTTGCAGGGAGCCTGTCCCTGGACTCCTCCCGAGGACCCCTCACTGGGACCCTGACAGAACTAGAGTCTTGGAAGGGGCTCAGGAACCTGCAGCTGAGAAGCCCCTGCTGCCCTCCGCCTCCCTCCGTGGCTGCCCGGTCTCAGCCTCGAGTCCCCCCACCCCTAAGAAAATTAGCTATCTGTGACCAATACATTCCACTTTGCTCAAAAGTATTTGACTGGGGAAACCATGAGCAAAGAATTTCATCGCTTTAAAAAAACACATTGAGTGCTGGCTGGAATCAAATTCTTTTAATTTTAATCAAGTGTATTGGCCCGAGGGGTTTCTAGGAGAAAGCCCCACCCACTCCTAGCACCCCCGTCCTCAGGAGGCCCCTGCCCGGCCTCCACCTCCAGCTGTTTGCCTCCAGGCAGGACTGTGCCAGCTCCCAGCTCACTCTCTCTGCCAGCCTGGGCTCCCAAGGCAGATCTGATGTGTCCCTATCACAGCCCAGGGGGGCAGGACGCCTGGCTCAGCGCAGATGCAGGCTGAAATCCCAAGGCCTGCAGGCCCTTCTGCAGCCACACCCCAGGGACCTCAGCCTCCTGACCGCTCCTGCTTGCCAGCCGCCAAGACAGCTGCACCCCAGCCCTTACTCCCTCAACTCCCTGGCCCTGCGTGGCCCCGGCCAGCCTGAGTGCTTTCCACTTCACGCTGCCCATGCCACCATCTCCTCTTCCAAGGACTGGGGCGATGTGCCCCTGTGGGCTCCCACCCCCACCTCTACCCACAGCACGCGGCCTGGTGAGACGTGAGGCTCAAGGCCTCCCACAGCAGCCAGGAGGGAGGGCTGGGGCCCCTCCCCTTCAGCCAGGGGACCTGGTAGGCTGGCCTGGCCTCCCCCGCAGGACCCGGGTGGAAGGGAACTCTGCCCAGGGCGTGCTCCCCACAGTGGTCCTCAGGGACAGTGGAGGAGGCCGCCTTCTCACAGGCTTCCTCTCCAACCCCAGGCAGCCTCAGCTATTCCCAAGAGGCTCTCCTGGGTCCGCATCCAAAAGCTTCCTCAGCCCACAACCCCTGGAGAAGGCAGAGGTAGGAGGGAAGGCTGGAGGACCCCTGCTCTGCACAACCAAGCTCTGCCCTGCCTGCCTCAGGCTGGCCTGGGCACTGATGCCACTCAGAGCCGAGGACATCAGGGCCTGGAATCTCCGCCTGGTAGGTCATGCCCCTTCCTGGTAAGGGGACCAGGGGTGATCACACACCCGAGTGGGGCTGGCCACCACCCCAGGGGCAAAGCCACTGTCCCGGGTCTCCCGCCCTGTGCCGGGCCCCACTGCAGCCATGCACGAGCTGCCTGTGCCCCCCACGCCCCATCACAGGCTCTGCTGCTGGCCGGGCAGAAACTAAGAGGGGCCCTGGGGTCCTGGCACCCACAGCCTGAGGGGAAGGCCGGTACCAGCCCGGCCCACAGGGTGGAATCAGGGTGCTGGTCCCTCGCTGAGTGAGGGGTCCTCCCCGAAAGACTGCCTGACTCAGGCCCAGTCTACCAGGCTGTGCCACTGACCCTCCCCAGGGACCCGTCTAGGCGGCAGGGACTCCCCAGGCCCAACCCAAGCCATCTTTCCCTGCGGGGCGTCGTCCTGCTGGGTGCTCAGTTGGCGTCTCCCTGGCGAGGGGCCCCAGGACTCTTGACAAGGAGAGCTCAGTGGCTGGTGGTTCAGGCATGAGGGTGTCCGTTGGGGGCAGGCCTTCTCACCCTCTCAGGAGGTCCCAGGCTTCTCACCCTGTGCCCGCATTTCTCGCTTCTGCTCTCGCCTCCCCCTCGCCCACCCTCGCTGTTGTCCCCCTTGTACCCCGCAGGAGCAGACCCCGCGCACGTGCACTGGCCGCCCGGGGACCCCTAGCCGGGCAACTGCGGGGAGACAGCTGTGCCCGCGCGCGGTACCCCCGCCCCACCCTCCAGGTCGGGGCAGCCCCGGGCACCGACGGTGGCAGTCGGCGTGTCACCTCTCCTGCCATCCGCAGGGCGCAGCGGGCACGTGGCCCCTCCAGATAAGCAGAGCCCGGGGCCCCAACTCGCTTCCTCATGGCGGGCGGGGGGCAGCCCCAGGCGGCGCCATCTGACGCCCCCGCCCTGCGCGCTCCTACCCCCCACGTCCGCTGCCGTCTGTCGGTCGTGGAGCCGCGCTAGGCCACGGGGTCCCGGCCAGACGGGAGCGCCAGCCCCTCCCCCTGTCCCGATGTCCCCAAACCCAGGCTCAGCCCCTCCCTCCCCGACCCGATGACACCCCTGGGTCCTAGAATGCTGCTGGGGGCGGGAGACCGGAGAAGAAGCAGGTGCACGGGGAGGTGGGTGTCCTGCCCTCTGCGAGGAGCCCACCCCCTGGACCTTCTCCTAGCGCTAAGATCGGGTTCAAGCACCAAACCCGTCCCGCCTCGCCCAGGTCCCCGGCCGGTCCCCGCCCTGCCCCTTCCTGCCACGGCCCCTGCCCCGATCTGCCCCGCCCCTTCCGGCTCCGCCCCTCCGGCCTCGGCCCCGCCCCTTCCCGGTCCCGTCCCTCCGACATCGGCCCCACCCATTCCCCGCCCACCCTTTCCCTTCCCGGCCCCTGCCCCGCCCTGTCGTGTCCGCCTCTGCACTGGGATTCCTCCAGCCCCAGCAAGTCCCTCAGGTGGTCCCAGCCTCTGTGTCCGCCTCTGCTCTCCCAGAGCGCCTCAGGCAGAGCAGCCAGGATGGGGACCAGGCCCGCCTTACCGGGAATGAGCCTGTCACCTGCTCCTCCCACCCCGCAGCAGGTACGTCTGTCATCAGCACCCACCTTACAGCTGAGGTCACTGAGGCTCAGCGAGCGCGTGGCCAATCTACAGGGCCCCTCTTCTCTCCTCCAGGGAAAAGAGGGTGCGGTCCTACTGCCGCCTGGTGACCCAGGCCTGGCTGGGATGGAGACCGGGGCTGGTGGGCTGGACGAGAGTGGCAGGAGGTCTCTCCAGACAGTCCCCAACCCCCAGGCTCCCCACCTATCCCCAGGCTTCCCTCCGTCAGCCTTCCCACCCCCTAGCCCCTCTCCTCACCCCACGAGCCTGTTGGGGAGGGGCCGCTCAGAGGAGAAGGACTCCCAGGGTGTGGGGTCTGGCCATGCTCACCTGCCTCTCACCTGATGCCATGTTCAGGTTCCCGTGGACCTGTGGCTGCTTGGAGAGGCCGGGGGTCACAGATGGCGCCAGGACACTGTGGTGAGGAGTGAGTGTGCTGCCCTGGGGGCAGAGCCTGGACAGGGCCAGTGGCTGGAGGCTCCAGGACACACTCTGCCCCAGGAGGCTGCCCGGAGAGGGCCTGAGGCCCAGCTCCCAGGACGCTAGGCTGTCCTTGGGCAGGGATGCTGAGGGGTGTGTGACAGAGGAGAGAGCCCAGCATGGGGAGGGGTGACCAGGCCTGAGAGTCACAGAAGGACAAGAGAGGCCACAGGCCGTGACCAGAACCAGGGAGATTTGGGACCATCAAAGTTGGGGGTCAGGCCAGGGGTGGGAGGAGGGGCAGGGCCTGGGGGCCCAGGCCAGAGGTGCAGACATCACAGCCAACAGCTGGGGCTGAGGGTAACAGGAGGCAGAGGTGAGGGCACAGGGGCCGGACAAGGGCCAGGTAGAGGGTGGGGGCCAGGGTGAGGGGTGGGGGCCACTTCCTGGGGATGCAGAGAGCAGAGCTGTCCAGGCTGGGGAGGGGGACTTGGTGCCAGGTTGCCCTTCACCCTCCTTCAGTCTCAATAAAGTCACTAATTAGCATCCTGACCACTCAATTAGTTAGGCTGTATGCACTTAATTATGACAGAGTACACCGGTGGGGGCAGGCAGTGCCATCAGCTCCTCCAGCCCCAGGAGCCAGGGTTTATTGACCAGAAAAGACATATGAGACTGTGGCCCGCAGCCCTGCTTCCTGATGCGGGGCAGGGTGAGCGGAGGGGTAGGGAGGCAGGCGGGAAGACCCCCACCCTGAGCGTCTACAGGGGTTCCCATATCCTCTGCTCAGCTCCCCCAGGCCCCTGGGAGGGAGTCCTCCCCACTCCACACCTCTGGCCTCTGACTTCCACCTGTACCTGCCTCTTTCTCTCAGACTGCGATTACCTGAAGGGGTCCAGGCAGGGTGGGTTCATGGCCTGGTGCCTCCAAGTGAAGGCCACACCACTTCCCAGCCCTTTGCTCCTGGGGCCTGGAGCAGATGTGTCTGAGTCAGCTTCTCTTTGTAGCCTCTGTCGGGCTGACAGTGACTTCAGGAATGCTCTCCTCCTGCCGCACTCTGGACCTGTTGGCCATGCTGTTCAACTTAGCAAATGTTCTTCCTCACCGCCAACCACAGTGGCCAGGTGCAAGTCCCTCTTGGACAACCTCAGCCCTGGATACACCGCCTTATTTACCACTTCGTGAGCAAAAATAGTCCTTTTTTTTAAATGGGGTCTCCTTCTGTTGACCAGGCTGGAGTGCAGTGGCGCAATCACAGTTCACTGTAGCCTGACCTCCTGGGCTCAAGCGATCTTCCCCTCAGCCTCCCAAGTAACTAGGACTACAGGTGCATACCACCATGCCCAGCTAATATTGTTTATTTTGTGTAGAGACAGGGTCTAGCTATGTTGCTCAGGCTTGACCTTTAGTTTTTCTCAGAATTTCAAGAGGTTGTGTCTTATCTGCCAACAGATCATGCAACCAGCAAGGCTCTGGTCCAAGTAGGAACGGATGGTAAACTGGGCAGTGATGATGGTGGAGATGGTGGTGGTGGTGATGATGATGACAATGATAATGATGATGGTGATGGCAGTGGTGGTAGTGGTGATGGTGCTGGTGGTGCTGGTGATATGATGATGGCAGTGATGGTAGTGATAATAGTGATGATAATGTGATGGTAGTGATGGTGGTGGCAGTAATAGTGATGGTGATGGTGGCAGAGAGGGTGGTGACAGTGATGTCAGTGGTAATGGTGGTGGTGATGGTAATGGTGATGGTGGTGGTGGTGATGATGGTGGTGATAGTGGTAGTGATGGTGTGGTGGAAATGATGGCTGTGATCGTGATGATGATGGTAGTGATGGTTACAATGATAGTGGTGGTAGTGGTGGTGATGGCAATGATGGTATTGATGGTGATGGTGGTGGTGGTGGTAGTGATGGTGGTGGTGGTAGATGGTGGCAGTGAAGACGGTGGTAATGGTAGATGGTGGCAGTGAAGATGGTGGTAATGATGGTAATGGTGATAGTGGTGCTGGTGGTGATGGTGATGGTGGTGGTGGTGGTAGTGATGGTGATGATGATGGTGATAGTGATGGTGGTGGTGGTGGTGGTGCTGTTAGTGGTGGTGGTGGTGTTGCTGGTGGTGTTGGTGATGGTGGTGGTGGTGGTGGTGATGGTCATGGTGGTGGTGGTGGTGGTGGTGGTGATGGTGGTGGTGGTGGTGGTCATGGTGATGGTGGTGATAGAGCCAAGAGGCTCTTGGGACCATATGGCTGGGACTGAAGGCAGTGTAGACACAGCTGACCCTTCATGAGGGCTCTGCCTGGCTCTAGTAGCTTCTATCCTGAAAGCCTGGTGAGTGTCTGAAGGATGGTCCCCTTGTTAAGTGAGGGCAGGCTTGTGGATTTCAGGGGCCCCAGAGGCCTGGGAGGACATTTAGTGGGGGCGGGGTCCTCACCAAAGACTCAATGGGCTCTGGAGTTCCTGTGTCTCCTGAGACCTGCGCCTGACGTCACCCTCTGGATGGCCTCTGGCCTCTACCTGGGCTGGGGTGTCCCAGGAACAGAGAAGGACCCAACTATTGTTGGGGACCCCAGCACTCTCTGTCCAACCGAGCCTGGGGCCTGGGTGGCAAATGTGGGCATTGCGAGAGTGGCAGGACTGGGAGGAGGCCCAAGCCCTGGGTAGGGCCTGGGGGGTGCCAGGTCCACACCTCCGAGGTGGTGAGTGGTGCAGACAGCTGGTGCCTGTGGGTCCCTAACAAATGCAGCTGAGAAGTGGGCCCTCAGATGTCCACGTGGCATAACCCTGCTGTGACTGAAGCCGCCAGCCTGGATTGAACATTCTTCAAGATTTCTGCCTTCATTTAACAAGTATGTGTGTCACTCGTGTTGTGAGCCAGGCACTCCATGCAGCCAGATCAAGGCAGGGAAGTCCCTGCCCAGGAGTACTCATGTCCCAGTAGAGACAGAGGCCACAGGGCTTGCCCTGTGAAGCCAGCAGGCCCTGGGGGCTGGCTGTGATGAGGACCTCCGAGTCCTTTGGGGAATCTGCTGCCCAAGTCAGACCCAGATGGAAGCCTGGAGCTGCCCCGCAGGAGCAGGGAGGGAGTGCTCTGTCCTGAGGTATACAGCTTTTACTAGCTCCGATGGGGTGCCTCTTGGGGTCCCCCAGCCTGGGAAAGAGGCGCCATCAGCTCTAGGAGGCTGAGAGCCTGGAGTCTTGGCCTCTGAAGGCTGCGTTTCCTGGATGGCAAAGTCCAGCAGGACCCTGGCACCAGGGGTCCTTGGGCAGGCAGTTGGTCCTAGGCAAAGAAAAAAGGGCAGAGCTGCCCTAGCTGAGAGGGTGGAAGGCCATGTGCCCCCCCCAACCACGATGGGCGCTAGGAGTCAGATACAATTACTCTCTCAGTGTATCATAATTACTGCAAATAGCCCATTAAAGAGAAATTATCATCAATATGATATTAGCAGACAGCGGGGGAAATGAAGAAAGAAAAGTGCTTATTCTCTCATTGTCCCCTTAATGGGGACAAGGGGTGGAGAGGCAGTGGCCCCTGTTCACTGACCTCACCTCCCTGCCCACTGCATGGAGCCACGAAGGACCCGGCAGGCTGGGAGCCAAGGCATGACCCTGGAAACAGCAGTGCAGGAAGAGCGGGTGCCATGGGTGGAGTCGGACCTGCCTCTGCCCACTGTCGGGGGCTCCGCTGTCGCCTCCCAAACCTGGCTTTAGTCCAGCTTGGGTGGCTCGGGCCTCCCTTGAGGTAGCCTCTGCTGCGCCCCCACCCCCACCGTGAACCCTCCAAGGGAAGGCCCTGGAGTAGGAGGGGTCTTGGTTCAGCCTGTCCTGAGCTTGTGGCCCTTTAAATCCTGGGAACCAGGCTCCACTAGACGTGGCCTCTGGAGCACAGGTCTCTCCCAAACATCACCAAAATGACCGAAGAGGAAGAGGGAGGTGCCGTTTGCAGGAAAGAGAGAACGGGAGTGGAGCAGCAGCCACCAGTGAGGGAAGAGGTGGCAAAGTGCTCCATGGCTGGGGTGCCTATCTTGGCAGAGTGGAGCAGATGGTGAGCCAGACGTTCAGCTGGGCCCGGGTGGGCATCCGTCAGAGCCATTAGGCCCCTCGCTGTGGCCTCTCCCAGCCACAGGGGACCCTGGGGAAACTGGGCCTGGGACCAGGCTCACTGGAGGGTGGGTATGAGGCTCTCACTGAAGATAGGGGATTGAGTGGCCATCACAAACCAAGCTCAGCCGCCTGCCCCTCCTTCTCTTAGCAATGACACCAGCAGCCCATAGTCCCCAGGCAGGAGAGCAGAGGAGCCTTCCTTGAAAAACTCAATGGCCAGAGGAAAAAGACCAGCCTCTCAAAATGATAGATTCCCCATTGCCTGGTCCTCTACAGAAAGGCCCATCTGCCGACAAGACCACTGCCACCCTCTGCCACCCTCCACCACCCTCCGCCAGGTCACCAGAATGCCAGGCCTCACTCATGATCAGCTGAGCACCAGCAGGCAGGTGAGAAGAGCCTCCAGTGTGGAGCAGGTCAACCAGCAACAGAGCCAGGGAGACCCATGGAGTCCAGAGAAAACGGTAACAACGGCAGCAGCACCCAGAGACTGGCTCCCAGTGAGTTAAGCCCAGCCGCGACCCTTGGATGTGCCAGCTGATTTAATACTCATGATAAACCCAGTAGGTCAGTGCCAGTATTATGAGAGAAGTGAGGCACAGAATGTCACATCCACCTCCCCAAAGTCAACAGCTAGGAGTGACAGAGCCAGGATTCTGCCAGGCAGGTTGGCCTCAGAGGCCACACTTCTTATCCCAATAATAAAAGTGAACAAGAACAGGATGAAGTTAGAGTGAGAGAGCGAGAGTGGTAACACTCATGCAATCAGAGAACAAGAGAAAGCTCAATGGAAACATGTATTCACTGACAGGATTAAAACACAAAACAACAAAAAGAGAGACGGCCAGGCGCGGTGGCTCACGCCTGTAATCCCAGCACTTTGGGAGGCCAAGGCAGGCAGATCCCCTGAGCTCAGGAGTTTGAGACCAGCCTGGGCAACATGGTGAAACCCTGACTCTACTAAAAATACAAAAATTAGCTGGGCATGGTGGGGCATGCTTGTACTCGGGAGGCTGAGGTGGGAGGATCACTTGAACCCGGGAGGCAGAGGTTGCAGTGAGTCCAGATCGCACCACTGCACTCTAGCCTAGGTGATAGAGTGAGATCCTATCTAAAAAAAAAAAAAAAAAAAAATAGAAGGCAGGAAGGAAATATCAGAAAAATGCAGAATTGATCCAGGAGGTCCAAGTTCCAAAAGGAGTCAGAAAGAGAAAGGAGAGAAAAAGGTGGGGGATCAATGATCAAAGAACTAAACTGAGACCAGCGCCCAGAATGACAAGGCACAGGCCAGACAGCAAGGCTCACCCAAGTCCAGCACAATGCAAGTGACACGTGTGCATCACTGTGGAATTGTAGACCACTGGTGCCAAGGAGTGCCCCAAAAAACTTCCAGAGGGGGAAAAAATAGTCACATATGTCTCTCTCTCTCTTTTTTTTTTAAGGATAAAGGGAATTCTTTTTTTTTTTTTTGAGTCAGGGTCTTGCTGTGTTGCCCAGGCTGCAGTGCAGTGGTGTCATCATAGCTCACTGCAGCCTCTAACTCCTGGGCTCAAGCGATCCTCCAACCTCAGCCTCCTGGGTAGCTGGGACTACAAGCAAGCACCACCATGCCCAGTTAATTTTTTAATTTTTTTTGTATGGATGGGGGTCTCACTATGTTGCCCAGGCTGCAGCAGGTTGGTCTCAAACTCCCGGACCCAAGTGATACTCCCACCTGGGCCTCCAAAAGAGCTGGGAATACAGGCCTGAGCCATCATGCCCAGCCACATACTGTCTCATAAAAAGGCAAAGCAACCCCCAAATGCAGAAGGAGCTGAGAAACCAAAGGAGGAGGCAGACAAATTCAGCTTGTTGTTAAAGTGTGTTTTATGGGGGATCTTATGAACAGAAGAGTGGTCTTGGACAGCCACAAGACATATAGATCTCCACACCATAATTCCCCAGACCCAGAGGTTATATACCATAGGGAAAGGGTACATGTGCTTCAGAGGGAATGGGGAGGAATTTGATCTAAAGGCAGGACTTACAGTATATGCTCTTATGCAAGAAACAACAGATAAACTGAAAATCTCAGAGGCATTCCTGGAACCAGTGTTAGTCAGAAGTCAGCATGGTGGATTAGCTTCCATGGTATGTTACTTTAGCCTCCACACATACCAAGGATTAGTAGTAAAGATGGAACTGGACTTCCAGTAACCACACAGAAGCTCAAAGACAGAGTACCTTACAGATGCTGAGGAAAAGAGACTCCCAACAGCAAATTCTATACCCAGCCAAACTATCTGTCTAGTGTGAGGAAATACTAATGACACTGTTAGATTTGTTAAATCTCAAAACACTTATCTCCCATGCATCTCTTCTGAAGAAGTATCTGAAGGATGCTCCCCTACAAGGAGAAGTCAACCAAGAAAGAGAAGGGGGTGCCAACACAGGTGAGGCAGGAGGGGCCAGCAGGCCTGGAGAGCAGCCAGTCCAGCTGTGGCAGGAAACTGGTTGGCTCCTGCTGAAAGGTATCCAGGGAAAATGGCCTTCCTAGATTACACAATGCAAGTTTCTGTGTGGAAGCCATGTCACGAGAGATTTCTAAAATGATTAGAGCATTTAGGAAGAATTTGTTGTTGACACATAGAAAACCAAACAAAGGAAAACCAGGAGGCAATTTTTAACTCCAGGAAAAACAAAGAAGTTGCTCAGGAAAGAGCATTTAATTATAGTATATAACGTTGTTCAGGCAAGAACAATTCTTATGTAGTCATGATAATTTAAATATGGAATATTTTTAAGCTAAAAGTATTGTGGGGTTTTGTTGTTGTTGTTGTTTTGTTGTTGAGACGGAGTCTCACTCTGTCGCCCAGGCTGGAGTGCAGTGGTGTGATCTCAGCTCACTGCAAGCTCCACCTCCTGGGTTCACGCCATTCTCCTGCCTCAGCCTCCTGAGTAGCTGGGACTACAGGCGCAAGCCACCACGCCCGGCTAATTTTTTGTATTTTTAGTAGAGACGGGGTTTCACCATTTTAGCCAGGATGGTCTCGATCTCCTGACCTCGTGATCTGCCCGCCTCAGCCTTTTTTGTTGTTGTTGTTGTTTTTTGGAGACAAGGTCTCACTCTGTCACCCAGGCTGGAGTGCAGTGGTGTGATCACAGCTCACTGCATCCTAGACCTCCCAGGCTCAGGCAATCCTCCCACCTCAGCCTCATTTGTAGCTGGGACTACAGGTGCATGCCACCATGCCCAGCTAATTTTTTGTAGTTTTGGTAGAAATGGGGTTTCATCACATGGCCCAGGCTAGTCTTAAACTCCTGGGCTCCAGCAATCTGCTTGCCTTGGCCTCCCAAAGTGCTGGGATTACAGGCATGAGCTGCTGCACCCGGCCTAAACTAAAAATGTTCACATAGTATATAGGGAGGATGTGGGGCGGGGAAGAGCAAATGTGTAATGGAGTGAAATCCTAAACAATGCCTAAAATTAATAAATCAAGAAATAGTAATATAAACATTTTATTTAGAGATTTGGAGGTGTACTAGTCTGTTCTCGCACTGTAATAAATTACCAAGACTGGGTAATTTATAAAGAAAAAGAGGTTTAATGGACTCACAGTTCCACATGGCTGGGGAGGCCTCATAATCATGGCGGAAAGTGAAGGAGGAGCAAAGGCGCGTCTTACATGGTGGCAGGCAAGAGAGCGTGTGCAGGAGAACCGCCTTTTATAAAACCATCAGATCTTGAGAGACTTATTCACTATCACGAGAACAGCACAGGAAAAACTCACCCCCATGATTCAATTACCTCCCACTGGGTCCCTCCCATGACACATGGGGATTATGGGAGCTGCAATTCAAGATGAATTAGGGTGGGGACACAGCCGAAACATATCAGGAGGTTCCTGGAAGAAACAGAGTTGAAAGCAGTTATCTTGCTGAGTGGGGGACTCAGGGCATGGGCAGGAGACTGCTGAGTTTTGTTTTACGTCTTACTACATTTGATTTATAAAAGACAGATGTGCATATATCACTTCAAAAAAACAAAAGTGGATGTGGCTGATGCCAAAGTGACCTGCCCCAGAAGAGCTGCTAACAGAACAGCATCCCAGGAGGCTGCAGAAGGCTGAAGAGCAGAGCCCACACCTGCTATGGGCCACAAGAGGCCCTGGATGCCATGGAGGCCGCAAGGGCCCAGGCGGGACTTGCAGAATGAGAGTCCTAGGCCCAAGTATAGAGTCCCTGGTGGGCACAGAGGAGAGACCAGGTCAGTGGGAGGGGTTGTCAGACCCTGTGGAGTGCCCCACCTGTGTGCCAGGCCCAGAACTGGGCTCAACTCTGATGGTAGCAGGTGGAAAGTAGACTTCACTACTGTGGGAGTGGGGGCATTCCTGGACACAGGGGGAAACCAGCTCACAGAACAGCCTGGGGTCTTCTTGGAGGAGGCCATTTTGGCCCAGATCCTAAAGGAAGACTGGAAGCCTCAGGGGGCAGTGAGAACAGGGACAAGAGAGGGCAGGTCTCAGGACTGACTGAGCAACTCAGACTGACCTGGATCAAACTGTGGAGCCGGCGAAGGGTTTAGAGGGTTGCTGCAGGACAGTGGTGTCTGCAAAGACGCCTCTGGCTGCTGTCTGGAAAATAGACAGGGGAGGCTGGGCAGGGGTCTGGGCAGGGGCTGGACAGGGGTGCTGGGCAGGGGCTGGACAGGGGTGCTGGGCAGGGGCTGGACAGGGGTGCTGGGCAGGGGCTGGACAGGGGTGCTGGGCAGGGTCAGTCCATCTCCATCCTGCTTTCCTTTTCTTTCTTTTCAACAAATATTGATGGAGCACCTCCTCGGTGCCAGGCGCTGCTGCAGCCTCTAGGAAATCAACCGTGGAAACACACGGACCCTGCCCTCCCGGCGCCAGTGTTCTGGTGGTCAGGAGGTGAAGAAAACCAGCAAGAACCAGCACAGGAATCCGACGGTGGCAGCGCCGAGAGAAACAAGCTTGGAGGGGAAGGAGAGCTACAGAGGCTGCATGGGTGAGGCCAGCTTCTTGAAAATGGAGGTGTGAGATTTGAGGAGGGCTCTGGAGAGAAGAGGGAAGAGGGCCCAGGGGAGAGATGAGCAAAGGTTCGGTGGTACAAACTGAGCTCCCTCACTCCACGTTTGGAGTCATTCCACAGCTTCCTAAACCACCCACCCAGGCAACCCCATCCCCCTACCCACCCATCCACCCACCAACTCACCCCCAACCCCCCACCCACCCATCCTCCCACCCACCTGCCAACCCCCTACCCACCCACCCACTCATCCTCCCACCCTCCAACCCCCTACCCACACACTCACCCATCCTCCCACCCACCCTTCAGCCCCCTACCCCCCACCCACCCACTCATCCTCCCACACACCCTCCAACCCCCTACCCAGCCACCCACCCACTCATCCTCCCACCCTCCAACCCCCACCCACCCACCCACTCATCCACTGACTCTCTAACCCCCTACCCACCCATCCACTCACTCATCCACTCTTCCCCATACCCCCCCACCCACCCACTCATCTTCCCACTCACCCCCATACCCCCTACTCACCCACCCACTCACCAACTTACCCGCCCATCCATTCATTCACCCTCCTCCCACTCACCCACTCCCACCCATCCCCCATTCCCCCATGCCTCATCCTCCCATCCATCCATCTACCCACTCACCTACCCAACCACTCACCCATCTACCCACTCACCCACGCACCCTTCCATCCATCCACCCACCCATCATCCACCCACTCATCTGCCCATCTCCCCATTCCCCCACCATCCCATCCATCCATCCACCCATCCACCCATCCATCCACCCAACTGACCATCCACGTATCCACTCACCCACCTGTTCACCCATCTACACACCATTTATTCACCCACCATCAACCATCCATATATCCTTCCATCCAGCCACTATCCTCCCGTTCCTACCCATCCTGCTGTCTTCCTCATCTTTCTTGTCACACGTCCAGCTGTCTGTCCGTTCATCCACCCATCACCTCATATGCTCCTTTTGTTTTTACCTCTTTCACCTTTCTTCATCTTCAAATGCAGATGTGATGGTTGGAGTGGAAGCTGACATTGTGGGCCAGGAGACCCTGGGAGTACAGGCCAAGATGAAAAGAGCCTCAATCCAGAGCGTTCTGTGAAGCAGTCACCACGGCCACCCTGGGCCATCAGCTTCTGGACTTTTACAACATAGAAATTAAATTTCCATTGAATTTGTTGGAGTCATTGTTCCTTCAGCTCTCTGTTACCTGCACTTACATCTCTCTGTGAGTCGCGGAGTCTTGCAGTTAAGGTATTAATATTATTGCGTCTCAAGGTGCCTCAGGTCAGAGGTTCCAAAGGTGAATGAGGGCACAGCTCTCCGTCTGAGACTCACGGTGGAGAAGCCTCCTCACCTTG
This sequence comes from Homo sapiens, assembly GCF_000001405.40. Taxonomy (NCBI): domain Eukaryota; kingdom Metazoa; phylum Chordata; class Mammalia; order Primates; family Hominidae; genus Homo; species Homo sapiens. The sequence goes on from NC_000008.11 coordinate 143,419,329, forward strand.
CTCCTTCTCCCTGTCACCAAGAAAGGAGGTCTGGGGGAAGGAAGGGGTCCGTGTGGCCCTCCCGCCCCCACACTGTCCCTCTTGGATTCTGCTAGCCTGTGGGTGTGGGCAGCAGCTCAGCCTGGCCCTGGAATTTTCCATAAAGGTCTTTCCAGGTAAGAATGATTAGACAACATATTTTGTATTCATTATTATATAGTGCGTTTTAAATGTTATTTACGTGTATGTGGGTGGGTAAGATTTAATGGCTAAAGAGTGCTAGACAGCGGGAGCCAGGAGTGTGTCTGGGCTTGTCACATGAATTCCTGCAGAAATAATTCTCTTTTGGAGAATGCTGAACGTCATACCTTCCTGATCGTAACCTCAACGTGGCCCTAAGCGCCCTGTCCAGGGCCCCAGAGTTTCTGAACTCAGCTTAAGTCAGCTCCCCAAATTCAGCAGAAAGTGGGAGGAGTTGGGGCTGTTCTGTCCCTAGTACACAGGTCTGGGCAGGGCTGGGTTTTACCTTCTGGGAAGGGCTGTGGAAGGGAGGGTGAGGGGACAGACCCAGCGGATGAGGGGTTTGAAAAGGAGGAGTGGGGACTGCAGTGATGGGCAGCGCACTGCGGCTGAGTAGGGGGAGGAAAGCCTTCTGGGAGCTGAGCTGGGCTGAGCTGGGGACCCCCCATGGATGGCAGCTCTGGGTGCCCCTCCCATGCCTGCTCCTTCCCTGCTCCCCTCCTGCCAGGAGCCAAGCTCTGTTCCCCCAGGCCCCTCTGCAAGCCCCACAGACGTGGCCAAGACATCTCCGGTCTTGGATTGGGGGCACCCCTGTAAATCCCGCCCCGGTGCACCTGGAGAGGCACATCCCACTCCACGCCCTCCCCTCGGAACAGAGCCCCCTCTTCCAAGAAGCCTTCTCAGATTGACGAAGGGCTTGCTGAACGGGTCCCTCTCTTTACTGCTCATGAGGCCCCTGTGTGGATGGCCGATGGGAGGAGCGTCTTCTTACAGATGAGGTGATTGAGCCCTGAGAGACGGCCCCCGCTCTACCTCCAGCTGGGGAAGGGCAGAGGTCAGGCCGACTCCAGTCCAGCCCCTCTGCCACCATGGCGGGGGTGGCCTGGTGACTGGGCCGGGGGGCTGGGGAGGTGCCCACCTGACCTAACCAAGGCCAGTGACGAGGTCCAAGGCCCCGTCTCCACCCACGCCCCACCGCCTGACCCGCCTCCAAGGCGATGGCAGCCCCCACCCTGCTCCAGAGAAGACGCGTGGACAAGGTGAGGAGGAGACCAGAGCCTTCCTCCCAGACTCGCAGAGCCACCCCCGCGCGAGCCCTCCGCACCACCCGCACCTCCTGAGCTCTCAGGTATGGTGGTGCCAGGGCGGTGCACCAAGCACCCTCAGATGTGCTGCGAGGCTGCCCTTCGGAGGCACCCGTGCCGGCCTCCTGCTCTTCCATAGGGCAGCGGGCCCAGGCAGGGCACAAGGCGGACAGAGTGTCCCGTCCCCCATGCGATACGCCCAGGACCCAGAGGGCAGAGACGGTGGGTGAGGAACCATCTCTGCAGGGAACCGCCAGCAGGAACAGAAGGGTGAGGGGCCGGGCCAGCGACCTCCCTGGACTGTGGCAGCTCCCGCCTGTGCCCCCACGATCCTCTCTACACAGAAGCAGGGGCCCCTGCTGCCCCCACAGTGGCCCCAGGATCTGTCCCCAGTTCCTCGCCGCCCTCCCTGCCCCCATTTCACGGCTGCTCCCCTGCAGCCGCTCCAGCCCCGACTTTATACACACAGGCCCAGCCACCTACGGGCAGGCGAGGCCTCCTGGAGGCCCGGCGGGCTCTTCCCCCTCCCTCCCCGCCCTTTTCCTCTCCCGATTTCCTGGCCACCCTCTGGCTTAGTCTGCAATTCATCTTCCCGTCTCTCTTCCCATACCTGAGCCTCGTGCCGCCCGGGATTGCGGCGCCCGCGCCACCACGCTGGGGTAATGGTCCCAGCACCGCTGCCCTGCGTCCTGCCGCGCCCCAGCCCGCGCGTCTCACACACCGCGACTGCGTGTCTACAGGTGCCGCCTCTTGACGCCTCTGCTGCACCGCCAGTGCCCCGCTCGGCAAAGCACAGCCCCTCCCCAGCACTGCAGCAAATGGGCAGGAGACCCCCGCCCGGCCGGGGGAGCAGGGGCAACGGCAGGGCCCCAGTAGAGAGGGTGGAGCTGGAGCCGAGGCCGGGCCAGGCGCCTGCGGGGCCTAACGCTTCTGAGACAGGCGAGCCGTGCTCCGTGCTCCGTGCTCCGGGACGAAGGGGGCTGTGGGGTCGGCAGAGGGCTTCCCGTGAGGAGGAGCACACCAGGAGTGCTGAGGCCGGGGGTGGGAGGCGGGCAGATCCCTCAGGAGGGTGGGCTGGAGGGCCGGGACAGCCATGGGCGGCTTCTGTGCGGAGGGGCAGCCTTGGGGTTGAAGAGAGGAGACCAGAGGCTGCAGGGAGAAGCTGGGGATGGGTGGGGTGGGCCCAGCCAGGGCCCCTGTGTTTGAAACTCCCTTGTCGCAGAGGAGCCGTGGGCTACGCCCCTCCCCCAGGGCATCAGCTCCCCTGGGGCATCTGTACCAAGAGCTGGGCAGAGGCGGCGGCTGGAGAGGGGCCACCCAGGGCATGTGGCTTCCCGGAGGACATGGCTTGTCCCTGAGACCCACCCCTCTGGGGGAGGTGACCAGACACCTGGGTCCCAGCCAGGAGACGGGAGCAAGGGTGCTGCAGGAGAAGGGACTCCGGGACCCTCCTTCCTAGAGAAGCCAGAGTCCCCTAGAGTCCCGCGGGGCCCCGCCAGCAGCCTGGGACTCTTCTGTGCCCAGCACCCTGCCTGCACGCTCACTGCTGCTCCCAGGCTGCTCCGGGGAGGCGATCAAGGCCCATGGGGCTGGCGCCTGGCATGTTCCAGATACCTCCCTGTGTCAGCCTCTGAGGACTGGGTGGGAGGGAGGCAAAGGGGCCATCCCCTGCGAGCTAGACCACGCTGAGTGGGTGCCGGGAGGTGCAGTGGAGTCGGGGAGGCCCCAGGGCGGAGCCCGCCACATGGGAGGGAGGGGCTGGGCCACAGACGCAAGTCAGGGGCCAAGGTGGCTCTGTCTGGGAAGGCGGTGGCCTGAATGTGGAGAGGAATTATCCTCCAGGCTGGAACTGATCCCAGCTGCCCTCAGGACACCTAACTCGGGTGCCAGGGGTCAAGGGCACTGGAGTCCCAGAGGCCGGCATGGAAGAGGTGGCAAGGCTCAGGGGAATGCCAGGGTTGAAAGGGGCAGCAAGGGCTGCGGCTGAGGGGCTTCAGGCCTGGTGGGCTGCTGTTGGGGGGCACCCCACCTTGCTGCTCTCCACAGCCAGGTTGGGGTGCCTGGGGGGGCGGGCCGGACCTGAAGGCCACAGGCCTCCTCCTGCGCCTACCCCTCCTGCAACCCCCACAGCCTCCCCCGCCGACCCCTTCATGCCCCCCCGCCCCCCTGCCCGGCGCTCCTCCCCGGCCGCGGGCTAATTGGCTGTGACAGCTGGAGCCCTGGGCAGCTGAGCGGTGTCACTGCAAATTAGGCAGGCGCTGAGCCCGCCAGCCGCAAATTCCTCTGTCACTGCTCCCCATGCGGACTGCCGACTGTGTGTGGGGGTCGAGGGTGTGGGCTCCAAGCCACTCCCACCTTCCTGCCACCTCCTGATTCGGGGTACACTCCCTTCCCCCATCCCCCACCTCCTCCGCCTCCCAGGTGAGGAAGCGGTTTCCCCTCCTCCTGGGCCAGCCTCCCGCCTCAGACCCTCTCCCAGGCCCTGCCTCCTCCCCCACAACTTCCGAGTCCTCTGAGCACCGGTCCCACTTCCCGGGCCCTGGCTGGCCCTGCCCCGCCAGTCTCCCCTGCCACCCCAGACTCCCTAATTCAGGGTCCCTCGGCCGCCACCCTCTCCCTGGGAGCCCGGGGATCCAAATGCCTCCTCTCAGGGACCCTGGAGGGTACTCCTGTCTGAGCTGCCTGCCCCCACCTCGAGACCCCCTAGGAGCCAGGCTCAGCCAAGACCCCGCAGGCCTCCACCCTCCCCGGCTCAGCCCACAGCCTCGGGCTCTCCCTGCTGACCCACATGCTGCACCCCCAAAGTCCACCCCGTGCTGCCCCTCCCCGTGCACCCTCAGGGATTACACCATCAAGGTCGAACACAGAACCTGCATCCACCTCACGCCCCGACTTTCCACGCGCCTCCCAGCTCCTATCAGGAAAGGTCTCCCCCAGGTCCGTCCCATCCACGCTCTCCGGGACCATCTGGGCCCTCGCCCTGGTCTCAGCCTTTGCTGCCCCCGACAACCTGCCAGGACCCTCAGCCTTAGGGAGGTGGGCCCCTGTGAGGGTGGGGCCAGGCTGGGCTTGAATCTGGGACAGCGGGGGCACTCAGGCCCTGCCCCGCACCCTTGCTGGGCCTCCCCAGCCCTCGGCTGGACTCCGTGGCCAGGAACTGCTGAGCAGGCACCCAGGCCCAGGGACGGCAGAGGTATGGCTGCTTCAGCCATGAGGGCAGCGGGGAGGAGTCGGGGCTGGGCAAGGGAAAGCATGGACCCCACAGGGCTGGTGGCCCTTTCCTGTCCTGCAAATGTCAGCCCATCACCTCTGTGTCTGACTCAGAGCCCCGGAGTATCTGCTTTCCAGAGTGGCTGGCAGGTGGGGAGACCAAGGCCCCCTGGGGAGAAGGCCAGGCTCTTCCTGACACCCGCCCTGTTCCACGTCCCCAGGCCCTGGGCCAGGGATGGCTTTGCCCTTCCTCCAGGCCCAAGGTAGGGGTGTTGGGTCCCCAGGCTCCCAACCATACCCAGTGGCAGGTCACAGCACTGGCCCTGGGCCAGGACCCTTGGTGACGCTGTGACCTGCACAGGCCTATCTGTCGGACAGGCCCCTTCAGGGCCCTCCAGGGCTGAGCCAAGTCCCTGCTGAGCAATTGGAGCCTTCAGCCCCCCACGATTGGCTGGGCTGGTTAGTGATGGTTCCAACCAGAGGGTGGCTGGGTCTTGCACCCCACATCCATCCCTGGAAGAGGGCGTGACCCTAGGGAGCCTTCAGCACCTGGCAGTGGAGGATGAGGCTTCCATCCTGGAGGGCATCTGGGCCCCTCACGGTGGCTCCAAGGACCAGGGCTGGGAGAGAGGTGGCAAGGAGAGGCCAAGGCAGCCAGGGCAGGGCAGGGCCAGGACCCCTCCTCCCGGACAGGGTGGGCTGGGCTGAACCGAGCAGACAGTGGCTGAGGACCGCACTTCACTGGAGAGGCCCATGTCAGAGCCCACTGTGGCCAGGCGGGACTCAGCATGGAGGACCGGCCCAGACAAAACCATGGGGTTGGTTTGCGTATAGGGCCGGTGGGTCCACATGCATGTGTCTGGGTGTAACTCCACCCTCATGTGTGCCAGCCAGGTGCACGCGTGTGTGTACGCAGGGCCACAAGTGTGTCTGCTGTTGTGTCCCCGGGTGGGTAGAGTCTGCTCCCACATTCTGGGCTGTGTGTATGTGTGTGTGCCCGTGCATGTGTGCACGTGCCACAGCGTACCCACCCTTGTGCTGGGGCTGGGGCAGAGGACACTTCCGCTTTGTCCTGGCCCTCATCTCAGAGCCGGCTCTATAGGAGGCTGGGGGGGCCCTGCCGACAGCCACCACTGTGACGTACTGGGGGGCAGTGGGGGGAGGAAACAGGGCCACACTTGGCCCAGCGCCTGGGAATGGCAGAGGAAGGAGGGAAGGCCCTGGCCTTCTCCTGTGAGCACCCCCAGCCCAAGCCCTGTGCGTGGCTGACGGGGGCTTAAGGCAGGAGACCAGTGACCATCCAGGTGGGCTGTCGGGCCCAGGCGAGCGTGTGTGTGGGGGGTACAGATGGGCTGTCGGGCACGGGCGAGTGTGCGCGTGGGGGGGTCCAGGTGGGCTGTCGGGCACAGACGTGTGTGTGCGTGGGGTCCAGGTGGGCTGCGGGCACAGACGTGTGTGTGCGTGGGGTCCAGGTGGGCTGTCGGGCACAGGCGAGTGTGGGGGGAGTGCAGCCAGTGCTCCTGCTCGTGTGTCCAGTGTGTGCCATGGGTGTCCACCCAGGCCCAGGGCCTTAACCCCGGCCCCTTCAGCCTCTCCCTGCTGTCTGGGAAGACACAGCTCCCATTGGTGGGAGATGGGACACAACTCCTGGGGCCACATATCTGAGCTGCCCCAGGAACACTAGGTCCTCACGCTGCACCCTGTTCAAGGCAGCCTCAGGCCCCAGCCTCCCCTCTCCCAGGGCTCACGCGGGGGCCGAGTGTCACATGCAGGACACTCCAGTTGGTGTCTCCCTCCGGAGCTCTTGGGCCAGGGCTGTCACCTGGGTCCCTGCTGTGGGCCCCCAGTGGGCAGTAGGGTGGGTAGGGTGGTTGCCAGCGTGTGTGGGAGACAAGCTCTGCCCTCTGGGCCCAGGCAGCCTCCTCCAGGAAGGCAGAGGATGGCACCTTCGAAGTGCCAGGAGTCCCTGCCTGCCTGCTCTGGTTCTGGGTGACGGTGGCGGGGGCAGGGGGCACCCAGGCCAGGCACCATCACTGACCTCTGGGGACATCCAGGTGGGGGTGGGGGTGAGGTCAGCTGCTCTTCCAGGATGGGTCAGGGGCTAGGGTCCCAGGAGCTGAGCGGCGGATGCTGTGGTCGCCCCTTCCAGGGGCCCTCCAGCTCCCCTCAGCCCCAAGCACCTTGGTGCTGCCTTGCACACAAGGGACACACATGCTCACGACTGCCGTTGGCACTCCAGCTCTGCTGCCCTCCAGGGCTCCAGGCCCAGTGAGGAGGAGCTGAGGGATCTAATTCTCCGATTCCTTGCTGGCCACACAACCTCCCTCAGCCAGGAACCCCAGAGCTGCCCACCCTCCCCCGCTGCCGGCTCCAGCCAGGTCTGGCTGCAGCAGCCCCTCCTGAAGGGTCACACTGGTCCCAGGGACTCCCTCGGGGCAAACTGAGGCCTCCAGCCAGCCCTGCCAGCTGTACAGAGTCTGGGTCAGGTGTGTGCCGCTGGTCCAGGCCTGTGCTGTGTGGGTGGGCACGGGTGCAACTGAAGCCAAAGGTGCTTTCCACACATGGCCATCTTCCCGCGGGGGCTCACGGAGCCCCCAAAATGGTTTTCAATAAAGCTCTGTCTCGGAACACAGGAATAAGAAGTCCCCTGCCCGCAGGGGTCCCCGCGTCCCGGTGCTCACCTGCCTGCTCCACCTTGTGTGTGGCGGAAAGCAGGGGGACAGACGAAAGAGAGAAAGAGAAAGGGGAGAGAAAACAGAAAACAGGAAAGTGAACTGACTCCAGCAGCAGCAGCTGCTAAGGTCCCACAGCTCGGGCCCGGCCATGCTGCGGAGAAAGCTGGATCCGGTGGCAGCCCCGGCACGTGCCGCAGTGGGGTTCCTCTGAGTCCCAAACCCAGCAAGCCTCCAGCAGCGCCCGCAGGCCCCGTGCACCAGGAAGCCCAGTTCTGGCCCCTGAGTGCAGGGCTCCCAGACGCCTGGGGTGGGGGTAGGGAGCAGGGAGGGTGACACAGCTCCCTGCCCGCCGCTCCCACCCCAAAAAGGCCGCCTCTGATCCAGGCTGCCAGAAGTCGCTGGGTCCTGTACTTTCTCGGCCAGGGAAAGGCTCTGTGCAAAGGGCTCCTGGGGGCGGCGATGGTGAAAACTAAGGTGTCCCATGTCCTCTGCTCTTTACAACTTCGGACTATGAAAAACGAGCCAGCAGATTCCCGTCCAAGAATGTGCCCAAGGCTCCCCGCCCCTCCTTGGGGAGAGATGGCCTGTGTAAGCGAAGGCCCGGGCCGGGCGGCTGAGCCACCCGTGGCTGCCTGGAACCCGCCTGTCCCTGCCGGCGTAGTCTTTTCAACTCCATCTTCCGCCCCACATTTCTGTAATTCCCACCAGCATTCTCCTCCACAGAGATGCCTTCACGGCCAGCTCCCCTGCTGGGATTCTGCTTGAACTCCCGCAGAGACCCAAAAGCAAAGGGGGAGGCGGCAGGGACTGACGGAGGACTCGCCTTCCTCTCTTCCTCCAGGTCTCTCCGCTTGAAACGATAAAACAAACTCAGGAGACTCACTCACAGAGGATTCCGTCCCGTCCCCAGAAAGAACCTCCGCTTACCCCCGATGGAAAAGCAGCACAGCCCCCTCCCAAGAAAGGCGAGTTTGGAAGCCCTTGCAGGCCAGAAGCCCTCTCTCCAAATTTGCAAACCACGGACCCTCGCCTGCCTCTCTTCCGGCAGTGAAGGGAGGGAACCATCAACGACGTGTCCTGCAGCCGCCCTGGGCCCTGTGAACTGAGATTTCTGGGGTACTGCCTCCTCCCCTGTGCTCCCAGTCCATGCCCAGCCAGCCGTTCAGAGGAGCAAGGGTAGGCTGCGCCTTCAGGTGGGAGACGGGCAGACTCCGAGGGCTGGGGACAGTTCTGGCCACCAGGATGCAGCGGTGTGTCCCACCAAGGACACCTCCTGCCCTGCACCCCCAGCCTGCCTCAGTGACTCTCCCCAAAAGCCCCTCGGCCTTCTTTGCCGAGGGCAGACGCAGAGGGCACAGGTCTGCGGGGTGCAGGCCGGCTAACGCTGCCTCGCTGCTCAGTTTCTCCCTGGTCCTGCCGTCACCCAGGGCCCGTCCGTCACCCAGGGCCAGCACAAAGCCCAATGCAGGGCCCTCCTCTTCCTTCAATTCAGGGAGAAACACGGCAAAACTGAAAGCCACCGACCAACCAGCCAGGCTGCGGTGACTTGGATCTGAACAGATTTATTTTGTGTATTTTTTTCTTTTTCTCAGTTTCGTAGCAAATGAAAAAAGAACTCAACGAAAACCAACTACACAACAAAACTTTCAACGAGTCGGCGCGCCTTCCACTCCGAGTGCTCAGGGGAGGGGTGTGGAGCGGCTGGAATCCCACTGATGGCCCCTGAGGGCCTCCGAAAACGGGCAGATCCCCCAGGCGCCTGGCCCAGCCTACAGGGCCTGGAGCACCCGCCTCCTCGCCCTCTCTCCCGGCTAGTCCAAAGAGCGACGAAGCATTAAAGAAAGATTCCACAAACAAAACGAAACACAATTTAAATTAAAATAAAAACACTTTCTCCACCCGCCCCATGCCAGAAGGCTCTGGCCCAAGCCTCCTCTTAAAAAAAAAAATTTTCTGCTAGAAATACTGTGCATTACTTTTTTCTTTCACTTCTCTTGAAGGTTAAAACAAGATGTATTTCCCCAGGAGTTACAGATATGTTCTGGTGCATAGAGAGACAGCAGCTCGGGATCCGGGCCAGCCCCCACCCGACTGAGCACAGGACTCACCCCCCTCCCCCCACCCCCGGTTGAGCATAGTAGGACAGCAGGCCTGGACACAGCACGGGTGACGTCCCTGGCTTCGACCTCCAAGGAACGCCGGTAGCAGGGTCGGGGGCAAGCGGGGAGGGGGCAGGCAGGGGCCGGGCCCCTCCTGGCGAGCGACTCATGCTGTGACTCGCGACTGAGGGCGGACCCCGGCTGGGGAAAGAAGGGGCTTCCTCCAAGGTTTTCTTTTCTAATCACCAAGCATAATAATTATAAATACTTCGAAAATAAGACCGATTTTAAAACGGGGAGGGGAAGTTAAAAAAGGCAAGGAAAGGGAGGCTGAGAAGAGAACGAAGGAGGGCGGGGGCAGGCAGGGGCCACCCGGGAAGGGACGGCAGCGCGGTCCCTCTAGGCTGGCAGGGCGAAGGTGGGAACGGAGAACCACGTTCAACGTATGTACAAGCGGACGCTTGGAAAGAAGTTAGACCTGGCTCAAGTTTCCTTAGAAATCACCGTTCTCCGCTCAACCTCAGGACGGCGACCCGGGCCGACGCGCGCGAACGGGGACCGGGAGCGAAGGGGCCTCCAGCCCCGCGCCCGCAGACTTGGCACCGGGGCCAGCACGGCCGGGCCGGGCCTGGTGTCCACGTCCTGTACCGCGGAGTCCGAGCCGAGGCCCCGAGAGGCCTGCGCGAACTTGTCCCCGGCGACGGCGGCGCGGGCTCGGGGTCCGGCGCCTACAGGAAGAAGTCGGCCGTGCCCTTGGCCCCGCCGGGACCGGCCTGCGGCGGCGAAGGCTCCCGCGGGAAACCGGCCCCGCCCGCGCTCCCGGGGCCGCCCCGGCCCGCCAGCTTCTCGTATTTCTCCTTGTACAGGTCCCGCTCTTTGGCCAGGCGCCCCACCTCCAGCTTCAGCTGCTCCACCTGGCTCTGGAGTTGGCACTTCTCGCTCTCCAGAATGTGCCGCTGCTGCACCCGCTTGAAGCGGCAGGACTGCGCGTAGCCGCGGTTCTTGAGCGTGCGCCGCTTCTGCTTGAGCCGGATGACCTCCTCCTTGCTGAAGCCGCGGAGCTGCCGGTTCAGCTCGCGCACCGACATGGACACCAGCTGGTCGTCGGAGAAGCGCTCCTCCAGGCGCACGTGGTGGCCCGCGCCACCGCCGTGTCCCGCGCCGCCATGGTGGTGGTGGTGGTGGTGGTGGTGGTGGGCGGCGTGGTGATGGTGGGCGGCGTGGTGCGCGCCGTGGTGGTGGCCGGCGCCCATGTCGTCCGCTCCGCCGCCGCCCGCGAAGCCCGGGCCGCGGAAAGCCTCGTAGGCTGCGGCGGCCGCCGGGTGGTGCGCGCCGTGGTGCGCGCCGTGGTGGCCGCTGCCGATGAGCGCCTCCACCGCGTCCTCGGGCGTCAGGTTGAGCGCCTCGGGGTTGAGGTGATGCTGGTAGCCGCTCATCCAGTACAGATCCTCCAGCGCCGGCTTCCCCGAGGTGCCCCCGACGGCGCCGGGGCCCCCGCTCGGCGGCCCGGGGGCGCCCCCGGCCTGAGACGAGCCGCCGCCGCCCCCCGCGCCGCCGCCGCCGCCGGTGCCCGGGCTGGGCGCGCAGAAGCTGGGCGAGGAGGGCACGGAGGAGCAGGGCGTGCTGAGCGGCGTCGAGGACAGCGAGCCTGGCGGCAGGCGGTGGCAGAAGCGCTCGGCCTCGGGAGGCTCCTTCTTCACCTCGAACTTCATCAGGTCGAAGTCGTTGACGTACTCGATGGCCAGCGGGCTGCTGGGCAGCTCGGCGCCCATCGCCAGCTCCGCGGCCATCGCCCGGGGCCCGCGCCCGGCCGCGCCCCGACGGGCGGCGTGGGAGTGGGGGGGGAGCTGCAGGCCTCTCCCCCCCCTGCTCCCCGCGGGCGGCGGTCCCGGCGGGGGCGGGGGGGCGCCGGCGCGGGGCGGCGGCGCCGAGGGGCGCAGGGAAAAGTTTCACGTGGTCAACTCCGGGGCGGCGCGCTAGGGGCACCGCTGGCCAGGTGTCTCGGGCGACCCCGGGCCCGCGTCGCCGCCTCCTCCCCGCGGCCGCCGCCTCGGGCTGCTCCGGGACCGCTCCCGCGCCCCACCCGCGCCGCCGGCCGGCCCCGCCTCCCACGGCTAAACGCGAAGCCGCGCGCGCCCCTTTATAGAGCCGGGTGCCTGGGCCCGCCTCCCCGGGAGGGGCGCGCGCCCCCGGGCCAATCGGAGCCCCAGCCCCGCCGCCCTCATTTGCTTATCCCCATGGCAACTCAGAGCCCAGCTGTCAATCTCCTGCGGGAAACAGCTGTGGGAAGAGGTAGGGACGGGCCGCCGGCTAGAGGAGAGGGCAGGGCCCTCTGGTGGCCATCACGGGGCACTGCACGGGCAGAGGGCGCGCCGCCTCAGGGGACAACTGCCGTCTCCAGGGGCCTCAGCTCCCACACCCGGCGGCCGGAGAGTCCGGGGAAGCAGACGGGGACCGCGCCCGGGGACCCCCTCGGGGCCTCGTCCGCCTCGGGCCACGCGGCGGGACGCCCCCTCGGCCCCCTGGGTTTGCGGCCGGGCCTGGGGGCCGGGGGCAGCTCCGCTAGCGGCGGCGGCGGCGGCAGCGGGACCTCCGGGCCTCTGGACACGGGTGACACCGCGCGGCCCGGCAGAGCGCGGCGCGCTGAGCCGGTTATTTTTAGCCCGCGGCTCAGACGCGTTCAGGAATTTGGTCAACAAAGTTGCCGGCACCTCCGGGCACCGGGAAGCACGGGGCGGGCGGAGGGGGACACACGCGTGCGGGGCGGCGCGAGGGGCCGGGGACGGAGGGCCGGCTTGTGGGGGGCCGCGGAGAGCGCAGGACTGTGGGGGTCGCGGGACAACGCGGGTGGGTGCGAGCGGCGGGGGCGGGGCCCACGGGCTGGCAGCCCCTCAGGGCGTTAGGAATCCCCGCCCAAGCGGCCACCACTGCCCACTTTCGCCCCCCGCAGGGCTGGAGGCGCCTTGCTGGGCCTGGAGTGGGACGGGGGGTAACTGAGACGGGAAGGCGGGGATTTCCACCTGGCGGCCGTGCACCTGCTGGGAGGAGACGGCTCCGGTTCACGGGGCAAAGGAGGTGACGATGGGCGGTGGGCCTGTGACCCCAGGTCCCCGACACCAGCGAGCCGGGTGATGGGAGGGTTGCGCCAGGAGTTACAAGGCCGGTGACCCGAAGTGGGCCTATTGTTTCTTCTCGAAATTCTCTCCATTGCTGTTCTATGACTTCAGCAATTTAAAAAAAAAAAAAAAAAGTCTAAAATGTAACCACCTGTGTAGAGAAAAAAAGCCTGGAAGGAGTTGCGCAGAGGCCACAGGGAGGCCTGGTCACGGCGCCGCAGATTTAGTACCAGGCTCTCACCTCCTTCCCTCTACAAAGATCTATTGTTTTGTAACAAGAAGACTGTCATGAAGTGAGGACTGAACATCTGCTTCCTAAGGTGTCTCGGGGTGTCCCTGGCCCTTCCCTGGGCCCTCCCACTCCTCTGGGCAGAGCTGGGACTGCTGATTTGGGAAGACCAGGCCTTCCTCCCCGCAAGGGAGGGCCAAGGACAGCATGAGGACCCACCTGCAGGGACCCCTCTCCCCCGATCCTGTCCCAGAGGGGGCTCTGAGCTCCCCACCCTTCTACAGATGAAGAAATGAAGTGGGCATGCAGCAGAGCCAAGTCCCCACACTGGGTACCTGGACTTGAGACCACACGAGTGGTCAGCCAGCCAGGGGTGTGGGGTTTCCTTTATGGCACCCCGTGTTGAGAGGGAGGCCCGGGAAGGGAGGATGCCGCCGCGCAGTGGAGCTGGTGGTAGTCCAGGTTGTCTGCACCTGCAGCCCCAGGAGAGGCCTTGGGGCTACAGGGCCCTCCCACGGCCCCTCCAAGGGTCTAGCAGCATTTCTGGGTACCACACCCTGGAGGCCCTGGGGCACACTGGAAAGGGGGTTGAGGAGGAAAGAGAGAGTGTTTGCACCGGGCTGTGTCCCCACTGTCCCCCCCTCCCGCCCATCGCACTGTGGCTCCTGCCAGGCCAAGGAGACCAGGAGAGGGTGTTTGGTCACCAGCCCAGGAGGACTCCAGCACACCCGTGGGAATGAAGGAGACGCCTGACCCCAGGCTGTTGCAGTGGGAACCTTCCCCGGGGCCACAGCTGTGACCTCAGGCTGAGGGACGCTGACCCCACAGCCATGCTTGGACTCAGTGGCACCCCCATCCCGCCACCACCCACAGGAAGCCTAAGTGCCTCATCTTGCTCTGAGAGGTGGGAGAAGGTGGTGGAGGCTGGGGTGGCCTCAAAGATTGACCCCAACCCATCCGCCCCAAGCCTGCCAAGCCCTCCTTGAGGCTTGGTGCTGTCACCACCAAGCCAGGATGGCTCCCTAGAATTCGCCTGTGCTCCGCTGTTCCCTGGGCTCCCAGAAGCGCTTTCCCTTCCCGCCAGCCTCCCAACCCAAGGGCTTCTCACACCCTCCAAACTTTCAGCATTTGGTCCTCACAGAATTCTGCAGGGGCAGTCTGTGTGGCTGGGTAACTCAATGCACCCAACAGGCTTCTCTTGAGCACCTAGAGTACGTCAGCCAGCCTGCCTAGGGGGCACATCCCATCAGGGAGGTGGCCAGGGTCCCTTGTTGAGAAGCCCCCTGGAGCTTGATGGCACAAGTATTATTTCATCCATGGGCTCTGTAAGGGGGAGATGTGTCCTGGGAATAGGGGCACAGCTTGCCTCTGGTCCTGACAGCTGGGAGGACTTGGGGGTTGGGGTAACGGGACAGCTGATGGATGGTGCCACTGGGCAGGGTCTTCACACCCAGGCCTGGCAGATGGTGAGAGCTGTCGGCCAAAACAGCTGCTTGTGACACCTCCACAGGGCTGCTCCCTGCAGCTGGTTGGGCTTCCTCACAGCATGGCTGCTGGTTCCCAGTGTGTGCATCCGAGGAAGGTGGAGGGGTGCATGTGCCTCAGAACACTGCACCATGCTGGTGGTCCTCGTGTGTAGAGGTCGGCCACCCCCCTGGGCAGGGGTACGGACACTGCCTGTGTAGGTCATGTGAGGAAGGGGCCTGTGGGCTGAGATGCACTGTTGTAGTGTTTTTGGAAAATACAGTCTGCCGAGTGGGCCTCAGAGAACAGAAAATCAGCCATAAAAATAGTAAGTAAAATGAGGCCGGACACAGTGGCTCATGCCTGTAATCCCAGCACTTTGGGAGGCCGAGGTGGGCAGATCACAAGGTCAGGATTTTGAGACCAGCCTGGCCAACCTGGCAAGAGCCCGTCTCTACTTAAAAAATACAAAAATTAGCCGGGCGTGGTGGTGCACACCTGTGGTCCCAGCTACTTGGGAGGCTGAGGCAGGAGAATCGCTTGAACCCGGGAGGCGGAGGTTGCAGTGAGCCGAGATCACGCCAGTGCACTTCAGCCTGGCCAACAGAGTGATTCTGTCTCAAATAATAATAATGAGTAAAATGATAGTGGATTTGCCTTCTATTGCTGTCTCACCAATTACCACACGTTTAGTAACTTAACACACATTTATGGTCTTGTGGCTTCTGTGAGCCAGGTGTCCAGGCAGGGCTTAGCAGGAGCCCCCGTCCAGGGTGCAGTCTAGGAGGTGGCCGGGCTACAGTTTCAACGTGGGACGAGAAGGGCTGTGCCACCAGGCATCGTCAGGCTGTTGGCAGAATTATTTCCTTAAATCTGTACAACTGAGGACCGGCTTCTTGCTGGCTGGAGGCTGGAGGCCACCCTGAGCTCCTCACCAGGTGCAGCCCCAGCACAGGCCCTGACGCCTCGGGCCAGCAGGGAGAGGCTCTCAGCGGGGCGTAAGGTGCCGTGATCACAGCTGCGGCATCTGGCCACCCTCCAGGAGTCTGTCGGAGGAAAGGGGTCACCCAAGGGTGGGAACGCTGGGCAGGGGGGTGCGTCATGAGGCTACCTCAGGGCCTGTCCCCCACACTCGTTTGTGAGAAGGCGGAAGCTTGGCTAGGTGGGGAGTTCTGGGTTGGTGGGGTTGGGGGGCCTCACAGACACCTGAGCAGATGGAGGGGCAAGCCCTTCAGGCCGGGGAGCAGGGAGCCCAGAGCCACTGCCTGGGAGGGGCCTGGAAGGGCCCAGGGTGGCTGGGTCAAGATCAGAGCCCATGGGGGCTGGTGTAGGGCCCAGGAAGTCATCGTGGGCCCCCAGAGGGCTCTGGGTGGAGGGAAACCTGGTACGAGGAGGGACAGGGAGGTTGGGGTGCTCACCAGCTGAACCCCACAGCTCCCTCTGCTGTCCACCATGGGACCCCACGCAGTCTGCTGTCTGCTGGGGCCCTGAGCTCATGCATTTTACTGCAGGGAGGGGCCTGAGGGGACCCTCCTGGCACGGCTCCTCCACCCCTGCCAGAGCACAGCTGCGCAGGAGGGCTGAGCTAACCCTGCCAGGCCATGCGTGGACCTCCTGAACCTCACCCTGCTGCCCCAAGAGTAAGTGCTCGGAACTGCGTAGAGCCTCGCGTGGGGTCTGGAGTGTCATTTTTGGGGCATGTATTTAGGTGGGAGAACCCCCACACCCCCAGTGCCCGCGTTTGCTGTGCGGAGCTGATCACAGGAGACAGAACCTTCTCCGTCCCGCAGACAGAGGCTCTGCATCTTCTGGGCTAGGGGGCTGCTGGGGCTGCCTCCACCCCCACCCTGCTCCTGCTGCCCGGGCGCCCCTCCTCCACTCAGGGGCTCATTTGCATTTAAAAACGACAACCAAAAAACAAGCCCAGGGCCTCCTGAGAGTCCCTCCTCAGCCTGTCGCTGCTCTGCCCAGGGCCTCCTGAGAGTCCCTCCTCAGCCTGTCGCTGCTCCGCCCCTTCCTTGTGCCCCTACTCAAGCACGGATGGTGCGCCTGCTGTATGCCAGGCGCCAGTCAGGGCACTCGCTCAGCCACTGCACGCCCAAGCTCCCTGCCCTCCCGGAGCTCCCGTGCTGCTGGGCGCTAAGTGAGGCGGGGTCAACGCCCTCAGCCCAGAGGCAGGATGGGCACAGGCCTAGCCCAGGAAGGTGCTGGCGCTCCCGGCGGACCCCCAGACACTCTCCCTTCGGTCACCTCCCAGCCCCCAGGGGCATCCAGGCCAGCATCCGACTGCCCAGCCGGCACCCCTCCAGGCACACAGGGCACAGAACCACACTCTGAAGTCACTGCTGCACCCCTGCTCGCCCATCCACCTCCCGCAGTGGCCCTGGACTCTGCCCACGGCTCCCACCTCTGCGGCCATCACATCTCCCTTATAAGAGACAACAGCGCTAAGACCCATCTGCTTGGCGCTGGGGGGGTGCATCACCTGCCTGGGACCCGGCCGTGCCCCGCCAGGGCTCTGAGGACCCCCCAGGGTGCTGTGTGCTTCCGCTTCAGGGTTTCCATCCGGCTGCCCCAGCACACACCACTCTGCTGCACGCACAGGCTTGGGTGCAGGGTTACGCCCTCCTCTCCTCAGGAAGCCTTCTCCTTCCCTGTTCCGACCACCCCAGCAGGGGACATTCCACCAGGCTGTCCTCAGCTGGGGCCATGGTCAATACAGGGGCAGGGACTCTGCTAGTCCCAGCCTCCCAGGTCCCTTGGCCAGGTGCCCTGGCAGTCACTGGTCTGCTGCCAGCTGCCCCTTGGCATGAGGGGCCTCGTGTGACCAAATGGGCACACTCCATGCAGGGGAAACGCAAGGACTTGAGACCAAGCAGAGCCCAGGCTGCACAAGGTCCCCAGGTGGGGGATTGGGACACCATGGTGGCCCCCTGAAGGCAGTGGCCAGCCTTTTCTGAGTCTTCCTGCTGGCCACTCCTGGGGGGGGCTGCATTTGGGGACAGTGGACCTGGCCCTGAACTGCCATCACACCCCCTTGCCCAAGAGCAGTGCCCTGGGCCTCCGAGTGGCTGTGCCGTGTGTCAGATGGCAGCGCTCACGGTCCCAGACAGGCGCTGGGTGGATGGGGAGCCTATTCCCCAGCCCCCACGGACGTTTCACGTTTCAGGGGCTATGTGCCAGCCGCAGGGTGGCCAAAGGAAGTGGCACCCATGGGTGGGTCCAGCTGCGCACCGGGCCTGCGGCAGACGCTTCCCGGTGGCACAAAGTGAAGTTAGAGGATCTGGCCGCCTCATGCCCAGCCGGTGCCCACCCTCAAATCTGGGGTCCCGAACAAGGACACAAGCCCCTGTGAACACTTGGGTCTGGGTGAGCTGAGCCAGTGTTGGAGGGGACAGAAGCCAGCTGGGCACACCCCACCCACAGCTCTGGCTTCCAGAATCCGCCATCCCACCCGATCCGGCTGGAATCCCAGCAGGGCCAAGGCCACAGGCTGGGTCCCAGGGCCCCAGGGTAGAGGCCACAGCGACGAGCACTGTGGAGAGAACCGGAAACTGCTGCCGTGTCACCCAGCACTCGCTCTGGTGGAACCGTCGCACGAGCCTCACGCCTCGTCCCCTCTGATGCCAACGTCAGGACACCCCACTTCAGGGTGGAGGCCGCGACCTCAAGGGGGCGGAGCATTCTCCCCGCCCGAGTGTGGACCAGGCCAAGGGGCCCCGCGGGGTGTGGGGTGGGCAGTGGCAGTGCCACCCACCCAGAGCCCAGGCAGGCAGAGGGCACAAGGCTCGTGCATCTGACTCCAGGCTGTGCCGTGGGGCCCCTGAAGGTGTTGCTGGCCTGCCTCGCCCAGGGGCCACCCCCCATTTCTTTGGAGGTGAGGAGAGGAGCCTTGCCCCTCCAGGCCTTGCCTCTCCCAATCCAGGGTCTGTGGCACAACCTCAGCCAGGCCTCCTGGTCAGGCCCCTCCAGCACGGGCACCCGTGCAGGGCAGGGGAACCGGGAGCTGGCCGAGCTGCCCCACCCACCATGGCTCTAGCCTGTTGCATCCGGGTCCCCAGAGTGCCCCCTAGGCCTTCCCCACCCCAGATGGTGCTGCTCAGGTCCAGGGAGAAGCGCCTTCTGACTTCTGAACCATCGTGGGAGGTAGGAAAGGGGCCCCATACTCCTGCCCAGAGGGGCGGTGCTTTCCGCCTGGCGGTGGCATGGCAACAGTCAGGACAAGCCAACCAGTTACGGATAGAACCTTTATTGCTGAACATAAAACACCTGCCTGGGAGGCCTGGCCAGTGGCCTCTTCACTGGGCCGAAAACCTGGGTGGGGAGGGCTGGGGGCTGCAGGGCCACTGTTGCCAATGGCAGTCGGGGACAGGCCTGGAGGCCAGCCCTGCCTGGCACCCTGGAAGGTGGTGGGGTGGGGACAGGGGCCTGGCTTGGGGGAGGAAGACCAGGCCCTGCGCACACGCTGGTCATGGAAGGTTGAGGGCCAGGCAGGCAGAGCAGTGTCCCTGTGGCCCCCAGGTGAGGCTTGGTGGCGGGCGGCCCTCCTGTGGGGTAGAGTGGTGGACAGAGCCTCTTTCCTCTCCAAGGATGAGGGTCTGAGGTAGGTGCAGGCCGGTCCCTGGGGTCCTCACAGACGTGGTTTGATGTGCAGAGGCTTCCCTATGCAAAGAGGGCAAAAGTTAGGTGCCCGGAAACCCCTGGAAGAACCTCCCCAGCCTGCAAAGCTCCTGATCGGGCTCAGGATCGGGGGGCTCTGTCAGCCCAAGCACACACAGCAAGGTCTGCAGAGATACCCTCCTGAGTTCGAGGGAGAAGAGCACAGACAGGCCACAGGCTTCAGCTTCTGCCCCCTGCTGCCAACAGGTCCTGGTGAGCCTCTGTGGCTGTCTAGCCATGGTGCAGGCTCAGTCTATGAGGTCAACTGAGGCTTCTGCCTACAGTCCAGGGGTCCTCCTGGGCGGGCGGCAGTCCCGGCCACAAGGTCTGCAGGGTGGGCCATCAGTACTGGTGCACACAGCACCAGACTGCCCTGCACGTTCAGTGAGGCTGCCAGACACACGAGGCGGCCACGATGCAGCTTCCATGTGGAAAGCCGGGGTGCACACAAGCTGTGGCGGGGAGGGGCAGGAGCAGAGCAGAGGCCCCAGGGTGAGGCGGGCAGGGCCTGGAGGCAGGCAGTGTGGAGGGAGCAGTTCCCCACAGCGGGGAAGCCCAGGGGCTCCTGCCCCATGAATGTTCACTCACTGGGTGCCAGCGCCTCTCCTCCCTCCCCAGATCTCCCCTCCAGACCACCCGACAGGCACCACAGTGGCCCGCTGAATAGAGATGTCTCCGTGTAGCTGCCCACAGGACTGGGCCTGCCCAGGTGCCCCTCTTCAGGGCCGATGAGCCCGCTCACCCATGCACAGCTGAGTCGGGCCCAGCAGCCAGGGCCCAGGCTACAGACTACACAGGCTCTGACCCGTCAGCCTGCCCCTGCGGTGGCCGCTCCAGCAGCAGCTCCAGCTTCCTGCCCAGAGACTGTCCCAGGCACCTCCACCTGCCCGAGCTCCTGGCCATGGCCAAGCAGGGGAGGTTTCTGCAGCCTTTCCCAGGCCCCGCCCAAGGTGCACACAGGACCCCTCAGCACCCTGCCCACCTCCACTGGCTCTGGAACTGGCTGCTAGGTTCCTGATCTTAAAAAAAAAAAAAAATACAAGTCGCTGCCTCGGGGCCCCATCTGCTCCCCGACCCCAGAGAGGCCCACCCAGATGGAGGGAGCGGGTGCCCAGGTCTCGTGGGGCGGAGGGTCTGGCCACGGCTCCACGCCCCTGACGTGGAGGCTGTGAACAGGAGGCGGCCCCTCCGAGGCAGGCATTTGAGTGTGCTCAGCGGAGCTGTTGCAGAAGGCTGCAGCAAGCATCTTCCATTAACGTTACGACCGTGAAATATGACAATAAAATGATAGCCGTATGGTCGCAAATTTGCAGCCCGCCGAGCTGCGTGGGGTTTATCGTCACTCAAACGCGCGGAGAGCTGTAAAATGTTTACAGAAAGGGTCGTTTGCAGCCATAAAATCCTCTTTTCTCTCCTAAACAAGGCTGAGTGGAGCCATTTACCAAGCCCCAAATGCTCATCGGGGGAGAGGGAACATCTGTTCTCTCCAGGAGTGCGTGGTGATCTTCCAGAACAAATTAACAGAAATGGGTGCTTTCTAATTAAATCAGCCCTCAGCTGGGGCAGACTGCGCAGCGGCCACCGCTACACTCGCACCTTGGCTGGCCCTGCCCCAGGGCTGGCAGGTGCACCCCTGGCGCCCGTGGGACTCACCCAGGCCCCACCTGGAGATTCTGACGTGGTGGTCTGAGGGGGCATTTAAAGCTCCCCTGTGCCCGAGCCCGGCCATGCTGCCTACCTGAGCCCTTGGTGAGGGGGGCCCTGGGGGCCTGAGCCAGGCCATGCTGCCTACCTGAGTCCTTGGTGAGGGAGGCCCTGGGGGCCCGAGCCAGGCCATGCTGCCTACCTGAGTCCTTGCTGAGGGGGGGGCCCTGGGGGCCTGAGCCAGGCCGTGCTGCCTACCTGAATCCTTGGTGAGGGGGGCCCTGGGGGCCCGAGCCAGGCCGTGCTGCCTACCTGAGTCCTTGGTGAGGGGGGCCCTAGGGGCCCGGACCCTGGGCTGGGCTCCTGGGCTCGGCGAGGACTGCAGGGAGATGAAGGAAGGCAGCTTGCAGAGCCTGTTGGAGCACGCTGCTGCTAAGGCAGCCTCCTGGAGAGATGGTGCCTCGTGGTCCAAGGAAGCGGGAGGGGATGAGGAGGAGGAGGAGGAGGAGGAAGCCTTCGAGGATGAGGGAGAGGCTGACCCCCCTGGGCAGTGGGGAGGTGCAGCCACGGCAGCCGCAGTGAGGGCAGCCGAGCTGGGCGTCTGCCTGGTGGGGCGCTGGGATGCTGAAGGCTTCCTGCAGGGAAGGAAGGGGCAGACGTGTGAGGTGGGGTGACGGGTGGGGATCCCAGCGACAGACTGCCCATGCTCTTGGCTGCTTCCTGCTCCCGTGGCCCTCCGTGGTCTCAGGGCAGAGCTGGAGGCACAGGTCAGGCCTGGCCCTTGGCCGCAAGGACAGGCTGGGTGCAGGGATGGCCCCAGCTCCACACCGAGCCTGCCCCTCACATCCAGGGCCTTGGCTTCCTGGTCTCCATGGGGCTCCACACCCACATGGCAGGTGGGCTGGATGAGGGGGCCCCCAGACTCCTCCCGGGGCTGGGCCTCCCACCCGGTCCCAGTGAGCAGGTCTCTGTGAGGCCCCACCTTCCTCCATTGGCCAGGGATGCCCTTGGCTCTGTCCAGACTTGGAAGTGGGGTAGGGGCATCTCTGGAGGTCATGTGATCCCCAGCCTTGGATAGGGATTTCTTTCTGGTCTGAGGCCCAAAGAGCTGGAGTTGGCGGGAGCTCAACCAGAGGGCCCCGGGCATCTCCCCAGACAGGGAGGGGGCCACCCAGGCTCACATGCACAGTGCCCACTGCCCCATCACCTGGGCCCGTGGCTGGCCGAGACCCTGCTCCTGGCGGTTGCGTCGCTGGGCCCTGGGGCGGGGGACGTGGCTGCCCGCCGACTGTGGCGTTTCTGGGTACGGTGGAGCAGCTGGCACTGGGCGCCGCGGGGACACGCCCCCCTGCGGGCAAAGTCGGGGCACAGCAGCGTGTGTTTCTTCTTGCACTGCAGAGAGAAGGGGTGCAGGTGGGTGGGCCGGCTGGAGGCTGTGGCGCTGCACGGGGAAGGCAAGGAGAGCCAGGCCAGGCCCCCCGAGTACCCACGGGGCCCCATAGGCTCCGTCCAAGTCTTGGGGCCAAAGGCTTCCTCTTGGAAGGCTGAGGCCACCAGTCCAGAGAGGTTCCACCTGGGCCCTCACCCACCCACAAGAGGCCCTCAGCCAACTGTAGGCCCTGGGCACAGACTGAGAGCAGGGCGGGGCTGGGCCAGCGTGGGGACTCCCAGAGCCTGCAGCCAGGCCATGGCTCAGGGCTCTGCCCACCCGCTGCCTCTGCCAGACCCCAGCCAGCCCATCCTGGCAGCACAGAGGGAGCCCGGGAAGGTGGGTGTGGCTAGAGACCTGGGGGTCTTAGGCTGGGCCGGGAGAGGGTGGGGCAGGTCAGCCAAGGCCAGGCTGCACTGGGTCAGGGCTGGGCTGGGCTGGGCACGCGATCCCTAGCACCTGTCACAGTGCTAATTATACCCACAGGGCAGGGGGTGTGCCAGCCAGCAGGTGCTCTGGGCAGCAACATGGCCCCAGCTCTCCTACCAGGCCCACAGGGAAACACAAAGAGGCTGCCCAAGGCCCCAGCGGCCCAGCCTGGCCTGTGGTGCAGGGCGCCCAGCCTGCCCTTCCTCTGCCCACCCCTCCCGGGCTCTGCTCTGCAGCCCAGCTGCCTGCCTGCCTCGTGCCCAAGGCCTTTCAGGGAGGGTATGCCCTCCCCCTCACCCTGCAGAGCCCACTGCATGGGGCACCCAAACTGCTCTTCATGGGACTAAGCGACAGGCGTCCCCAATGTGAACTGTGACAAGCTCCAAGAGTGGAGCTCAAATCTGTCACGGCACTAGAGTGGCCGGAGTGCTTCCAGCTCGTGGGGTGCCACAGCCTTGAACCCACATCCTCCCAGCCACACAGTCCCTTGCCAGGCACCTGACCTAAGAATCTGGGATCCCAGGTACTGCTCCTGTACCTGGGGCTGGCCGTGAGCACCTGCTCAGAACCGGGCCCTACACTGTACCCCATACCTTCCCTGGATCCTGTGGTGTGGCCCCCGCCATACCCCCAGGTGGAAGCCAGGCTCAGGCCAGTGCTTGCACCCTCACTCACTCATTCATTCCTGCGACACGGAGTCTGAGTCCCTCTACACAGCGCCTCGCAGTGCTTTGGGGCCCAGAGACCAGGGGCTCCTCAGGGGCCTGCGGCTGGAGAGATGCCCGGTCCTGCAGCAGAGCAGGCTTCAGGGGCCGGGGGGGGTGGGGGGGCGGGGGCAAGGCCTCCGGGGGGGGGGGGGGGCAGGGGCAGTGGCTGTGCCTGACAAGGAAAGCCCTGCCACCAGCACAGGCATCCCACGCGGTACTGGGACGGGCGTGGGGGTGTGCAGGTCCACTGTTCACAAAGGGGCAGGACTGCAGGCATTGCCAAGGCTGCGGGTGCATTTTATCAGATGCACCCACAGCCCCAGCAACGGCTGGTGGGCAACACTGGATGCAGAGTGCCCGGCTGAGATGTCCAGAGGGCACCTGCCACACAGCCAGTGTGAGCTGAGGTGTGGGTGTTGGTGTAAACCATGTGCCAGGACTCAGACTTAGTAGGAGCAAAATAATGTAAAATGCACATTTCTTTTTCCTTGATGACATGTTGAAATTTTTGATAGGATGGGTTAAATAAAACATGATTCCATCTGCTTTGGTGTATAATCTTTTTTAACCTTTTAAAGGTGGCTACTAGAAAAGCTGAAATTCACAAATGACTCATCCATGTCTGTACTGGACAGCGCCGATGAGAACCCTCCTGCAGAACACAACCAAATCCCGAGGATCAAAGAGAACTTTCTGAGGCCCTGCACAGTGGCTCACGCCGGTAATTCCAGCACTTTGGGAGCAAAAGCGGGTGGATCACTTGAGGTCAGGAATTCGAGAGCAGGCCTGACCAACATGGTGAAACGGTCTCTCCTAAACCGTCTCTACTAAAAACACAAAAATTAGCTGGGTGTGGTGGCACGCACCTGTAATCCAAGCTACTTGGGAGGCTGAGGCAGAAGAATCGCTTGAACCTGGGTGGTGGAGGTTGCAGTGAGCCAAGATTGCACCACTGCACTCCAGCCTGGGCAACAGAGTGAGACCCTGTCTCAAAAAAAAAAAAAAAAAAAAAAAGAACTTTTTGAAATTACTTAGGAGCGATGAAGAAAGTAAAATGATGGAAGAAAATATACAAGGAAACACACTGGACATGAAATGAATCTTAAATTTCAAAGGCCTGAGACCTTCATCTCATGTTCACTAATGAAAAACCCAAACCAGCCAAACAAAACCCCCAGAAAACTCTCCAAAGATCTGGAAATGTATCACCATCTGTGGAACAGCGAAAACAGGGCTTAAAGGAAAATACATAGCCTTAAATGCTTATATCACAACAGAAGACCTAGCTTAAAAGTTAGGGGGAGAACAGCAAATGAACTCAAAGCAGAGGGAAAGAAAAACAAAATAGGAATTAAAACCAAGAGAGTTAAAAGTTGGTTCTTTTAAAACAGTAATCAATTTATCCAATAGGGTTAATCAGGAAATAAAGAGAAGGAAGATGTAAACAATGTTGGGAACGCTAAGCGTGTAACTAAAGATGCTGCAGATGATGAAAGACACCGCACGCTGTGGTAACAAACGTCATGCCAGTATGTTTGAAAACACCAGTGAATTGACAAATTCTAGAAAAACTGACAAGAAAAATAAATCCAAGTATTTCTATAACCATGAAGAAATTGGAATCAGCAGTTAAAAAGCAAAGCTCCAACCCAAAGGGTTTTACTTGTAGTTCTTTTTTTCCTTTTTTTTTTTTTTTTCTGAGACAGAGTCTTGCTCTGTTGCCCAGGCTGGAGTGCAGTGGCACGATCTCGGCTCACTGCAACCTCTGCCTCCTGGGTTCACACCATTCTCCTGCCTCAGCCTCCCGAGTAGCTGGGACTACAGGTGCCCGCCACCATGCCTGGCTACTTTTTTGTATTTTTAGTAGAGATGGGGTTTCACCTTGTTAGCCAGGATGGTCTTGTTCTCCTGACCTTGTGATCCACCCACCTCAGCCTCCCAAAGTGCTGGGATTACAGGTGTGAGCCACCGCACCTGGCCTTTACTTGTGGTTCTACCAAATACTCCAGATGTACAATTCCAGTCTTCCATGAACAAGTCCACTGTATAGAAAAACACAGAACACTACTCAGCTTATGGGGCCAGAATAATCTTGAAACCAAATCTGACCAGGACTATATGAGAAAAAAACATTTAGGCCAATATCACTCATGAAAAGAATGCAAAAAGTCCTACACAAATTATAAACGAGAGTCTTGCAATGTGTAAAAACACTAATATATCAAGGACCAAGTTAGATTTATCTCAGGAATGCAAGGTTGGTTTAATATTAGAAAATCAATGAACAAAAATTAGCACATTAACAGGTTAAAAGAGAAGAATCATATGATCACCTCACAGATATGAAATAAGTATTTAATAAAATTCAACAGTTTTTTAAAAAGAAACATTTAGCAAATTAGTGATTGAAGGTAACTTCCTCAGCCTGAAATACAGGGTTTCGTAAAAGATAACTCCCAGAAAGCATCACATGTCAAGGGGAAAGTTTGGAAGCCCACTATCATCACCAGTCAATATTGTATTGGGGTCCTATCCAAGGCAGGAAGACAAGAAAAAGAAAGAAAACTTGTCTGGACTCAAAAGAAGAAAAAAAGTCATTATTTGCAAATGACATAATTGTTTATACAGAAAAATGCAAGAGAATTTATAAACTAATTACTAATATAGTTCAGCAAAGTTGCTGGAGATAAAATCTATATAAAATTATATTTCTATACGCCAATGAACAGTGAGATAATACAAATTTTAAATATACTATTTATAGTAATAAAACTATTAGGAATAAATCTAACAAAACCTAATCAAGGGCTGGGCACAGTGGCTCATGCCTGTAATCCCAACACTTTGGGAAGCCAAGGCAGGCGGATCACCTTAAGTCGGTGGTTGGAGACCAGCCTGACCAAAATGGAGAAACCCTGTCTCTACTAAAAATACAAAATTAGCTGGGCATAGTGGCACATGCCTGTAATCCCAGCTACTCAGGAGATTGAGGCAGGAGAATTGCTTGAACCTGGGAGGTGGAGGCTGCAGTGAGCCCAGACTGCACCATTGTAGTCCAGCCTGGGCAACAACAGTGAAACTTTGTCTTAAGAAAAAAAAAAAAAAAGATAATAAAGAACCTTATTAAAACACATTAAAGGTAGGAGGCCAGGGCGGGAGGGTGGGAGGATTGCTTGAGACCAGGAGTTCGAAATCAGCCTGGGCAACACAGCAAGACCCTGTTTCTACAAAAGATTAAAAAAAAACAAAATTAGCCAGGTGTCATAGCATGTGCCTATAATCCCTGCTGCTTGAGAGGCTGAGGCAGGAGGATTACGTGAGCCCAGGAGTTGGAGGCTGCAGTGACCTATCATCACAACACTGCACTCCAGCCTGGGTGACACAGTGACACCCTGTCTCTGTCTCTTAAAAAAAAAAAAAGACATTAAAAGGGAGGGTCTAACTGAAGAAATACAGATGCCATCCCCACAGGCTGGCAGCTCACTGCTCTGGGGACAGATGCCCATTCCACCAAACCGAGCTACAGATTCAAGACAATCCCAATCAAAATTCCAACTTTTTTTTAACCTGACAAGAAAAATCTAAAATGTATTTCTGGGAGAATAATGGTCAAGAATAGCTGAAATTCGTTCTAAAAAAGAACAAGGTGAAAGAACTTGCTTTATTATTATGAAGCTCAAATAATTCAGAGCATGGTTTGGCTCAGGGACAAACTGACCAATGAACAAACAGAGAGCCAGAAGCAGAGCCCGCATCCACGCAGACCTCACGACAGGAGGGAGGGCTGCACCGCACACCCGCTGGAAACAATGGGCTTTTCGAGGCCAGGCGCTGTGGCAAAATGAAACTGGACCTCACCGCACACACCACACAAGAAAATCACCTCCAGCTGGATGAAAGTCTCAATGTGAAAGGTAAACACAACAAAATATTTAGAGGCAACTGAGCACAATCTGGTGTAGAGAAGAATTTCTTATTCAAGACACTAAGGGTGCAAAATGTAAAGAAAACTATAAAACTATGTCCGTTAAAATCAAGAACTTCTGATTTTCAACACGTCACAAAGAAATGCAAAGATAAACCACAAACAGAGAAGACATGTGACTAACAGATTAAAGTCCAGGACATTATATGTATTTTTATGTTTGTTTATGTTTATAAATTCCCTCTGAGTCAGTAAGAATCAAACAACCCAAAAGAAAAACACCCTCACCCTCACCAAAAAGATTCCAAAAATCACCAAAAAGATTTTCCAGAAGCGAAGACACAAAGGCCTTAGAAACATGGGAAAAGGTTTTCCACCTCAGTTTACATCAGAGAAATACCAATTTAAAATATCAGACAGCTTTTAATCCTTCTAATGGTCAAAAAGTAAAAAAAGGTTGAACACAGCCTTCACAGAAAGCACAGAGGCCCGTCCAAGCTGCCGAGCGTGACAGGCCAGGTGGCCTGGGTGGGCTCATGTTTCCAGCTAAGCCAATGTCCACACTGCCTGGCCATGCACTGAGGCACTGCTTCCCACAGGGGGCCCTCTGGGGCCTGGACTGGGGCCCGCAACCGGAGAACTGTCTTCAGATAACTAATTGGTCGTCTGCCTTTTCTATCAGCACCAAGACAGTGGAGAGCCTCAGGTGAATCTCCCAGGCACCAGGTCACCTTTTCCCCAAGCCAGCCTGGCCCTGGGAGCATGGTCCATAGGGAGACTCTTCCGGCCTGTGCTTGCGGAGCTGACATGAAGGGCACAGGGACTGGGCCAGGCTCCACGGCGCTCTCTTCCTTGGCCAAGAGCAGGCTGATTTGCCCAGCTGGCTTGACCACAGCAGCTCCCTCACCACCTGTGCTGATTCAGCCCAGGGCCTGAGGGGCCCCTGCCCTACCACAGCACCCAGCCCTGCTTAGTTCTCTCCTGGGGGTGAGGCCCTAACCCCACAGCCAGCAGCACCTCTGATGGCTGTGACGCACCCTTTGTCCCCAGCAGAGTTGCCAGCTTCCTTCCCACTGTCCAAAATCAAAGCTGCCCCCTCTACCACCACCAGCCACCTTGGAGGACGTGTTCCAGACACTTCTATCCACGCTCTCCATCTTTCTCACGCTCCTCTGCATTCCAAAATCAGTGACTTCATGGAATGTAGTATCTTGGAACAGAAAACAGCATCAGGGAAAACTGAGGAAATCTAAATAAGGTCTGGAGTTGACAGTTACACCACACCAAAGTGGATGTCTCAGTTCTGACAGCGAGATGGTACATGAGTCCATTCTCGCACTGCTATAAAGACATACCTGAGACTGGGCAATGTATAAAGAAAAGAGGTTTAACTGGTTCACAGTTCACAGGCCGTAGAGGAAGCATGGCAGCATCTGCTTCTGGGGAGGCCTCAGGAAGCTTCCAATCATGGCAGAAGGTGAAGTGGGAGGGAGGCACTTCACACGGCCGAGCAGGAGGACGAGAGAGAGCGGGGCAGATGCTACAGACTTTTAACTGACCAGATGTCATGAGAAGCCTACCACAAGAACAGGACTCGGGGGATGGTGCTCAGCCATTAGTAACCGGCAGGGATGGCCGGGTGTCGTGGCTCATGCCTCCCACCACTTTGGGAGGCTGAGGCGGGTGGATTGCCTGAGGTCAGGAGTTCGAGACCAGTCTGGACAACATGGGGAAACCCTGTCTCTACTAAAAATACAAAATTAGCCAGGTGTGGTGGTGCATGCCTGTAATCCTAGCTACTCAGCAGACTGAGGCAGAATTGCTTAAACCCGAGAGGCGGGGGGTTGCGGTGAGCTGAGAGAGTGCCATTGCGCTCCAGCCTGGGCAAAAAGAGTGAAACTCTGTCTCAAAAAACAAAACAAACAAACAAACAAAAAATTAGCCAGGCGTGGTGGGGCATGCCTGTAATCCCAGCTTCTAGGGAGGCTGAGGCAGGAGAACCGCTTGAACCTGGGAGGCAGAGGTTGCGGTGAGCCAAGATAGCACCATTGCACTCCAGCCTGGGCAACAAGACTGAAACTCTGTCTAAAAAAAAAAAAAGAGACCAGGCAAGTCCTTTCTACCTATGAACCCATAAAATCAAAACAAGTTAGTGACTTCCAAGATACAATGGAGGCATAGGTATTGGGTAAATACTCCCATTTCAAAAGGGAGAAATCAGCCAAAAGAAAGGGGTACAGGCCTTATGCAAGTTCAAAACACAGCAACGCAGTCATTAAATCTTAAAGCTCCAAAATCATCTCCTTTGACTCTACATTTCACATCCAGGGCACAGTGATGCAAGGGGAGGGCTCCCAAGTCCTCAGCCAGCTCCGCCGCCATGGCTCTGCAGGGTTCAGCCCCCACAGCTATTTTCAAGAGCCAGCACTGAGTGCCTGCAGCTTTTCCAGGTGCATGGTGCA
This sequence comes from Homo sapiens, assembly GCF_000001405.40. Classification (NCBI taxonomy): domain Eukaryota; kingdom Metazoa; phylum Chordata; class Mammalia; order Primates; family Hominidae; genus Homo; species Homo sapiens. Next base: position 143,448,681 of record NC_000008.11, read on the forward strand.
AGCTGTCGGTGGATCTACCACTCCAGGGTCTGGAGGACAGTGGCCCTCTTCTCACAGCTCCACTAAACAGTGTCCCAGTGGAGACTCTGCGTGGGGGCTCCAATGCCACATTTCCCCCTAGCAGAAGTTCTCTATGAGGGCTTGACCCCTGCAGTAGGCCTCTGCCTGGACATACAGGCTTTTCCACGTATCCTCTGAAATCAGGCAGAGGCTCCTGAACCACAACTCTTGCACTCTGAGTACCTGCAGGCTTACCACTACGTAGAAGCTTCCAAGGCTTACTATGGTTTGCACCCCCTGAAGCAGTGACCAGAGCTGTGCCTTGGCCCCTTTGAGCCACAGCTGGAGCTGGACTGGCTGGACACAGGGACGCAGATCCTGGGGCTGTGCAGGGCAGTGGGGCTCTGGGCCAGGTCCAGGACACCATTCAGTTCTCCCAGGCCTCATGCCAGTGATGGGAGGGTCTGACATGAAGGTCTCTGAAATGCCTCTGAGGCTTTCTCCCCATTGTCTTGGTTATTAGCACTTGCCTTCCTTTTAGTCACACAAATTTCTATAGCCTGCTTGAATTCCTCCCCTGAAAATGGGCTTTTCTTTTCTACTACATGGCCAGGCTGCAAATTTTCCAAACTCTATTTCCCTTTTAAATATAAGTTCCAGCTTGAGGTCATTTCTTTGCTCACACATATGAGCACCGAATGTCAGAAGCAGCCAGGCTACACCTTGAACACTTTGCTGCTTAGAAACTTCCACCAGATTGGTTGTGTACAGTGGCTCATGCCTGTAATCCCAGCACTTTGGGAGGCCAAAACGGGTGGCTCACCTGAGGTCAGGGGTTCAAGACCAGCTTGGTCAACATGGTGAAACTATGTTTCCACTAAAACCCCATCTCTACCAAAATACAAAAATTAGCTGGGTGTGGTGGTACATGCCTGTAACCCCAGCTACTTGGGAGGCTGAGGCAGGAGAATTGCTTGAACCCAGGAGGCAGAGGTTGCAGTGAGCTGAGATTGCGCCACTGCATTCCAGCCTGGAGCAAGACTCCATGTCAAAAAAACAAACAAAACAAAACAAAACAAAACCCAGGAAATTTCCACCAGATAGCCTAAATCATCATTCTCCAGTTCAAAGTTCCACAGATCCCCATGGCAGGAACATAGTGCAGCCAACCTCTTTGCTAGCACATAACAAAAGTAACCTTTGCTCCAGTTCCCAATAAGTTCCTCATCTCCATCTGAGACCTCCTCAGCCTGGACTTCACTGTCCATATCACTCTGAGCATTTGGTCACAACAATTTAACAAGTCTCTAGAAAGTTCAAAACTCTCCTCATCTTGCTGTCTTCTTCTGAGCCCTCCACACTCTTCCAACCTCTGTGGGTTACCCAGTTCCAAAGCTGTTTCCACATTTTCAGGTATCTATATAGCAATGCCTCACTCCTCAGTACCAATTTTCTATATTAGTCCATTATCGCATTGCTGTAAATAAATACCTCAGACTGGGTAATTTATTTCTTTATTGAGACGGTGTCTTACTCTGCTGCCCAGGCTGGAGTGCAGTCACACAATCTCAGCTCCCTGCAACCTCCACCTCCAGGTTCGACCGATTCTCATGCCTCAGCCTCCCAAGTAGCTGGGATTACAGGCATGTACCACTGTGCCCACCTAATTCTTCTATTTTCAGTAGAGATGGGGTTTGGCCATGTTGGCCAGGCTGATCTTGAACTCCTGGCCTCAAGTGATCCACCCACCTCGGCCTTCCAAAGTGCTAGGATTACAGGTGTGAGCCACTGCACCCAGTCAAGACTGGGTAATTTATGAAGATAAGAGGTTTAATTGGCTCACAGTTCACAGGCTGTACAGGAAGCATGGCAGCATCTGCTTCTGGAGAGGCCTCAGGGAGCTTCCAATCGTGGCAGAAGGCAAAGGGGAGGCGAGGCACTTCACGCGGCTGAGCAGGTCGAGAGAGGGGGCTGGAGCAGGAGGTCGAGAGAGGGAGGAGGTGCTACACACTTTTAAACAGCCAGATCTTGTGAACATTCCATCACAAGAATAGCACTGGAGGATGGTGCTAAACTATTATAAACCATCCCCATGATCCAATCACCTCCCACCAGGCCCCAACTCCAACATCGGGGATGATAATTCGACATGAGATTTGGGCAGGGACACAGGTCAAAGCACATCACACTGCTAGCTGTGGATCTGCAGGACGCTCCTGGCAGGGGAGGCTGGCTGAGGGTGTATGGGAACTCTCTGTGATATGTCTGCAACTTTTTGGTAAATCTAAAATAATAACAAGTATATTAAACACAGTAAGTGACTGGATGCTTTCTACCCTGACCAGTGAACAAACCACCAGAGAAGGCCTGTGGGGCTGCTGTGGGGGACTGCGGGTGCCCACAAGGACAGCAGGGAGGGGCTCCTGAGAGGGAGGCCAAGAGCTCAAAGCACATCAGCCAGAACCCAAAACCTACAGACACGGGAACAGGTGCTCCCAGAGCAGAAGGCAGGAAGCAGGACAGGAGCCCGGGGAAAACCTAAAGCAGGAGGGAAATAATAAAGAGCAATGACAGAAGTCAATGAAAAAGAAAAGGAGCAAGCAACAAAGAACACTAGCAAAACCAAAAGCTGGTTGTCTGAAAAGGGCAATAAGACAGACATGCCCCTGGCAAGACTGTTCCCAGAAACAAGTGAGAAAACGCAAATTAAATACAGATGAAAAAAACTCTAGACGCGACAAAGGATGTTGTAGACACACCGACATGCACCCATACGTTGAAAACCTCAGTAAAACGGATCCACTTCTGGGGGAAAATAAGCCAAAACTGGCATTAAAAAGAAGTAGGCCGGGCACGGTGGCTCACCCCTGTAATCCCAGCACTTTGGGAGGCCAGGAGTTCAAGACCAGCCTGGCCAACATGGTGACACCCTGTCTCTACTAAAAATATAAAAATTAGCCTTGCATGGTGGTGCACACCTGTAATCCCAGCTACTTGGGAGGCTGAGGTGGGAGAATTGCTTGAACCCAGGAGACAGAGGTTGCAGTGAGCTGAGATCACACCACTGCCCTCCAGCCTGGGTGACAAAGTGAGACTCTGCCTAAAAAAAAAAAAAAAAGAAAAGAAAAGAAAAGAAAAAAGGAGGAGCTTGCATTGCATTGCTTGGAACACAGACCCAAAGTACCAACCTACCATCCCTGTACTTCCCGCTAAGTGCCACCGTAACAAACCCAAGCCACCTCTGGCTGCGGAGAAGGTGCTGATGGAAGGGATCGGGGCACGACTGGTGCTGGGTGCCCTTGGGCTGCTTCCTGCCCCATCCAAGACTTGGAGTCAAGGAAGCCACAGCCCAGAAATGCCCAGAGGCACAGGCAAAGGGCAGCCCAGCAAGACAGAAGGTCTCGGGCAACAGCCATCTATTCCAGCCAACACGCAAAACCACTGCACCCCCAGCCAGATCAGCAAAGGCTGAGGAGGGAGCCTGGACTCAACCCTGGCCAGGAGGCCCTTCCCTTCCTTGCCGGGGTGGTGAAAAGCCAGGACATTCACCCCTTCTCCATCCCCCACGGAGTCAGTGGAGGCCATGTGGAAGAGGCACTGTGGAACTCCTTCCCCCAAGGCAGGGAGGGAAGGTTCAGGGAAGGTCTGTTTTCCACACCACCCTCCACAGTGTCAATGAGGCCAAGTGCAGGGAGCTGGGTTTCCACTCCTAGCTGGCAAGAAGGAGGCAGCCCCTCCACCCAACAGCCAGCATGACTAGGCTCCCACAGAAAGTGGCTGCTCACACTAAGAACAAGGGAGGCTCCAAGCTCGGTGAAGAGGGGCAGCGCCAACGCTGACAGACAGGGCGTCAGAATTATTTCATAAAGACAGAACAGCATCACAAAGACACTTCTACATGCAATACAAACATGCTGGAAACAGAAGAAATAGAAAGTATCAACAGAGAAAAAGAAGATACAGTAGAACCAAATGAAAATTTTAGAACTAAAAAATACAATAACTGAAATAAAAAACTCAGTGTGTGGCACAACAGCTGAATGGATGAGACAGAGAACTGGAAGACAGAATAACAGAAATTAACCCATCTGAACAACAGAAAGAAAATAAGGTTTAAAAAATGAACAGAGCCTTCGGGACCTTGGGACCACAACAAAAGACCTAACATTCATGTAACTGGAGATGCAGAAACAGAGCAAAAAGAACTCAAAGAAATAATACAAACTTTACAAATTTGGTAAAACACATAAGCCTATAGATTCAGGAAGTTGAGCAAACCTCAGACAGGATAGACCAAAGACATCTACCCCAGATGTCAGACAGGATAGACCAAAGACATCTACCCCAGATGTCAGACAGTGAAAGTTAAAGACAAAGAAATAATCTTCAAAGCAGCCAGAGAGAAACTACATTATGTTTGTTTTTTTGAGACAGGGTCTCACTCTCTTGCCTAGTGGTACAATCATAGATCACTGCAGCCTCGACCTCCAGGGCTCAAGCAATCCTCCCAACTCAGCCACCTGAGTAGCTGGGACCACAGGCGCATGCCACCATGTGTGACTAATTTTTGTTTTTTTGTTTTTTTTTTTAAAGAGATGGGGTTTTGCCATGTTGACCAGGCTAATCTCAAACTCTTGGGCTCAAGCAGTTTGCCCACCTGGTTCTCCCAAAATGTTGAGATTACAGGAACGAGTCACAGCACCCCACAGAAACCACATTTTACCCACTGGGGAAAAATTCAAACAACAGTGGATTTCTAACTAGACACCATGGAGGACATAAGGAAGAGGCATAACATTCTTCAAGCTCAAAAGAAAGAACTGTCAACACAGAATCCCATATTCAGTGAATTATCCTTCTGGAATAAAGGGGAAATCAAGACATTCTCTGATGAAGAAAAACAATGTCACCAGCAGTCTTACCCTAAAAAGTGGTTAAAGTTCTCCAAACAAAAAGGAAACAAAAGAAAAAGGCTTGGCACAACAGGAAGGAATAAAGAACAAGATAAGCAAAAATATGGATAAACATACCAGACTTTCCATCTCTTCCCCAGTTTTTAAAATTATGTTTGATGACTGAAATAAAAATTATAACTGTGTCTGTTGTGGTTCTAACTTCTGTAGAGGAAGTATTCCAGATGGTTATAAAAGGGGAGGTTAAGGGAGATGAGGGAAGGTAGGGTTTCCACACTTCACTCAAACTGGCAAAACGACACCACCAGCAGACGTGGATCAGTCATGCAAATATAATATAATACCCAAGGTAAGCACTACAAAAGCTATATAGTGGTCCTCCCCTTTCCACTGTTTCACTCTCTGCAGTTTCAGTTACCTGAAGTCAACTGTGGTCCAAAAATATTAAATGGAAAATTCCAGAAATAAACAATTCATAACTTTTTCTTTTTTTTTTTTTTTTCCCAGATGGAGTTTCACTCTTGTTGCCCAGGGCTGGAGTGCAGTGGTGTGATCTCGGCTCACTGCAACCTCCATCTCCCGGGTTCAAGCAATTCTCCTGCCTCAGCCTCCCAAGTAGCTGGGATTACAGGTGCCTACCACCACACTCAGGTAATTTTTTTTTTTTTTGTAACTTTAGTAGAGACAGGGTTTCACCATGTTGACGAGGCTGGTCTTGAACTTCTGACCTCAGGTGATCTGCCCACCTTGGCCTTCCAAAGTGCTGGGATTATAGGTGTGAGCCATCGTGCCTGGCCAACAATTCATAATTTTTTTTTTTTTTTTGAGATGGAGTCTTTCACTGTCACCCAGGCTGGAGTGCAGTGGCGCAGTCTCGGCTCACTGCACTGCAAGCTCCGCCTCCCGGGTTCACGCCATTCTTCTGCCTCAGCCTCCTAAGTAGCTGGGACTACAGGCGCCTGCCACCATGCCCAGTTAATTTTTTTTGTGTGTGTTTTTAGTAGAGACAGGGTTTTACCGTGTTAGCCAGGATGGTCTCGATCTCTTGACCTCATGATCCACCTGCCTCGGCCTCCCAAAGTGCTGGGATTACAAGCATGAGCCACCGCGCCCAGCCAACAATTCATAAATGCTTAAGTGCATGCTATTCTGAGCAGTGTGATGAAATCTTGCACCGTCATGCTCTGTCCTGCCCAGGACATGAATCATTCCTTTTTCCACACTGTATACACGACCTAACATTAGTCACTTAGTAGCTGTCTCCCTCATCACACTGACTCTTGTGGTACTGCAGCACTTGTGTCCGGGTAACCCTTATTTTCATAAAAAATGGCCCCAAAGTGCAACAGTAGTGATGCTAACAATTTGGATAAGAGAAGCTGTAAAATGCTTCCTTTAGGTAAAAAGGTCAAAGTTCTCAACTTCAGAAAAAAAAAAATAGGCTGGGCGTGGTGGCTTACACCTATAATCCCTGCACTTTGGGAGGCCAAGACGGGTGGATCAGGGGGTCAGGAGTTCGAGACCACCCTGGCCAACACAGTGAAACCCCATCTCTACTAAAAATACAAACATTAGCTGGGTGTGGTGGCGGGGGCCTGTAATCCCAGCTACTCAGGAGGCTGAAAAAGGAGAATCACTTGAACCCAGGAGATGGAGGGTGCAGTGAGCCAAGATTGCACCACTGCACTCCAGCCTAGGTGACAGAGCTAGAGTCCATCTCAAAAAAATAATAATAAAAATAAAAATACAAAAATTAGCCAGGCGTGGTGGCGCGTGTCTGTAATCCCAGCTACTTGGGAGGCTGAAGCAGGAGAATCGCTTGAACCCGGAAGGCAGAGGTTGCAGTGGACAGAGGTTGTGCCACTGCACTGCACTCCAGCCTGGGTGACAGAGCGAGACTCTGCCCCCCCTCCCCAAAATAATAATAATAATATAATATTCTGAGGTTGCTGAGATCTACAGTAAGAATGAATCTTCTATCCAAGAAATTGTGAAGAAAGAAAAAAAGAAATTAATGTTAATTTTGCTGTCACACTGCAAACTGCAAAAGTTAGGGCTACAGTGTGTGATAAACGTTTAGTTAAGATTTAAAAAGGCAGCCGGGCGTGATGGCTCATGCCTGTGATCCCAGCACTTTGGGAGACCTAGGCGGGTGGATCATTTGAGGTCAGGAGTTCAAGGCCAGCCTGGCCAACATGGTGAAACCCCGTCTCTATTAAAAACATAAAAATTAGTCAGGCGTGGTGGTACACACCTGTAATCCTAGCTACTCAGGAAGCTGAGGCAGAAGAATTGCTTGAACCCAGGAGGCGGAGGTTGCAGTGAGCCAAGATCAAGATCACACTACTGCACTCCAGTCTGGGCGACAGAGTGAGACTCTGTCTCAAAAAAAAAAAAAAAAAAAAAAAAGACTTAAAAAAGCGTTTGATTTGTGGGTGGAAGATAATAGAAACATGTTCCAAATGATGGAATTGGGTTCCATGACATCTATGGGTTCAGGTATCCATGAGGGATCTTGGAATGTATCCCCCACAGAGAAGGGAAGACTACTGAATAAAGATCTATATTGAAAAACACTATAAGTAAATCAAATAAAAATTCTAAAAAGTGTTCAAGTAACCCATAGGAAGGCAGGGGGAAGAAAACCCACAGGGAAAAAAAGAACTAATAGAAAACAAAATAAATCAAATGATACACTTAAGCCCTAATATAGCAATAACCACATTAAATGTAAATGTCCTACATATATCAACTAAAAGACAGAGATTGGCAGAGTGAATTTTAAAACATGATTGAACTATCTGCTGTCTACAAGAAAGTCACTTCAAATATGACACATATATACATTTAAAGTAAAAAGAGAAAAAAAGACATGAAAACTTGATTCAAAGAAAACAGGCGTGGCTATATTAATATCAGAAAAAGATGACTTCAAAGCAAAGAAAATCATCAGAGACAGAAACATTATATAATAATAAAAGAGTAAATCGATCAAGAATGCATAGTAGGGCCACACTTATAATCCCGGCACTTTGGGAGGCCAAGGAGGACCACTTGAGGCCAGGAGTTGAAGACTAGCCTGAGCAACATAGCAAGACCCTATCTCTACAAAAAAAATTTTAAAAGTAGCCAGACATGGTGGTGCATGCCTGTAGTCCTAGCTACTCAGGAGGCTAAGGTGGGAGGATCGCTGGAGCTCAGGAGTTTGAGCTTGCAGTGAACTGTGATTGTGCCGCTGAGCTACAGCCTGGGCAACAAAGCGAGACCCAGTCTCTAAACAAACAACAACAACAACAACGAAAAGAATGCACAGCAATTCTAATGTAAATGCACCAAACAAAAAAGCTGTAAAATACATGAAGCAATAACTGTTAGCTATGAAAGGAGAAACAGACAAATCCACAATTATAGTTAGAGACTTCAGCACCTCTCTCAACAACTGAAAACTAGACCGCAAATCATCAAGGATATAGAGAACTCAAAAGCACCTTTAACTAGCAAGCTCTATTAGACATTTACAGAGCACCAACAACAGTGGGATATACATTCTTTTTCAAGTACACATGGGACATATACCAAGATAGACTATATCCTCAGCCATAAAACAAACCGTGAGAAACTCAGAATTAAAATCTGTATGATTTTAATCAATACAGATCGAACTAGAAATCAATGAAAGAAAGGTAACAGGAAAATCTCAAAACACTTGGAAACTAAATAACACACTTCTGAATAATCCATAGGCAATACTCTGGTTTCTCTTCAGATCATATGACTCTTATGCCTTTTACTAAATAATCCATAGGGCAAAGAGAAAATCTCAAGGGAAGTAAAACAAACAAAAAAAAATCACAGGAGCTGGGCTTGGTGGCTCATACCTATAATCTCAGCACTTTGGGAGGCTGAGGCGGATGGACTCTTAAGCTCAGGAGTTTGAGACCAACCTGGGCAACATAGCGAGACCTCATCCCTATAAAAAAATACAAAAATTAGCCAGGTGTGGTAGCAGGGACCTGTAGTCTCAGCTACTTGGGAGGCTGAGGTGGGAAGCCTGCTTGAGGCCAGGAGTTTGAGACCAGCCTGGGTGACAGAACAAGACCCTGTCTTACAGAAAATTTAAAAAATTAATCAGGTATGGTGATATGCACCTATAGTCCCACCTACTCAGGACGCTGAGGCAGGAGGATTGCTTGAGCCCAGGAGGTTGAGGCTGTAGTGAGCTATGATTGCACCACTGCACTCCAGCCTGGGTGAGAGTGAGACCCTATCTCAGAAAAAAGGGAAAATATTCAAATTATTCAAATCAATAATCTAAGCTCCCATTTCAAGAATGTAGAGGAAAAAAAACAGCAAAATAAACCACAAGTAAGCAGAAAGAAAGAAATAATAAGAGCAGACAGCCCAATGAAATCGAAAACAGAAAACCAAAAGAGAAAAATCAGTAAAACAAAGAATGGGTACTTTGAAAAGATCAATAAATTGACAAACCTCTAGTAAAACAGACAATGAAAAAAAGAAGTCACAAACTTCCAGTAACAGAAATGAAATTTCCAGTATCACTGCAGATTCTGCAGACATCAAAAGGACAATTATTAAATACTTCAAACAATTATACACACATAAAATTGACCACTTAGATGAAATGGACCAGTTCCTAGAGATACACAATCCACCAAAACTGACTGAAGAGTAGAAAATCTAACTAGATCTACACAGCGAGGAGACTGAGTCAGTAATCAAAAATCTCCCAACAAAGAAAAGCCCAGGACACAGCTGGGTGCAGTGGCTCACGCCTATAACTCCAGCATTTAGGGAGGCAGAGGTGGGAGGATCACTTGAGCCCAGGACACAGCTGGGCGCAGTGGCTCACGCCTGTAACCCCAGTATTTAGGGAGGCAGAGGTGGGAGGATCACTTGAGCCCAGGATACAGCTGGGTGCAGTGGCTCACGCCTGTAACCCCAGCATTTAGGGAGGCAGAGGTGGGAGGATCACTTGAGCCCAGGACACAGCTGGGCGCAGTGGCTCACGCCTGTAACCCCAGCATTTAGGGAGGCAGAGGTGGGAGGATCACTTGAGCCCAGGACACAGCTGGGCGCAGTGGCTCACGCCTGTAACCCCAGCATTTAGGGAGGCAGAGGTGGGAGGATCACTTGAGCCCAGGACACAGCTGGGCGCAGCGGCTCACGCCTGTAACCCCAGCATTTAGGGAGGCAGAGGTGGGAGGATCACTTGAGCCCAGGACACAGCTGGGCGCAGTGGCTCATGCCTGTAACCCCAGCATTTAGGGAGGCAGAGGTGGGAGGATCACTTGAGCCCAGGAGTTCGAGACTTGCCTGGGCAATATAGCGAGACCTTGTTCTTCAAGAAAAAAAAAAAGAAAAAGAAAGAAAGAAAAGAAAAAAGACAGAAAAGCACAGGACCAGACGGCTTCACTGGTGAATTCTACTAAAACATTTAAAAGAAGAATCAACACCAATTCTTCTCAAACTCTTACAAAATGTTTAAGAGAAGGAAACATTTCCTAATTCACTCTGTGAGGCCAGTAGTACCCCGATAACAAAACCAGACAAAGACACTAAAAGAAAACTACCAACCAATATATTTTATGAATATTGATGCAAAAATCCTCAGCATAACATTCAGCAACACATTAAAAGGATTACACATCAAGGGCCAGGTGCAATGGCTCACGCCTATAATCCCAGCACTTTGGGAGGCCAAGGCGGGCTGATCACCTGAGGTCAGGAGTTTGAGACTAGCCTCACCAACATGGCGAAACCCGCGTCTCTACTAAAACTACAAAAATTAGCTGGGCCTGGCAGCGCGTGCCTGAAATCCCAGCTACTCATGAGGCTGAGGCAGGAGAATTGCTCCAACCTGGGAGGCGGAGTTTACAGTGAGCTGAGATCGTACCAGTGCACTCCAGCCTGGGCAACAAGAGCAAAACTCTATTTCAAAAACAAACCAAAAAAAGGATTACACATCATAACCAATTACTCCCAGATGCAAGGATGGTTTCATACACAAAAATCAATTAATGAGATTGTGACTGACTGTGATTCAATGTGGTCAGAGTCATGAGCTGACCACCTTAATAGAATAAAGGAAAAAGACCACAAGATCATTTCAATTGATCTACAAAAAGGCCTGACAAAATTCAACACCATTTCATGTTTAAAAAAAACCAAAAACCTAATAAATAGGATAGAAGGCAACTTCCTCAGTGTGGTAAACTCTATACATAAAAGCCCATAGCTTACGTCATATTCAATGGTGAAAAATGAAAGCTTTTCTTCTAAGATGAGGAAAAAGACAAGGATGCCCACAGTTGCCATTTTAATTCAATATAGTATTAAAAGTTCTAGCCAGAGGCCGGGCGTGGTGGCTCACACCTATAATCCCAGCACTTTGGGAGGCCAAGGCAGGCGGATCATCTGAGGTCACGAGTTTGAGACCAGCCTGGCCCCATGGTGTGACCCTGTCTCTACTAAAAACACAAAAATTAGCTGGGTTTGGTGGCACATGCACCTGTAGTCCCAGCTACTTGGGAGGCTGAGGCAGGAGAATCACTCGAACCCGGGAGGCGGAAGTTGCAGTGAGCCGAGATCATGCCATTGCACTCCAGCCTGGGCGACAGAGTGAGACTATGTCTCAAAAATAAATAAATAAATAAATAAATAAATAAATAAATAAATAAAAGGCATCCCAATTGAAAAGGAAGAAGTAAAATTATCTGTTTGCTGATGACATGATCTTATATGTAAGAAAACCCTAAAGAATCCACACACAAAAAAAGTTAGAATAAAGAAATTCAACCACAACAAGTGGTGGGGAGGGTGTGGAGAAACGGGAACCCGTGCGCCGTTGCTGGGAACGTAAAGTGGTTCAGCCACAACAGAAAACACTTGCCGATTCCTCAGAAAGCTAAACACAGAATTACTCAGACTCCAGCAATTCCACTCCTCAATATACACCCAAAGGAAGTGAAAGCGGGGCTCAAACAGATACCTGGCTGTCAGGAATCACTACAGCACCAGTCACAGTAGCCACATAACCACCAGCACACGAAGGAACTAACAAAACGCAGTGCACACACAACGGAATGTTACTCTACCATAAGAAAGGAATGAGGTGCTGCTACACGTGTGAACCCTGGAAACATTATGCCGGGTGAAAGATGCCAGACACCAAAGGACAGATGCTGGATGATTCCACTGACGGGACACAGCTAGACCCTGGAAACATTACGCTGCGTGAAAGACGCCAGACACCAAAGGACAGAATGTACGATTCCACTTAGAGGACATAGCTAGAGGAGGCGCCTTCACTAACTAGTTAGGTGTCTAACTAGGGTTTGGGAAGCGGGGAGTGGAGAGTCATTGCTGAATACTCAGTGTTTCTGTCAGGAGTGAGGAAAACATTTTGGAATGTTTCCACGGTGTTGTGAATGTAGTTAGCTATTGAACTAAGTGCCATTTTGACGCTTAAAAATGGTCAAAATTTATGTTATATATATTTTACCACAATTAAAAAGTAACACAGTATATACCAAAAACTATTGAATTGTACACTAAAATGGGTGAATTATGTGGTACGTGAATCATATCTCAACAAAGCTGTTTTTCAAAAAAAGATAGGAATGGCCCATAAGCACCCAGGTGCTCTGCGCATCCAGGCCATCAGGGAAATGCAAACCAAAACCCCAGGGATACGGCACGCCACGCCCACCAGAACGGGTGTGCCAGAAAGGCAGATACCCAGAGCTAGCGAGGAAGTAAGCAAGACGAAAGCCTTGCTCGCTGCCGGCAGGAGTGTCAAACAGTGAAGCCGTTTTAGAAAACAGGAGGCTGTTAACCTAGAGTGACCCTGTAGCCCTGCAGTGACCCTATGGCCCTGCAATTCCACTCCTAGGTGTCTACCCAAGAGAAGCAAAAGCATCGGCCACACAAAGGCTGGAGCGCGGACATTCGAGGCAGTATTATTCACGACAGCCCCCAACTGGCAACCACCCGAACGGACAAAGAAAGTGTGGAGAGCCTCTGCAGCGGCTTGACTCTGTAATAAAAACGGGTGCAGCGCTGAGGTGCTGCAGGACAGACCTCCAAACATGATGCAAAATCAAAGATGCCAAACAACCATGTACTGTATGATTCCAGCAACACGAAAGGCCCACAGAAGAAACTTACCGAGACAGAAGTGGATGAGTGTTAGGGGCCGGGACTGATGATGAAAAGAGTGAGGGAATTCTGGGGGGCGATGAAAACAACTGAAAGCTGCGCTGTGGTGCAGCTGTACCACTCTAAGTTTACTCAAACCCACAGAACCATACACCTAGAGCAGAGGAATTGTGTGGGAGGGAAACTGTACTTCAGTTAAGCTGCTTTTTTTTTTTTTTTAAAGCTGACACCACAGATCAAAGGGTTAGATCACCGTTGAGGGAAAGCACCCACGACATGAAGAAAAACTAAGTGAGGCCCCACCTCACACAACACGCAAATGAAGAACAGCAAACGGCAGCCGACTTGTAGGGAGGCCTCCCTGTGCCAGGGCCACCCAGGACACTGCCAGGCCCACTGTGGCCCCCTGAAGAGTCGCCACGACCCTCTGAGATAGGCAGTGCCGTTATCCCGACTGTATATAAAAGGAGACTGAGGCCAGAGGAGGAAGTAACCGTGCAGGGACAAGCGACACCCACAGCTGCCTCTTGAGCCAGCATCAGGCAATGCAGGAGGCACTCTGTGACCATGGGTGGAGACTGGTCCTAAACAAGACCCCGAGCACAAATCACAGGGCAAAGGATGTCAGGACCTTGCCTCATAAAGGACGAAGGATTCGGCCTAACAAAGGGCAGCACTGGCGAAAGCAAGGCACCAACAGAGAAGCGCTGTATGTGAACAAAACCAAGACAGGCGCTGTCCAGAGGACACAGGAGCCCTTGCAAGCCTGGAGGATGAAGGCAGGGTGTGCGTGAGGGGAATCCCAGGTGACTCAGGTCTCAGCTCGCACTTGGGGAGCTGAAACCCAAGGCTCAGCCAGGGCCTTCCCTCTCCCGACAGCTCCCTGCAGACAGGCACCAACCACACACAGGGTGTGGGGAAAACGGCAGCGCGGAGGCTCACGGAGCAGGCACTGCAGATGCAGGAGGGCCAAGGTGTGCAGGAGCTCTCAATGCAGAGGTGGGGATGGAGTCACTGTCACCCCTGCACACGTGCACACGATGCTCCCCAGCCCTGTGCACTGGGGGCGCTGGCAGCAGCCAACACCCTAGCTGCAACAAGCACACGCAGCGCCCAGACCCTGAGTCCTAAACACACCCAGAAGGAACCAGGGCGCCCTGCAGGAGCAGCTGTCCCACCTAGAGCCACCAGGAGCAGCGCCCAGACCCTGAGTCTCTTTTTTTTTTTTTGAGACAGAGTCTCACTCTTGTCACGTAGGCTGGAGTGCAGTGGCGCAATCTCAGCTCACCACAACCTCCACCTCCCGGGTTCCAGCAATTCTCCTGCCTCAGCCTCCCGAGTAGCTGGGATTACAGGCATTTGCCGCCACAACCGGCTAACTTTTCGTATTTTTAGTAGAGATGGGGTTTCACCATGTTGGCCAAGCTGGTTTTGAACTCCTGACCTCAGGTGATCCACCTGCCTCGGCCTCCCAAAGTGTTGGGATTACAGGTGTGAGCCACCGCGCCCGGCCCAGACCCTGAGTCTTAAACACACCCATAAGGAGCCAGGAGCGGCTGTCCCAGAGCCGCCGGGTGCTGGGAGCATCTGGGTGCCAGAAAGCAAGCAAGGGTGCAGAAACTGTCAGGCACATCATAAGGGCAGGAGCCCTGGCAGGGCAGCATATTAAAAGGGGACGGCAATGGACACAGCCGGACACACCCGTGGACAAACAGGCGAGCGGTGAGCACGGAGGAGGGAAAACTCTTCCGTTCAAGGACGCCGGCCGCGGATCAGAATTTGACAGCAGACAGACACAGCTGGCTATTAAGACTAAGGGGAGAAGGTGGAGTTTTCTAGTCTCAGAGTCTCCCCCCAGCAAGACGTATCAGCCGGGGAGATCCCTTTGACAAGGATGGAGCGAGCGCCTGAGGCAAGGGAGGAAAACAGCGCTGCACCAGGACAGGGACGCCTACTGGGGAGGACTCTGCGTCTCCGGGTCTGGGCAGGACGTGGCAGACCCCGCAGGTGTGTACAAACAGGCAGTCTGAAGTCATCCCCGTCCTGATATCTAGGAGGGCAGGCGGCATCTGGCAGAGGTTGACCCCTGAGCCACAGCCGTGGCCCCCCAAAAGGGGAAGGAGCGGAGATTTACTCCCAGCCTAAATTATTCACAAGGAAAGGGAATGTGGCTCTTTAACAAGCCATCGCTTTATGAAGCAAGGTTAACAATTTCACTTGATTCAGTGGAATATTATAAACTCTCTGGGGCCCATTTGAGGACTTCTACTTCAGGCGCAAGGTGACGATTCAGCACTTTTCACATTATTTAGAGAATAAAATTAACCCTCGCAGGCCCGGGCTGCCGCCTGTCCCCGCTGGATCTGGCCGGCTCAGCGCTTTCCCATATATAATTACAAGCTGCTATCCATCATGCGGGCGCCGCGGCGCGGACACACGGAAAGGCAGCAGTAAGCACTTCCACTAATAGAAGCAGGACCTAAATATCACTTTGATATTTTCATTTAAATCGAAACATTTTACAATAATCAGCCATGGCCTCCATGGGGATCCTGCCACTGCCCCCACAGGGTCTGGGGCTGCCCCAGCCAGGCCCTACCTCCCCGGAGGGGATTGCCTGCCAGGTTTCAGGTTGGGGAGCCCGGCCTGGCCAACCCTTGGCCCGGCAGCAGGGGCTGCAGGCTGACTCCTCCTGGGAAGTGGGTGTGAGGACTGAGGATGAGGGAGAGGATGCTTGGGAAGGGCCCGGCCCACCACAGAACGCTGTGCACAGGAAGGAGTGCGTGGCCCAGCTTCTACAGGACCCCACAGGTGAACCCAGCAAGGGAGGGGCAGGAGAGCCGCCAGAGCTTCGGGCCCGGTGTCCTTGCGGGTGGGCTGAGAAAGGGTTCCTGGGGTGCCTGGTGTTCTCGGCTTCACGGGGGCTGCAGACCCTGAGGCAGCGCCAACACAAGTGTGAGGTCCAGGTGGCAGTGAGCCGTGCTGCAGGCCCCGGGGCTCCCTCCCAAGATGCCAGGGACAAGGAGCATCTCCAGGTCCCCCAGCTCTGGCCCCTCCCCAGCCTGAGCCAGGAGGCCCCCAGCCTCAGCCACAAGCCTTAGGCCAGGTGCAGGAGCCCCCAGGGCGGGGAGAGAAACAGGCGTGAGAGGCTGGGGTAGAGGGGGCTTGTACCCGGGACCAGGCCCACTGGAGATGCTGAGGCCACGCTGCTTGTGGCGGGGAGTCCTGCTGAAGCCCAGGAGGGCAGGTGAGGCAGAGGGGAGGAGCTGGCTGCACTGCCGGGAACTTCCCAGACAGGTGAGCCTGTGAGTGCCTCTGCAACACAGGAGTCAGTCATGCCCCTAGGAAGAGGGGAGCCGCAGCCATCAGCTACAGCCCAGGTCCCCAATTCTCCACCCAGCAGTGGTGCCCCGCAATGAGCTCCAGCGCCAGCTCACTCCACCCTTGCCAGCCACGGCTCAGGCGGCCCCCTTGGCTCTGCCTGGCCCACCCCTCTGCCCCAGGCTGGGTGGGAGTGTCCCGTCCACCCCCTGCCTTCCTGGGGAGGCTGCTGGCCCCACATCCTGCAGCCCTGCGGGCTCCCTGGCCTCCAATATCCCCTTCACTGCACTGCCGCCCCCAGCAACATCCCAGGAGCTGCTCCGGCCCAGTCACCACACCCCTACCATGGGGGGCCAGCTCCTGGGGCTACCAGTGCTGCACCTGGAAGTCTAGGTCCTCTGCGCCTCACCTTCCCATGGTTCAAACCCCGCCCTGTGTTGGTGCTGTGCAACCCCGGGAAAGTTGCTGGACCTCTCTGAGTCACCTGTGAGGTGGACGTGATGGCACTGACCACCTCAGGGCTGCAGATGGGTCATCCAGCCACCACGGCAGGTACCCAGGAGTGAGCAGAGGACCAACAAGCCACAGGAACCCCGCCCACTCGGGCCCCCACAGACCACTCACCTTTGCACCCAGGGGGCAGTAGCCTTTGAGGAAGTCGCTGCAGACCTCGGCCTTGCGGGACACGTACACGTGGCTATAGGGACAGTTGCTGTTGCTGCAGATGCCCTTCAGGAAGTAGGAGCACACCGGCATCTGCAGGGAGGGCCGGCAGTGAGGGCCAGCAGGCAGCCACCCTCCAGGGCCCAGAGACGGTGGCTGGGGACCCTCCTACGGCCCCGCCCGAGAGAGAAATGGACACGCGGCACCAGCAGGCAGGAAGGGCAGCCACCACGACCTGCGGGGCAGGGAAGCTGCTGCTCAGAAGTGGGCCCCAGCCTCCCCAGGTGAGCCACACCCCTGCCGTGCTCTGTCCAGAGGAGGCATGGAGCAGCCCTGTAGCCCTGTGGCTCAGCCTCAGGGGCGCCCTCCTCTGAGTCCCTCACCTGTTCTGAGCCTGCCCACCGTCCAGGGCAAGATGGCAGCCAGGGCTCCCAACCACTAGCCTGTGGCCAGGGCTGCCCTTGGAGCCTCTCAGGCCATGGGGACCAGTGTCTAGGTGGGAGGACGAGCCACGGGCCAGCAGCCAACAGAGGGCTCTCCCTCTCCAGGCACCTGACCCGTGGGCCACAGGCAGTGTCCCTGGGCTCTAGGTGGGCAGGAGCCACCTGGAAGCAGGGCTGGTGTGGCACTGGCTGCAGGCCAGCACCGTGGAGGCCAAGGCTGTCAGCAGGAAGGGTCCAGCAGCGTCTTCCTCCCCAGCACAGGGCCGCTGGCCACAGTCAGTGCTTGTTATCACCACTGGGCTGGGAGAGGGAAAAAATGTAACTTTCCTCCCATTTGGGGGAACCTCAGGCCTAAGGAGCAATGGCTGGGCTAGGGCCACCCAGGGAGGGAAGCAGGGGGTCTCTTGCCATCTCCAGGAGACATCTCCCTGCCCCTCATGGGCCACCACGGGCTCTTCCTGGGCTGCCTGGGTGTCCAGAACAAGGATGTCACCGTCCAGCCTCAGCATGGAGCCCCCACAGAGCCCCTGCCAGCACCCCAGGGTCTCCAGTCTTGCCCCAGGCTATTCCCGCTCCCCTCCCAGGGCCTTCCTCCCTCCTGGGTCAGACCACCCTCCCTGCTCCCACTACCCTTGTCCCCCTCCCCTTCCCAGCCTGCTCAGAGCTGCTGGGGCCTGAGGAGCCCTGGGGGATCTGGGCAGACCCAGAGGCTTTAAAAAGTCACTTTTCTGGGGCAAGGTTGGGGATGGGAAAGGAACTTGTCTAAGGCCAAGGAGGGAAGAAGGGGTCCAGAGAGCCAGCGGCCAGGGCTGAGAGGGAGGGAGGGAGAAGGCAAAGAAACAAAGGGTGATTTAACGAGCGGGAGTTTATTTCTAATTGTCTTTTAACTGCAGCCGCAGAGGGGAGAGGGGCTGGGGGCCGTTTGGGGCTGGCGGTGGTGGGCTGTAGACAATTCCCTTAATGTGGTTTTTGATATAGAGCCCAAATTAGCTCTAATAAAAAGGGATGATAAAGCCAACTCTACAGCAAACGGAGCTCCTCTTGGCTGTCAGAGCGGGGCTGTTATCAAGAGGAAACTGCATTCTCATTTCAATTAACCTTGTTTGCACCCCGCCACGTCCACACAAATAACAATAACATTAATTCAGGGCACTGGTGCGGGGCGTCCACATTAGACAGCTTGGAATGTGCTCTGGCTTTGGAGCTGGGAGCTAATGAACCCGAAACTCGATGTGAATTTCCAAATTGCTCACAACAGAGTTCCGAAGCTCTATTAGGGAGAAAAATGCTGATTCTTTTCAAGTTCCTCAAGGGGAAAAGCTGTTGCGGCAGCAGCACCCCTGCCCAACACCGCCTCCCTCACCCAAGGCAGCCCTCACTCCACTCGCATGCTGTGGTCACACCGTGGCTGAGTCCGGGGCACAGGAGCTACACATGTCCCCCCCAGCCCCAGGGCTCTCTTGCTGCTTCCCAGCAGGGGACCCACCTTGGCTCAAAGCAAGTCTGTTGGGTTTCAGGCCGCGGGGACAACCACATGAGCCAGGAGTCCAGCTGTTCTCCCTCCAGCCCCTCCCTCCCGCCCTCTGCCCAGGCAGCCTCTCCACCCAGCCCCCTCACATACAGCTTCCCCCCTCCTGCCAACCCCAGTCTGAAGAGGCCCTGAGGCCTCAGCCCTGGGTCCACAGGGGCACCTGTGGGACCACCTTCCCCTAGGCATGTGTAAGGGGGGCCTGGGGATCTGGTGAGGCCTGGTGCTGCCAGGAGAAGGGAAAAGAGACCCCTGTGCGTGGTGAGCAGAGACCCTATCAGCGCTGCTTTCCGGGGAAGAGGAAGCCCAGCTGCAAAGCCTGCAATGGGGTAGAGACGGTACAGCAGACTCTAAGGACGCCAGGGCAGGGATCTGCATGTCCCAAACCCAGAGAAAGCTGTGGGCACCATCTGCCCGGAGGCCAGGTGGCTGAGGCCCCGGAGAAAGGTGCACGGGAGCAGGGCCACCAGCGCCGCACTCACCTTCTCCTTGGACACATGGTGGGAGAAGGGGCAGGTCCCATCCGTTTTCTTGCAGGTGCCCCGGACAAACCTGCAGCACCAGGAGAAACGGGTATGAGGAAGGGCCGGCAGGGACCAAGGGCAGGGCCCTGCACAGAACCTCCCCCAGGCCCACAGCGAGGGCAGGAGGGCACCTGGTGCACACGGCCACCTTCTCGGGATCGTGGATGTAGGGGCAGCGCTCGCCACGGTTGCACCTGCCGAAGCGGTTGTAGTACATGCAGTACTCCTTCCTCTTCTCCCTGCGCTGCCGCGCCTGCCGGATGATGGCCAGGCTGCGCTGCACTGCCCGGCTGCAGACGGGGAGAGAGGTGCGTGAGCCTGAGGGCGAGCAGGGAGCCCACCCACTGCCCAGCCCAAAGGCATTACCTGGCCAGGGAACGGCTACAGCTGCCTGCAGGATCCAGCCGGCCTGTGGGGGAGAGAGGCACGGGTCATAGCAGGCCACAGCCTGGCCCGCACGCCCTTTCCCTGCTGACCCCCTTAGTCGAGGCCCTCAGGGGTCCCAACACTCAGCTCAGGCACAGCCTCCCCTCCAGGAAACTGCCCAGAGCTCCCCTCCCCACAGTGGTTCAGATGCCCTGGGCCCTGCCAGGCCCCTCTGGGGACACAGCACCTGAGAGTGGGGAGCTGCTGGGCCCTGTGTCTAGCTCCTCTCCAGGGCAGGGTCCGGGCAGGGCTCCTGTCCCTGCCCTCAGAGCCAGCAAAGCCAGGCAGCACCCGCGGAGGGCTTGGCCACGTGGGCTGGAGACGCCCGCCTGTCCCTGCTGCCTCCCTGGCCAGGCTCCCCAGGGCCACGCTTTGCTGGCTGGAACCCCCCTGCTGGCTTCCTCATGTCCCTGGGTGCCCACCCTGGGCCAAGGCAGTGACTGGCCTATGGACACTGCTCCTGGCTCTCTCCTCAGCCCTGGCCACCCAGGAAGCTGCCCTGTAAACAGAACAGCTGCTAACAGCAGCACCTCCCTCTGCCAGGGCCTGGGCTGGCAGGACCCGCGGGGTCACTTAGACCAGGGGGTGAATATGGCCCATGGGGCACACATGGTCTGGCCTTTTGGGAGCAAGAATGGCTTCTGACTTTTAGAGGGCTATAAAACTAAAGACATGCAGCAGAGAAGGTGTGGGGGCAAAGCCCGCTTGGCGGAGGCATCTGCCCAGCTGCCCACTGCAGCTGTGGAGGTCTGGGGGAAGGGCACCTGTCCCTGAAGCCCTGGGCTGGCGCTGGCAGATCCTGGCTAGTGTCTGTTACTCTAAATTTTAGAGGTGCCTCATCAGATGCTCCTCAAAACCCCAAGCATAAGCACCACCCCCGCCTTTCTGAAACCGCACACCACGGCCTGGGAGGGCGGCCTGGGAGTGCGGTGGTGGCAGGAAGGAAATGGACCTTGGGGCTGGACATGGCCGAGTGCTGCCAGGCCTGAGAGCCAAGGGGATGAGGCGGGGAGGGGGTGCCATCTGGAGGAGGAGGGTCTGCTCCGGTGACACAGCCCTGCCTGCCTTTTACAGACAGAGGTCACCCAGGATCACGGGGTGGGCAGGGCAGGACCAGCCTGCTGAGGGCGGCTTTCCCGGGTTCCTCAAATACGCGCATGATCCTTCCCAGACCAGATCCAATTTCCTACAGGGCAAATGCTGAAATGGACACTGCAGTTAAGAGGCAGAGGTGACATCACTCAGAAATTCTGGGGACCTGAGGTGGTGACAAAGCCATCCTGGTTTAAAAAGGGATGTCCCAAAGCCGCCCAGCCCCAAATAGCCAGACCTGCCCCACTCTTGAGCACCAGAGAGCAGCCTCGTCCTCACTCTCCCAGATGGCCCAGCAGCCGCAGACTCCCACCCGAGGACCCAAGGCTTCCGCTCCCTCGCACCCCCAGGCTGGAGCCCCCCCCACTCCTCGCTTTGTGCTTTGCGTCCAGCCCAGTGCTCCCTAGCTAGGGTCAGTGGTGCTGCTGCCCTTCACCCTCAGGGGCCCTGCCTACTGTCCCCACTCAGCCCGTCTCAAGTTTCAAAAGGGCAGCTCCAGAGCTGAGTGGCCAGCGAGCCCGGCTGGGGCAGGAGCAGGAGCTAGTCATGGTACCTGGGGCAGGAAAGGGGGCGTTGAAGAACGCAGAAACCTGAGGCGTGTGGGGGGCCAGGGGCAAAGGGAGGGTGATGAGGGTCTTGGTGCGGAGGGACCAACGCGGGGGTGCTCAGGGCAGCCCCCGTTCTCAGGCCGGGACCCTTGTCCCCGGGTGGGCAGCAGGGCCCAGTCCAGACGGCACGGGCACGCCCTCACACCTGCCAGCCTGTGGGGTGAGGGACGCGGCAATGCGGCGGTCTGTCGGCACTGCTGGTTCCCAGTCTCTCGCCCAGGCTGCCAGTGACACTGCGACGCCATCTGCTCCAGGCAGGGACACACTGGCATCACGTGCCCGCCTGGCAGGACCGGGTGCAGCAGGAGGGGTTACCTCCCTTTCCACTTTGTGCTCTTTAAAAAAATGCCAGTGTGAGGCTCACGGCAGGAGTTCTGACAAGAACAGGAGGCACTTTTTCAAATGCTTTGCAGTGTTAAAAAATGCACATAAAATAGCTGGCTGGAAAAGAAGCAAGGGCTGCCTGAGAAGTGCTAAAAAGTTCAACTGAATAACCCCCAGCAGCTCCACAGCAGAAGGCGCCATGCATTCCAGAGAACTTTCACTTCCCCGGGATCTTCTCAGAATAGACTCGGCTCCCACCAGCCCCACCCCCTGCTCGGTGCCCCAGTGCCAGCTCTGGGCACCGCTGGATGTCAGGCTCTGCAAGGCAAGCGGGGTGGGGGCCTTGCAGTCAGAGGTTCCTCAGCACCTCCAGGCCCTGCTCCGGCCAGCACCCACTGGACAGCTGCTGCCTGGCCCAAGGGACAACATCCACGATGACCGGGGCACGCAGGCAGCCCCAATTCCCAGGCCAGCACTCTCCCAAGAAGTTAGGCAGGGCTGCGCCAAGCCCTGGTCTGCTCACAGCGCGCCCACCAGGCCCTCCAGGGCACGTCCGTCTGGCACATGGAGGCTGTGCCCTTGGGAGAAGGCAGCCAGCGGCAGAGGGTGCCCCAGAAGAGGCAGTGTGGGGCGGGGGCAAGCCGACAGGGCCTTCGTCACCCCAGGGAGGGTGGGCAGGTGACCAGCAGGGGAGGCGCAGAGGCCGGACGTGCCAGGAACACGCAGCAGCTGGCCCACAGCAGGGAGGGCCACGGCCACAGGTGGCTGGGGGCTTTGGGGACACAGAACAAGCCAAGGCCAGCCCTGTGGCCAGAGACTGGGGCCTCTGCCCCACCACAGGAGCCATCAGGCTCATGGTGGCCACATATGGGCCATGCTCACTGGGGGCCCACACAGGATTCTGTGGGGAGGGACCCTGGAGCTCAGGCCTTCAGGTGGCAGGCGGGCCCAGGAGGGAGGGCTCGGCTTCAGGGACTGGGGAAGCTGGGGGTAGAAGCCATACTGTCCTCTGCCGTCAGGGGCCCAGAGCCCAGGGGGTCAGCCAGGACAGCCACCCCCACCCCTTCCAAGAAGGCTGCTGCACTTTCTTGTTGAAGTCAAATTTCTGCTGACACCAGGGGAGGAAATTTATTTCTTTAATTATTATTCCTCTTAAGTGGGCTGGTCAGCGGTATCCCACAGCTGGGAGCCATCTACCTTCCTCATGGCGAGGCGGGGCCGGTGGTGGCCCAGGCAGCTGGAGCTGTGGCCTCGCCTGTCGACCCAAAGGGCGAGTGCGGCCTCACTGGGCTCTGCACAGCCCCAGGACTGCCACAGTCGCCACCAAGGCTGGCCAGCGGGACACCGGAGGCCATAGCCCTACTCGATGGCAGGCGGGCCTCCCCAGGGGCAGGGGTGGGAGCAAGGAGGCCCCTGGACCCCTGCCTGCCCTGGCTGGCACCAGCCTCTGTGCGCCAGACCCTCCTTGCTGGCGTTGCTGAGGCTGAATGAAGGAGTTCTGGGTTGCTGCTGGTGCAGGGGTGAGACATGCCCCAGAAGGGCTGGGGGAACCAGACTGGCTCTCTGATGGCTCTGGGCCAAGGGAAGGGCCAACGGAGGCAGAGGCCAGTCAGCAAGGGTGGCCGGGATAGACTGTTCACAGTGTGGTGACGTCAGGGGCTCTGCGCCCGCCAGGGCTCTGCCATGTGTGTAAATGGCAAGGCGAGATTCTGCGGAGCTCAGCACTTGGCACCGACGGGGAGACACAGCAGCACCACAGCCTCCCAGGGAGGAGTGTGCAGCCCCTCCCTCTCCTCCCCACTGCTGAGCGGGCCAGGGCTATGCACTCCCTCCTCCCCAAAGCTCAGACCCTGGGCCATCCGGGTGGTGGGCACCGTGTCTGAGGGGGCCAAGTGCAAACCTGCTGCCTGCCACAGGCGTCTCTGTGGACACTGAGGGATGGGAGAGCTGGGATGGCAGGTGCACCTCCCCACACAGGCCCACCCAGCCCAACAAACGTGGGCCACAGGATCCCGGCGAGGGCTGAGACGACCCAAGGGCCCCGGTGCGGGGAGACGGACCCATGCCACAAGCCCCTCCGTGGGTCCCGCGGGTGCACGGTGCAGGGAGAATCCCAAGGACGCACCGCGACCTGGGTGAACAGGCGGGGCCAGCCTTGGCCCTGTGCAGGGAGTGGGATGCAGCTGCTGCAGTGGGGGCCACTCCCTGAGTGGGTGGGTCCTCCCTGGGATGGGCTCTGGCTCTGGAAAGGGCAGTAGGCATCCCCTCCCTGGCTCCAGCTTCCGCAGAGCAGGGCAGGGCCTGCAGACTGACTGCCAGGAGCAGCCTCTGCTGCCTATCCTGGCCGCCTGGGGCTCTCGCGTACGTCAGGACATCATGGTCTCCATGGCTGCTGTCTTGGCCACTTAATTATCAACCTCAGTCAGTACTACTATCGTGACTACCGGGAGCTTTCTGAATGTGGGTGCAGTGGTGCCAGGTAGACCCCGCCTGCCCCCAACCCATCTCCTCCCCCTGCTGGCTGTGCACAGGGTCCTGCGATGCCTCACGCCCCCTCCCACTCCTGCCCAGGCCTCTGCATGGCGGCCTCAGGATGCTCTTGCTGCTTCTGTCCCTTCTGGGCCCTCTCAGTTTTCAGCTCATGAGAAAGGCCTCCCTGACCACCTGACTGGACACGAGTCTGCGTATTTACACCTGTGGGCCCCAGGAATCTTCACTGGTGTTCAGCCCACGCCTCTCCCTGCACTAGGGACGTCAGAGGCAGCATCCATGGGAGATGCAGGGCACCCTCCCACCCAGGCAGGCAGGTGAGGGCTCGGGGTGCCCTTCCCTGGGCAGAGGGATCAGCCTGGCTGCTCTGCCCACTGCCTCTAGGACCAGAGAGGAAAGCCAGTGCCAGGACTGTGCCTGCAGTGTCAGTGCACTCAGGACAGTGCCAGCCAACGTGGGGCTTGGCCTCTGCCAAGGAGGCCCAGGGGAAGGTGGGACCACCCGGCATGAGCAGAGAGGCACCTCATGGCTTTGTCCCTGGGGGTCAAGCACGATGTCCTCAGAGCACCTGCTGCTGGCCCCGGGAGCTCCACTGGTCAGGGTCCCTGTTGGCTCACATGGCTGGTGGCTGGTGGACGGCCACAGGCGCCTGGGACCTGCTGTGCCAGAGACTGGCCAGGGGCTTATACTTCACTCAGGGAAATGACTGCTGGAGAGAAGCCCGAGGCCCCTCCCCTCCACGATACAAACAGCTGTGTGTAGCCCCACAGGCCACCAAGCTCCAGAGTCCGAGGATCAGAGGTAACCAGAGAAGGCCCTGCTGGGTGACAGGAAGGCCTATCCCCCAACCCACGGCAGCATCCCCCAGGGGCAAAGCCTCACCAAGGCCCCCATGTTCTGAGCCAGCTCCTGCACTGAGCACCCGGGGTGTAGCAGAGATGAGACCACACGCACAAATCACACAGCCCAGTCCCTCAAGGTACGGGTGGGGAAGCGGAGGCACACACAGGGGTGACACAGTGCCCAGGAAGGGACCCAGGGCTTCTCACCAGATCCTCAGTGAGTGGGAGGCACACACAGGGGTGACACAGTGCCGAGGAAGGGACCCAGGGCTTCTCACCAGATCCTCAGCGAGTGGGGATTTATTCCTGCCCAGTTCACCAGGACCCCCCAGCCCCAGCCACCAGGCTACAGGCATGGTCATGGGCACTGACCAGCCACAGTGTGGCTCAGAGCCCTGTGGGGCAGGTGCCAGGGCCCCCGTGCTGCTCCCAGCGACTCTGCCCAGGAAACAGCCCAGAAGCCCCTGGAGCCCAGAGATGGATGCTAGGAACACAGCCAGGCAGGGCGGCCAGTGAGGCTGGCTTCCAGGGAGGTACGCTTCCTGCCTCTCCTCTGACCCCCGCAGACCCTGCCGTCGGAGTCTACCTCCTCCAGGGGCTGAACCTGTTCTCTCTCTAGGTCCCAGGCGGGTCGGGGAGCCAGCATGGCCCAGCCTCTGCAATCCCAACACCACCTGCAATCTCCCTCTTTTTTTTTGATGGACAAGAAAGGGGGTAAAATTGGACTGAAACCAAAATATTTTTCTAGTTAATTTGTAGGATAAGTGAATCCAAAGCATTTCCTTCTCCTGAGCCTGTTTCCCTGGGCTGGGAGGGCGCAAGGTGGCGGCGCCGGCTGCCTCCAGACACAGTTGTCGAGGCGTCGCCAATGCGATTACGGGCGCCGCGGCCCCAGGTGTGCGCTCGCCCGGGCGTGTTTGCCGTACCTGGCATCATCCTTTTTCCAAAAGCGAAACATGGTGCTTGTGAGCAACTCTCCCCCACCCCACAGAAAATCAGGGGCCGCTCAGCCACGCGAGGTGGGCGCCACTCCAGGGCCCTTCCTGGGGGATGGCAGAGGAAGGCCTCCTGGCACCCTCCATTCTCCGGCTGCCCTGTTGGTCTCACTAGGGATGGCTACGAAGGCGCCGGGTGTATGGAAGAGTGAAATTAACTCCCAGGATGGGACGTGACCCATTTGGGAAGTGCTTGTTTGGACTGGCTCCCTGGGAGCATGAGGCCCCTGACCTCCTCCCCAAGACAGGGGCGTGAGCCAAGGCCCAGAGCAGCCACAGCATGTTGGAGGTTAGGGGGTCTGGCCTGCAATGCCCACCACACGCTAGCCGGTCGGTGTCATCTCCCAGCGCCCCCGCCCTCACCTCTCACCTGTGCGCAGGAGGGGCCTGCTGCCCGCATCACTGGGCTGGCCGGAGGTCTTGGAGAGCTTGTTGGCAGATACTTTGTAGAGGACCCCTCCGATGCAGCGGTAGCCTTTGCTCCGCCACCAAGGGGAGCCCGGTTGGGCTTTCCCACCCCCGCTGGCAACTGGACGCAGGCGGTTCAGCACCAGGGACCTGCAGAGACAGGAAATGCCCGTCAAACCTGGCCCCAGGACAGACTACAGCTCTGATGGTCAGTGCCAGGGGCCGAGCCCAGGCCTGGCCTCCCAAGGGGGACAGGGAGCAGCACTTGCGGTGGGTACACACTCCAGCTGGGTGACCACGGGCCATTGGCCCAGCTGCCAAGAGACCTCTGTCCCCCTCTGGCCCCCAACCCCCACCTCAGGGACATTTTGGCCGTCATCAGGGAACACTGACAAGGAGTCCCAGGAGGTGGCGCCCCCGACCCCACCCACGAGGCTGGGAACTCATGCGCCCCTAGAAGCCACGGTGAGAGGGCAGCGTCGTCCTCCAGTGCACACCTCCCCGTGGATATAACCACCCCTGGGCCCTGACCACCTGGCTGTGTGCTGCAGGGTAAGGGTCCCTGGGGCTGCAGGGCAGAGGGGCTGCAAGGTGTCTGCGTGTTGGTGAGAAGCACACCTGGCCCTTGGCACCTGGGCTGAGGCTCCCTTGAGTCGGCTTCAAGGCTGGGGCTATTTCTACCAACCGGCCCCAGCACATACCACCCTGGCCGTCAGGACCACAGACACCATAGGGTCAGCAGGCTACCCTGCCTCTTCTCCTCCTCCACCCTGTCCTGCCTCCCCTTCATCCACAGCTCAGAGAGCCCTGCACTGAGAGGGCATGGGGACAGCCTCACAGACCCCGGGCCAGGCTGTTTGAGGGAAATGCTGATGTTGCCTCAAGTCCAAGGGCTGAAGAGGCCGCGACAGCCCCTGGAGTTAGCTGAGCTGATGACCCTGGCTAGAGGAAGAGACCTAGGCCGACAGACCCTGAGCCCTGGCAGCCCCCACTCCTGCCAAATACTCCACAGCCTCCAGGAAGCCAAGGGGCAGAGTAAGACAAGAGGGGCCTGAGCTGCACTCCAGAGGCACCTCCCTGCAGCTGCCAGCCACACCCACAGCCCTGCGGACCCTCGGGCAAGCAGCCCCCAAGGTGGGGGGCTCAGGGCCTGGCAAATTGAGCTTGATTCCACATGAGCTCACGCTCTGCTCAAGCTGCCATGACCCCTGAGGTGGATACCACACCCCCAGCAAATCTGGGCAAGACATTTTTGGGCAGCCATGGGTGCGCAGGCAGCAAAGGGACCAGTCAAGTGGGAGGCGAGGACGGGCAGCTCAGGCCTGGCACAGGGCTGTGCCCCTGCTCTACGCTCCCCATCCCACACTGGTCCCCATGGCCCTGCAGCTACACAGCCCTCTCTGCTGTGGAGTACCTGAGCCCCCCAACCCATCCACAGCCGCAGGAGACCCTTTTCCAGCTGGTCTGGGCCAGGGTGGGGTGCCCCCTAGACCCAGGCCCGCAGCATGCATGAAGGTGGGGCTCGCTTGTCTGGCTGGATGGGGCAGGTACAGGGGGACAGCAGCATATCCATCAAAGCCACCCACGAGGAGCCAACAGACCTGGTGGTACTGGGGATGGAGCAGCCCTTCTGTCGGGTTCCACCGCCATCCCCACCACTCAGCCCTGCAACCCCTCCGGGCCTTGGTCCCTCTGCCTGCAAGCTGGGGTAATTCTCAGCAGCCGGGGGCCTCCAAGGGCCCATTAGAGAGAGAATGGGAGCAGAGAGAGCCCGGTGCCGGGGATGGGAGCTGCAGTGTAAGTACAAGCACGGCGGCTGGAGCACTTAACCCAGTTTCCTTTAATTAAAATTCAAGTTCACAAACACCAATCTTGGCGGGAAAGAGCCCACCAAGGGGCCTGGCAGTGCTGAGTGGTCTGCTGGCCCCCACCTCCCACCTATCCTGTCTGCGCCCTGCACACTCCAGCTGCTCCCCAACCCCCAGCCGGGCACTGTCTGGGCCAGAGGGGTGGAGGGTAGGCATCCTGCCAGCCAGACTCAGACCTCCAGGCTCTCATCAGACCCTGGGGTCCCAGTGCAGCCCCGGCCTCCAGGTGCCTGCAGGCCCAGCAGGTGCATGGCCTGTACCTTCAGCTTATCCTGGCACCAGGCCTGGAGGGAGGCAGGCCAGGCAGGACCTCCTGCACCAGCCTCTCAGTTGGAGAACCCCATCAGCCTGGGGGGCTCAGAGGCAGGTTCTGACCTTCCACAGGAGCTACGGCCACTACCTGGGGGACACTCAGCTTGACCCCAAATCCCAGTCAGGCTGAGCCCAGGGCCCTGCACCAGCCCCACAGTACTCACAGGCCTCAGGGGTCTCACCATTGGGAGGGTGAGGGGGCTGGTGGCCAGGGTGCACCCCCCCACCGCAGCACCAGCCACTCACAGAGCCTCTGGCCATCATACAACTGGGGCCAAAGCTAACTGTGGTCCTCGCCCCGGAAAGGCTGCTCAGGGCCAGCCTGGACTTGCTCCCGGGAGCCCCCAGCTCCCTGCCTCCCCACAGGCTCCAGTGAGTAGATGGTAAGTCTGCACTCTCGGGGGAAGCACCCAATCCTGCATGCCTGACCCCGCCCACGGCACAGGCTGGGTTCAACCCTGGCCGCCACAAAGCAGGAAGGACGAGCAGGCAACAGAGCCAACCCAGCTCTCCACCTGGGTCCAGCCAGGACTCCCTGAGGAGATGGTTGGGAGGGAGGCCCAGAACCCAGGTGTGCAAGGACTCACCTGCAGGAGTGTCCCCCTGACTGAGGCTCACATGGGGACAGGCCACCACCCACTCACTGTGTGGCTCTCCAAAGGCACCCGGATGGAGGGCGAGGCCCGGGCTGCAGCACTTGCTCCCCTCCCCCAGGGGCAGCCACAGCTGGCCAGGCCCAGGGAAGGGCCCGTGGGGCAGAGGCATCAGGGCCTCTGGGGGTCAGCAGGCACTGGAAGCTTCCAGGACCGCCCCACCCACCAGGGCCGCCCCTCAGCTCTGTTTCAGGACCTCGGCCTGGCTGGGCACTACAGCAGCCATGCCCCCGCTCCTTCTTATTTTTTTGTTTTTTTGAGATGGAGTTTTGCTCTTGTGACCCAGGCTAGAGTGCAATGGTGCGATCTCGGCTCACTGCAACCTCCGCCTCCCGGGTTCAAGAGGTTCTCCTGCCTCAGCCTCCAGAGTAGCTGGGATTACAGGCATGTGCCAACACGCCCGGCTAATTTTTGTATTTTTGGTAGAGATGGTGTTTCACCCCATTGGCCAAGCTGGTCTCGAACTCCTGACCTCAGGTGATCTGACGGCCTTGGCCTCCCAAAGTGCCGGGATTACAGGCATGAGCCACTGCGCCCAGCCGCCCCTGCTCATTCTCATGGATGAACATGAACAATTAGCTTGTCCCCTTCTCTTCCCTCCTAAAAAAAACACCTTACTGGAGTGTGAGAACACCCAGAGGACATTAGAGGATCTGGGCGGAATGGAGATGTGGCAGCCCCTGCTGAGCCGTCCCGGGATCTGCGCCCGCTCTTCATGCTTGGGAATGTTCCCAGCCCCCCACTGCCCACCATAGCCTGGGAGCCCAGGGCCTCCCGGGAATGGGGCAGGGCGCTTCCTGGTGCTCAGCACACCTAGCCCAAGAGCCTCATTCCGAGAAGCTGCATCCTGGGAAGATGCTGTGGCAGAACGTCGGGCCTGTGCAGGTTGGCGGGGGTGACGGAGAGCTGTCTAGGGTTGCCCTCACCCCTGCCCTCGCCCTGGCTGCCTGGCTGGCTTTGGAACCTACAGCAGGAGGGTGCTGGGAGGGCATGGGGCGAGGGCCTTGTAGCTTTTCACGGCCGTGGGTGTCACAGCACTCCAGTAAATTGTGACCCTAATGGAGAGGATGGCCTTTGGAAACGAACTGCATTGAGAAGGGGGATGAAATTAATGAGATAATAGCAGGGCCAAGGACCCGGAGCGCGCGTCTGCCCTCACGGAAGGCTCTGTAATTCCTTTTCCGCAACGGGAGCTGCAGATCTAAAGGCCTCTCCCATCCGTCCGGCAGGCCCACGCTGCCAGGAAATTTCATTAACGCTGGAAAATAGGAAAGGTATTAAGCGTGGATAATGAAGGCCAGGGAGGGAACAGTGCCTTAAGATAGTCTTCTTTCTCGCCTTTGTAATGGGAGGCATGAACTTTCCCTTCAAATCCATTTCTAATCCATTTGAAATACTACAGCAAATTATCTTTCCTTCAGCCCAAAAGCAGCCAGCCAATTTACTCCGAACAGAAGTGACAATGCCCCAGGATTTATCACCATAACCTTGACTACACCAGGGCGAGGCTGGGCCTCCCCTCTCCTCCCTGGGGGGGGACAAAGGCCAGGAGGGGGAGATAACATTTTAAATGAAAAGCAGCAGTAATGGGGAGAAAGACACACACACTACAAAAGCAGGTGTATGAAGAAGCTGTCTGTGCAGTACTGCCTTAGGAGTAGCTGGAAACTTGCAGGCCAGAGGCTGCCCGGGCTGGCGAGGGGCACCACAGGTGCCCAGAGGGCTGAGCCCAGGCCCTCCTGTCTCTGAAAGCCCCTGTCCTGCCTCAGCCTGGGCCCCTCGGACCTGCTGAGTGCTGCCAGCCTCGCTAGGCACAGGTAGCAACAGTGGGGGCCGGGCGGACCTCTGGCTCTCGACCCTCAGGGACTCCTGTCACCTGTCCCCAGGACTTCAGTGGTGCTGGGGGCCTGGGCAAGATGGGAGAGAGGCTCACTCTGAGGTCTTGGTTTTCCTGAAAGCCCAGGGGCAAACCTGGTGCATCCCCTGCCGGCATCCACAAGGCATGCCCACGCACAGCCTGCCAGCTGCCAGGCTCCCGGGCCTGCAAGCCCTGGCCTGGGCCACTGCTGCCAAGTGGCCCATGCAAGGACTCTGAGGACCAACCCTGGACACCCACACTCTACCCACTCCGAGGGCACTGCCCGTGGCAGGTCAGAGCAGCCCCCGCGCCATGTCATGTGGGCCGTGCAGGCTGAGAGGGGCCTCACCCCAGGCCACGTCATTGATCCTGGGCACAGATGCACACATACACGTGGCCCAGATCAGTGGCCTCGCAGTCAGGGCAGTGCATGCACAGCAAGCAGGCCCAGTGCACTGCCTGCCCCCAGGGTGACAGCCTCAGCACTTGCGCTCCCAGCAGCAGAAGCCCCAGCTCAGCAGAAACACATCTGACAAACCAATGCGGCTCCTCGGGTGAGTCCAGCCCTCTGAGCACCCGGGCCCTTTCAGGTCCTGCTCCCTGCCATGGGCACTGCCTGCGGTGTCTCCGTGCCATGCGACCCAGCTCTGAGACCAATCAGAGAATGCTGGGCCTGGTAGTCAGCGTGACTGGCACACTGGCATGGCAGGAAGGCTGGGGAAGGGGCCCGGTCTCTTGACTCAGGCAGAGGTGGTAAGGGGACTGGGGGAGGCCTCCTCCACCCTAGAGACCCGGGAAGCAGCCCAGCACCCAGGATGCCCCGGCGGGACACACACTGGTGGGACCCGAGGGTCCAGGCCACAGACAGGCAGCTTTTAAGCCCAAAAGCTGTATCTTCCGATTGCCCAGTCCCACAGCACCTTCAGACACATGCTGCCCAGGACACCCTCCCTGAGGCTCTGTGGCTTGTTCAACAGGGTCTTCCAAGGCCTTGGGTCATGTGGCCAGGGGTTCGAGGCCTAGGCCAGATTGCAGGCAGCCCTGGGAAGGCTGGGCCTCTCCGGAGCACCTCCCAACCCAGCTCCCAGGCCCAGTGGTGCGACCAGCGGCTACACAAAGGCCAACACAGACCACAGTGGGGCCAGAGACCCTCATCTGGAGGAGAGCTGCTGATGGGAACCAGGGGCTCCTTCCCCATAGCAGCCCCTCAGCATCCTTCCCTCCCCGCCACCGAAGTTCCCATGCCAGCCTCGGTGACATCCCACCCCACGTGAGCCCCTGAGAACTCCGTGAGGTTGTGTCTGTGCTTGAGGAGAACACCTGGGAACAGAGAGGTCGCTGTGTGACCAGGGGCGGGAGAGGCGAGGCCAGCAGAGGGGAGAGCTGCTCCCAGACCCTCCAGACCCGCCAGGGGCTCCACAGCAGGGAGGGCTGGGATTTGAAGATTTCTTCCTGCCAAGCGCCGCCACACGGTGGAGCCGGCGAGGGGACATCAGACCCTGGGAGGGAAACTGAAGGCAGACAGGGACGATGGGGACCTTCCAGGACCCTCGTGTTGTCGCTCTGCACCTCCGGCTGCTGCCAATCCAGCTCCAGTCTTGTCTTTTAAACACACTCCAGCACTAGCTGGCCCTCCTGCTCCCACAGCCAGGCCCCGCAGCCAGTGTCGGTCAGCAGTTCTCCCCATGAGGGGCCTCATCAGCCTCCACTCGGACCCCCTGCCCAGGGCCCTCAGCCTCACCACTGGCAGAAGCCCTGCCCCGAGGCAATGCCCAGGCCCTGAACATGCCACGCAGAGCCCCAGGCCGGCACTGAGCCAGCTGGGTCTCCGCCCTGGTTCACAGCTGAAAGGGGGCTGCACCCACCCCACCCTGCCAGTTGGTTTGAAAGCTGCACATTTGATCAAGTCCCTGCCAAGACCCTGCAGTGGGTCCCCTCGTTCTCAAGATGACCAGGTTAGAAAGCCCTGCAGGGCCAGGCACTCAGGTCCTGCTGGCCACAGCCCCCATGCAGCCTCTCTCCAGCCTAGAACTCCAGTTCTCCTGGGAAGTTCTGGTTTCTGGAAAGCACTGTGCTCCCTCCTGGCGCCAGGTCTTTGCACGTGCTGTCCCTCTGTCCAGATCCCAGGGCAGGCCTGAGGCCAAGTGCAGATGTCACAGCACTGGGGAGGCCGGCCCTACTTACCACTGGGGAAAATGAGCACAGGGGCCGTATCTGCAAAGACCACTGCTGCACCCCTGGCCCTGCGGATGTGCCGGGCACGCAGGGGGCTCTGTAAATGTGTGTTGCGAGAACACACCCAAGTGTGTGCCACCCTGGGGCTCCCAGGACCTTAAGAGGTCCTAAGGGAGGAGTGTGGGGTGGGGAAGGGTCAGGAGGCCCTGGTCAGTTACAGACACTCAGGAAGGAGACCTGTGGCAGAGAGGTGGCTGCCAGGGCTTGGTCAGCAGATACAAGGAGTGGGCTCAGGCAGCAAGGGCCAGGCGCTGGGAATGCGGGCTGGGGCAAGATGGGCTCTCTGAGAACAAAGGGAGCAGCGGGGCTCAAGGAGGGAGGCATGGTCAGAACACATGCCCTGAGAGCTCCGAGAAGGGCGAGCCTGTCCCTGTCTCCCCAGGACGATGGCAAGGCTGCTACGGACGTGACACAGGGACGTGCAATATGCAGACGTGGAAAGACCCTCGGGGGCATAAGTATGGTGACAGCAGGAGAGGCCAAGGGCTGAGCGAGGTCTTGGCCCGGCCCTAGCAGCCAGAAGAGGCAGGACCACAGGAGCAGGTACCGGGCCACGGGGACACGACCTCAGGGCCTTCTAGGCCGGGGTTGTGTCTGTGTGTGGGCCGGGGACCCAGCAGCCCCTGGCCAGGCCGCCCAGGCCAGTGGCAACGTGCAGTAAACAGGCAGTCCAGCTGAGACACAGAGAAAACAACCGGAGAAGCATTTTCAGGAAATGGAGCACAATTTTTCGAAGCTTGGAGCCCGAGCGGGGAGTGCGAAGTCAGCAGAAGAGGAGCGGCCGGGGGGAGGCGGCGCCGCAGCGAATCCCCAAGTAGGTCAGGCAGAGCTGCGCCATGACAGGC
The DNA here is from genome assembly GCF_000001405.40 of Homo sapiens. Taxonomy (NCBI): domain Eukaryota; kingdom Metazoa; phylum Chordata; class Mammalia; order Primates; family Hominidae; genus Homo; species Homo sapiens. The sequence goes on from NC_000008.11 coordinate 143,483,207, forward strand.
ACTAAACTGCTTAAGTGGGGCTTTCCACTGGAAACGCTGACACCCCCATCACCGTGCTGGCTCGGGAGGGCGAGCATGCATGTGTGTCCATGCGTGTGCGCGTGTGGGGCTGGCTGGAAGCCTCCCTCCCGGTTTCTCCTGGTGCTGAGCCACTGCGGCCCCCGAATGGGTTGGCCAGGCTACATGGGGCCCTTGGCTGGAGAGGCCCAGCCCGTGAGGCTGGGGCAATGCAGGGGAGGTGGTTCTACTGGACAGACACTCACAGAATGTCCTGAGTTCCGGAGGAGGAAGACAGAGTCCCTCATGGGAGGGGCCCAAGCTGGGCCGGCAGGGAGGGGCGCTCAGGCCAGACAGAGCAGAGGCGTGCAGTGGGGGTGCTAGGCGGGCTCCCGGCTCCTGGACCCTGCCCCCACGATCTCAGGGGCAGGGCTAAATGCTCAAGGGCCTGTGGCTGCCAGGGCTGAAATCTGACTACGTGGTGGCCACGCAGGCCTCACGATGGCTATGGCCACCTCATCTCACAGAAAGAACCCTCTTCTAACTTACTCCTCACAAGTCTGGCCCCCTATCCTCCAAACCCCTATACCCAGACCGTGGGGCCCTCACCAGCTCCAAGGGGCCTCCAGGTACCTGGGGCAGTAGCTGCTGTTCAGCAGGGGCTCCGGCACCATGGCCAGATGGGCTCTCTAGTCCCGCTGTCACCCCCACAGCATCTACCTCCCAGTATGGGGGCCTGCAGAGACCGTCCAGCCGCTTGGCTTTCCAGGATACACCTTCAGCAGGCAGGCAGGGTTACAGGCCTGGGTGGGAGCTGAGAGCCCTGCACCAGCGGCCAGGGGCGCCATGAGGGGAAAGAGCCATGCAGCCTTAGGGACAGCAGCCTTGTTTGGGGGCCCCTGAGGACAGGGACAGCCTTGAGTGCGACTGGTCCAGCTGAGGCTGAGCACGGCTGGCTCCCCCGGCCCCTGGGCTGACTCGTGGGGTGGAGGCTCTGTTGTGACATCTGAGGACTTCCTCACTGGGCACTGGTCCTTCCGAGGGCCATCCCTGCCCCGTCTCACCCCAGTAATGAATAAGAAGGATTCGGAGGCGCCTCTGCAGCCTGGCTGGGTGGCAGGGGGCAATACTAATGACACTGCCTCCGTTACAAACGTCGTGCTCCATTATGAGGGGCTGGGACTATTTTATGTATTTTATGTGCTCACATCTATTCAATTGGTATTTCGATCAATGGATGCATTACAAGCTTTCCCTTTAAGAGCCTAATAAACAACAAGATGGAAAGTAAAATTCTCCATAAAATGACACTTTTAAAAATCCATTTCAGCTGAAGCTATTGGTGTTTTGTATGTCAGCTGCAAAAAAACAAGTATTAGTGGGACTTCATGGCCCCGGAGTGCCGAGTTCAGCTCGTCCGGCAGAGGTGCCAGGCGGCCAGGTGCAGCTGTCCTTGGCGGGCCCGCGACCCTCTGCACCTGTGCCACCCTTTGGGCTGGGTCATCGGCCCAGGACCCACTCTGTCTGTGCCAGCTACTGAGGGGCAGGCTGGCCAGGAATCCTGCCTAGGCCCTCAAGGACCCCTCAGGTCACTGCTGTCTAAAGAGACTCACAGCAGACATCCCCCCACTCCCAGGCCCTGGGACAGCCCCTCCGAAGACCACACAGCAAATCCGGCTCAGCTCCCTGGAAAGGCGTGGTGACCTCAGCAAACTTCATGCGGCCCTTGCAAGGACAGTGGTATCTGCAAAAACCACGGGAAAACCACAATAAAAACCCACTCACTTCAGAGGGGTAACCAGAACTGATTATGAAGCAAAGATGTGTGAAAACCAAAGCCCTGCAAGACAGTGGCAAACACCAGTTGGAACATACAAAGAAGAGAAGCCAGAAACACTCTCAAATAACTGAGGAAAAATTCTACAGCAGGGGCGCCGGGCCAACATGTGGAAGTTATGGAGCATGAGTCCCCCTGGTGCTGAGAACAGGAGGGAGGCAGGCGGGGCCAGGGATCTGAAGTGTTTGTTGTGTGTGTGGCTGAAATCCTAAGAAGAAGAAAATGCAAATCTATGATTTGGAGGCTGGTTCCTTGGTGAGGCCGAGAACCCGGTCCAGTGTTTCTAAGGTGGTCTGGAAGAGTAAGCATTCAGGAATAACGAAGGGCACAGACAAGTGGGTCAACAGTGAGGATGGAGAGTCTGGGAACAGCCCATACATCTGCTCACCCGAGTGACGCAGGCGCCCCTGCACCTGAGTGGGTCAGGATCTCATTTCAATACATGTGTCTCCATGGGGAGACAAAAGGACTCTGGCCCCTACCTCAGACCACAGGTAAAAATTAATTCAAGAAGCCTCAGGCTTAAAATATAAAAGCTAAAATAGCCAAGCTTCTAGAAGAAAACATGAATGTGGGATAGACAAATATTTCTTAAACAGGACACAAAGAGCACTACTCATAAAAGGCTAAAAAACCAGATGCCGTGGAAGAGCAGGTCCCTCGCTGTAAGCAGACGTGTGGGGCGGAAAACATCCACAACAAAAACAAACTCCCACAAATCAGCCAAAAGGCAAATCACACAAAAACAGGCCAACACCCAAAGAGGCCCTTTACAGTAAAGAAGGGCACCACCAGGAGACCTGAGTGAAGAAAAAGATGCCCAGCAATGCCAGCCAGCGGGATGGGCGTGAGGCCCCACACCCCCCAGCATGGCAAGAACAGGAGACACGGGCCTGAGAATCCTGGCCAAGGCCACGGGCCAGCCACAATGCTCACATGCTGCTGCTGGCAGGCTGGGACAGCTACCTGGGACAGCTTCCAAAGCTCAGTGTCCATCACCCTCTGAGGCAGCAACTCCACACAAACGAGGGCTACCAGCACCCAGAGACACACCCAAGACAGCAGCTTCATAACTGGCAAGGATGGGAGAGACTCCAGATACCCACCCATCAACTGCAAGATGGACACACATGGCGTATCCATATCACAGAACACCACACGGCAGGGAAAAAGAATGAGTTCCCGCCAGGCGCGGCAATGTAGCGGAGTGAGAAACGTGGGCGCCTACGGCTGCCTGGCTGCTGCCATGGAATGCTCTGCAGTGGGCGGCTACGACAACAGAAACACACTTTCTCACAAGGCTGGGGCCGCACCGAGGCTCTGGCAAGGCTGGTTTCTGGTGAGGTCTCCCTTCCTGGCTTGTACTGTCCTCCCGTGGCTTTTCCTCTGGGCATGTGCCCCTGGTGGCACTTTTTATTCTTGTAAGGACATTAGTCCTAGTGGATCAGGGCCAAACACGTATAATCCCATTTAACCTCAATTACCTGTTTGAAGACCCCATCCCCAAACGTAGTCACATTGGGGGTTAGGGTTTCCATCTATGAACTTGGTGGGGGACACAATTCAGTCCATGAAAAGTGATGAACAAAAGAAGTCAGACACAGAATGGCACCCGCTACATGACCCCACCACCAAGAAGCTCACACACAAAACAGCACCTGCTCCACAACCCCACCACCACGAAGCTCACACACAAAACAGCACCCGCTACACGACCCCATCACCACGAAGCTCACACACAGAACAGCACCCGCTACACGACCCCATCACCACGAAGCTCAGACACAGAACAGCACCCGCTACACGGCCCCACCACCACGAAGCTCAGACACAGAACAGCACCCGCTACACGGCCCCACCACCACGAAGCTCAGACACAGAACAGCACCCGCTACACGGCCCCACCACCACGAAGCTCAGACACAGAACAGCACCCGCTACACGGCCCCATCACCACGAAGCTCACACACAGAACAGCACCCGCTACACGACCCCACCACCACGAAGCTCAGACACAGAACAGCACCCGCTACACGGCCCCACCACCACGAAGCTCAGACACAGAACAGCACCCGCTACACGGCCCCACCACCACGAAGCTCAGACACAGAACAGCACCCGCTACACGGCCCCACCACCACGAAGCTCACACACAGAACAGCACCCGCTACACGGCCCCACCACCACGAAGCTCACACACAGAACAGCACCCGCTACACGGCCCCACCACCACGAAGCTCAGACACACAACAGCACCCGCTACACGGCCCCATCACCACGAAGCTCACACACAGAACAGCACCCGCTACACGGCCCCATCACCACGAAGCTCACACACAGAACAGCACCCGCTACACGGCCCCACCACCACGAAGCTCACACACAGAACAGCACCCGCTACACGGCCCCACCACCACGAAGCTCAGACACAGAACAGCACCCGCTACACGGCCCCATCACCACGAAGCTCACACACAGAACAGCACCCGCTACACGGCCCCATCACCACGAAGCTCACACACAGAACAGCACCCGCTACACGGCCCCACCACCACGAAGCTCAGACACAGAACAGCACCCGCTACACGACCCCACCACCACGAAGCTCACACACAGAACAGCACCCGCTACACGACCCCATCACCACGAAGCTCACACACAGAACAGCACCCGCTACACTGCCCCATCACCACGAAGCTCAGACACAGAACAGCACCCGCTACACGGCCCCATCACCACGAAGCTCAGACACAGAACAGCACCCGCTACACGGCCCCATCACCACGAAGCTCAGACACAGAACAGCACCCGCTCCACGGCCCCATCACCACGAAGCTCACACACAGAACAGCACCCGCTCCACGACCCCATCACCACGAAGCTCACACACAGAACAGCACCCGCTACACAGCCCCATCACCACGAAGCTCAGACACAGAACAGCACCCGCTACACGGCCCCATCACCACGAAGCTCAGACACAGAACAGCACCCGCTACACGGCCCCATCACCACGAAGCTCACACACAGAACAGCACCCGCTACACGGCCCCATCACCACGAAGCTCACACACAGAACAGCACCCGCTCCACGACCCCATCACCACGAAGCTCACACACAGAACAGCACCCGCTCCACGACCCCATCACCACGAAGCTCACACACAGAACAGCACCCGCTACACAGCCCCATCACCACGAAGCTCAGACACAGAACAGCACCCGCTACACGGCCCCATCACCACGAAGCTCAGACACAGAACAGCACCCGCTACACGGCCCCATCACCACGAAGCTCACACACAGAACAGCACCCGCTACACGGCCCCATCACCACGAAGCTCACACACAGAACAGCACCCGCTACACGGCCCCATCACCACGAAGCTCACACACAGAACAGCACCCGCTCCACGACCCCATCACCACGAAGCTCAGACACAGAACAGCACCCGCTACACGGCCCCATCACCACGAAGCTCAGACACAGAACAGCACCCGCTACACGGCCCCATCACCACGAAGTTCAGGAACAGGCAAAGCCAATCAAGGTAGGCAGAGAGCAGAAAAGCAGGTGCTCATGGGGTAGACATGAGTGGGAAGAGCCAGAGGGAAGCTTCCAGAACTCATGCCATCTTAGGTAGGAAAGGCTGTTCTCAGCACATCAATACATGAAATCTCAAGAGACTGGCAGATTTAAGTGCACAGAAAAGTAAAAACTTCTGCAAACATCCTCACGAAATTCAAAGCGAGGAAAATGACAAAAAGGCGACTCCCCCTGAACACTTGGAGTTCCATGAATCCATAAGAAACAAGCCAGCTGGAGACAAGCGAATAGGGAACACAAACCATGTTGAACTTGACCAAGAATTAAAGTTAAGCCTGGATGGCACCCTCCTCAGATCCGCTGTCCATGTTTCTGCCCGTGGCTGCTGACGCTGACGAGGCCCGGAAGGGCCAGCAGTCATGCCCCCTCTGTCCCCCAAGCCAGTGGCAGCGCTGACCCCCAGGACTGTTCATCCAGATGAAGGCGCTTCTCTGGGAAGGGCCTAAGACCAGCAATGAGAGGAGTGAGGTGGGGCCTGGGTGGGGATCAGCTTGTGTCTACCTGGCCAAATGTCATTGCCTGCAGGGAGCCTTCCAGGCTGCAGACACCAGAGAAAGGTTGGAGCTGGGTCTGGTACCTATGCCCTAACTGAATCCTATCCTTGCTCTGCCACTCTCCATGACTGCTAGTACCCACTGGGCAGGGGACGCCCCAGGTGGGAAGGGCTCAGCCAGGGCCTGGTTCCAAGAAGCTGGGTAGGGTGGGGTGGGGGAGTCCTGGAGGACAAGCAGCCAATGGAAAGGAGGGAGCTGGGGCCCCTCAGCCAACCTTTGGGGGGATGCGCCCTCCCACCGCGGCTGGGCCACGGAGCCCCGCCCACCACCGCCTGGCCCCGCCCACCGCCCTGGCCAGGGGAGAGGGGCCAGGGGAGGAGCTGGCTGGAAGCAGCCTCCGCAGGCAAGGGGGCGCCTTGCCCCTGTCCCGCCCCAGGACCGCCCCAGGCAAGCCAGAGCACTGAGGGTACTGAGCTGGGCCATAATTTATGCCCGCCCGCCTATGCTTTATGGCTTTCTTAATTCGGCTCCTGCTACTATTAATGTAGTTAATGCTGAGATTATATCTATTTTCTGGCGTCAGGCGGTGATTTATTCAAGCCATTTTTCCGGTGGAGGCTCCCACGCTGTTAAATCAAGCGCCTTGCCAATTAAGTGCTGACTTGGGAAGTGGACGCAATCTTAGCAGACGTCCAACCGCAAATTAAACCGCGCCTGACTCTGGGGAGTGGACGGGGCAGCGGGACCCTTGCTGACTTGCAGGAAAGTCAGGAAAGTGGTGGGTGCATCCTACCCACTGTGGTCCCTGGGCCGGTCCCTGGGCCTGTCCCTGAGCCACGGGTCTCTGGAACTGCAGCCCACACCCACACTCCAGGCCACAGGGTTCCAGGGAAACACCCTTAGACACCCGTGGTTCCTAAACCACGCCCAGCAAGCACCTGACACACAGGGCCCTGGCAGGTACTGGGGATGGGGCAGGGGCGGCGGGGGTGAAGGGGGCCATGAGGAAGGTGGGAGCCTCCCCAGCAGGTGGGTGGGGCTGCACAGTGCTCAGCAGCTGGGAGGCCCCCCGGGGCCTGGACCCTGCAGGAGTCTCACCCACGGTCCCATCTCTGAGGGCCCACATAGCAATACAATAGAAAGGAGGTAGGGAGGCCAGGGTTGGGGGCAGCCAGGCTAAGGACTCCCACCCCCAACAGGCCCAGCTCTCCTGAACACTCCTGTCCCCTGTGGGGGCCTCAGTCCTCTGTCAGGCACTGTCCACATGCCAACTGCAGTGACCACCCAGGCCCAGCCCAGAGACCACCCGGGCCCAGCCCAGAGAACCTGCTGTCACCCTCCTCCCCAGTGGGGCCCTGGGACAAGGTAGGCAGATGTGCCACCCTTGTCCATCTGCCAGATACTCAGCCCAGCCTTGAGAGGTTAATCATGTTTTGGGGTGAGATCTGGCTGGAGGATTGATATATTCGAGAAGTTAAATAAGATACTGATGGCCGGGTGCAGTGGCTCATGCCTGTAATCCCAGCACTTTGGGAGGCCAAGGCAGGCGGATCACTTGAGGTCAGGAGTTTGAAACCAGCCTGGCCAACATGGTGAAACCCTGTCTCTACTAAAAATACAAAAATTAGCCATGAGTGGTGGTAGGTGCCTGTAATCCCAGCTACTCCGGAGGCTGAAGTGGGAGAATTGCTTGAGCCCAAGAGGCAGAGCCTGCAGTGAGCTGAGATTGCACTCCAGCCTAGGTGACAAAGCAAGACTCCGTCTCAAAATAAATAAACAAATAAATATTGACTATGTAAATGATACTTTACGACCACCTCTAAAACCAAGGTAAAGTGGTATTTAAAACGGCGGCACCCAGGTAGCGCCGGGTGACAAGGACATTTTATTTCTTCCTGTCAGGGGTGGTTTTTCAGTTTCCAGGAATGTCCATGCTTGCCCCTCCCTCCAGGGAGCCCAGGCACCAACTGGCAGACACACACATATCCACGGCTGGGCAGATGGGGCAGGAGGGCCCAGGCACAGGGGGCTCCGCCCTCCCCGGCCTGAGGGGAATTCCACGGATCCCACAGGAACCCCCGGGGGGCCCTTGAGCTCCCTCCCCGAAGGTCCTTGTGCAAACTGAAGGAAGGCTCCCTCCAGATTTGTCACCAGACACTCCCTGCAGCCTGTCCCTGCGATGCCACTGCCGGCCCACACGGAACCACGCTGTGGCCTGCGGTTCCGCCAAGGTGGCAGCAGCATCTCACCAGGGAGCTCCTGCATCCTGTCCCAAGGGCTTGCCCATAACAGGGACAGGGACAGCCATTCACAGCCGGGCCTGGGCGAGGCTCACACCCGTATGACCCCACAGGAGCCAGCCCAAAAGGGCAAAGCAGCATCTTGAGCCCCACGGCTGGAGACGCAGTGTGCCACACCCGGCTCGGGGCACATGCCCCATCACCAGCTCCTCAGGCCAGCCCAGCCTGGAGCCATGCATTGGTCACAGTGGTACAGAGAGGACCCCCCTGTCCTGGACTCACGGGTCCCTCTGCCACCGTCGCCCAGCAGGCCATGCTCTCACAGCAGGGATGGGGTGGACTGAGCAGAGCTGCCCTCAGGGGCAGGGGAGGCAGAGGCCGTGCAGGGCTGTGGGGCCGGGTGCAGGGTGGGCCCTAGAGAAGGAGCAGAACAGGGCATGACTCCCTCAGTCCTGCAGGCACAGGACACCCTCGGCCCTGGGCCTGGCTTGGACCACTCACAGCACCTACTCCTTTTGGCCTCCCTCTTTGCTAGGAAGCCCTCAGCCACCGTGTTTCTAGCAGCCCACCCCACAGGCATGTTGCCTCCACCTGGTGCACCAGGCGCAGCACCTAAGCGTGGCTCGTATCCCTGGGGAGGAGGGCAGAGAAGGAGTGAAAGCAGAAAGAGGGCACACTACAGAGAGCCGGACACATGCGTGCCGAGAGGGAATGGAGAGGAGAAACAAGAAGGAAAAGACAGACGTTGCATGGGACCAAAGGGTGGAGGCCTAAGAGGCACAGAGATGCAGGGACCAGCAGGCCCAGGTCGGGCGGCAAAGCCTCGGGGGGAGGAGTGTGCTGGCCTTGGAGGCCTCCAGGCGCCCCCTCCTCACCGGCCACCCACTGAAAACACCACAGTCAGGGGATACACACCACGGACTGGCCCAGTGGGGGGGATCCGGTGGCGGCCACCTCCCTCCTCCCACCAGGGCCTCAGCATCAGGCCACTCCCAGGGCCCTGGCCCGCCTTATATCCCCCACCATCTGGACCCTCAGTCCAGGACACACTGGCCCTGAACCTCTGCAGCACTGACCACAGGACCATCCTGAACTGCCTGCCAAGAGCTGCCCACCTGTAGCGTCAGGAACGGAGCCAGCAAACAGACCTGGACCCAGAGCCACTGCCAGCTTGATGCTCAGCTCCCCAGGGACTGATGCCGGAGGGGCCCGGGGAGGGCCTCACCTCGCACCCACACCTGCGTGGGCACCTGACCACACGCACATCCTGCTGATCAGAACAGCAAAGGAAGAAGGCGCCCTGGCCCAGGGGCTCCCTCCTCAGGGTCCCGTGTCCTGGCCCAGGGGCTCCCTCCTCAGGCTCCCGTGTCCTGGCCCAGGGGCTCCCTCCTCAGGGTCCCGTGTCCTGGCCCAGGGGCTCCCTCCTCAGGGTCCCGTGTCCTGGCCCAGGGGCTCCCTCCTCAGGGTCCCGTGTCCTGGCCCAGGGGCTCCCTCCTCAGGCTCCCGTGTCCTGGCCCAGGGGCTCCCTCCTCAGGCTCCCGTGTCCTGGCCCAGGGGCTCCCTCCTCAGGCTCCCGTGTCCTGGCCCAGGGGCTCCCTCCTCAGGCTCCCGTGTCCTGGCCCAGGGGCTCCCTCCTCAGGCTCCCGTGTCCTGGCCCAGGGGCTCCCTCCTCAGGGTCCCGTGTCCTGGCCCAGGGGCTCACTCCTCAGGCTCCCGTGTCCTGGCCCAGGGGCTCCCTCCTCAGGCTCCCGTGTCCTGGCCCAGGGGCTCCCTCCTCAGGGTCCCGTGTCCTGGCCCAGGGGCTCCCTCCTCAGGGTCCCGTGTCCTGGCCCAGGGGCTCCCTCCTCAGGGTCCTGTGTCCTGGCCCAGATCTGCCCTGCCTGCCAGCAAGGGCTGGGGTCTAAGATCTCCAGGAAAAAGTCCCTCTCCCTTTGTCCGGAAAAAGTCCCAGAGGATCAGCGGTGTCCCTCAGGGACATCCCAGCCTCGGTGTGGATGCGGGCTAGCTCAGGCCCTGGCAAGACTGGCTTCTCCTCCCTCTTCCCTACCCCAAACCACCAAGGCCGAGGCTGCAGGAGGGGTCTGGCCCTCGGCCACACCTGGAGAAGGTGGAAGGTATGCAGGCTCGGGGGGATGCCAGCTCAGCCCTGCTGCCATGGGCACTGCCAAGGACTCCACTCACAAAGCCGAAAGGCCTGCCTGCCTCAAACAAACAGAGAAATAAATAAATAACCACAGCACACTTTGAAACAACTTCCAAATTAAGAGTTGCATCCATGCTGTCAAGCCCCTGCTAGCAGCTTCTGTGGCACCTTCCGTGCAAAACCGTATCTCAGCCCATTTATTAGAATGATGAAGGCAAAAGGGATCTAAAAATTGCACTCCTTCCTTAATGAGCAGCCGAAGGGATCGGTAAGCATAATTTCAGAGGCCAGTAATATTTTATATAATCGCCGAGTGGTTTAAATTGAAAACCCCCAACTGAATCAATATTTACTGCATTGAAACGAAATGAATAGTAATAAGTCACTAAGCTCCCTGTCCTGTTTCATAAAATAAAAAATTATAAAAATGAGCACAGGCACAGGGAGGCCATCACATTAACTTTTACAGCACTTGGGGAGCCGTAACCGCCTGTTCCCATAAAATAAAACTCTAAAAAACCTGCCGGAGTCCTGCCTCAGCAGCACGTGGGGAAGCCTGGGGAGTGGGAGGGGAAGGGGAGCGCTGAGGGCCATCCCCACAGGCCTCCCCAGGGCCAGGATGGGCCCCAAGACCCCACAGGCTGACCACGCCTGGTGCCCACCCACACCCCACACAGAGGCCCAGAGCGCCCTGGACCCAGCTTCAACAGAGACTTCCTGCCACCCTCAGGCCGAACTTCCTGCTTTGATTTCTTTACCAGTTTTCTCAAATGACAGAGTATCTCAGAGAGCGTGAGTGAGCAGCTCAGGCTACGGGACCGGTGGCAGCCCGCCAGCCCTCCCTCTGAGCAGGCCCCAGGCTCTGGGTGGGAAAAGCACAAATGCCTGCCAGCGTGGAGGATGGGGCTCCGGCAGATGACCCCCGAGGGGTGAGCACAGGACCTCACCCCACAGTGCAGGAGCCTGTGGCCACCCCTGCCAACAGGCCCACACAAGGCCCGGGCAGGTCAGGGCCTCAGAGCACAGCGGCGCCGGCAGAACCCAGAGCGAGGGCCAGCCGGGAAGGAGGGCCGGCCGGGACAGGAGGGAAGCGGCAGGTCGGGGGAGGGGGGTGCTGTGGGCAGACACACGAGGGGATGGGAGCACAGGAACACAGCCCCCAGAGGGCCAGGAGCCCCCACACTCACCCTGAGACCCTGGGCAGGAACAAAGGCCTCATTCCACCAGGTAAGGCTGGCTCAGCAAGGTGGGGAAGGGGGCCTCCTGCAGTCAAGAATGAGGAGCCAGAATACCGGCCACCAACGGGCAAACGGCCTGAGCAGACCTTTCACACGGGAAGACCACCAGTGGCCTTACGTTAGCCCGAGCAGGTACTCAACATCACTGGACACCAGGGAAACGCAAATGAAAACCACAGTGAGAGGCCACACACGTGAGAATGCAGATTAGAAAGGCGGTAACACCACGTCTGAGGGGAACAGAAAGGGTCGCGGCACGCTGGAAAGCAGTTTGGTGATGTCACATCAAGTCAGCAGATGTCTTACGTCCCAGCGATCCCACGCGCGACAGTCATGGAAACACAGGTGCACAGAAAGAGCTGCACAAGGACTCAGCAGGCTCTACTCACAGTCACCCCAAACTGCAAGTGACTCAAGTAAAATTAATAAAGTGCGGAACAAGAAAGGAAGGCTCCCTGGCAAGGATGGGAAATGCACTGTGAAGCCAGCAATGACACGAGCCTGAATCAGATGCCAAGTGAGTGAGCCAAGCTGGAAGCAATGCGAGAACATCTGACTCCATTGACAGAAGCTCCAGAGCAGGCAGCTAATCCACAGTGAGACTTAGAGGCACAGGATGCTCCAGAGCAGGCAGCTAATCCACAGTGACAGACTCAGAGCCACAGGATGCTCCAGAACAGGCAGCTAATCCACAGTGAGAGACTCAGAGCTGGGGCTGCCTCTGGGGATGGAGGCCTCTACCGGGAAGAGGACAGAGAAGGGCAATGGCAACGTTCTTTATCTCGACGAGGTATGCGTTGCGCAGGTGCATGCGTTTTGGGGTTTCTGTTGTTGTTTTTGAGACAGAGTCTCACTTTTTCACCCAGGCTGGAGTGCAGTGTCAGTCAGGGCTCATTGTAACCTCGACCTCCTGGGCTCAAGCGATCCTCCTGACTCAGCCTCCTGAGTAGCTGGGGTACAGGTGCATGCCACCATGCCTGGCTAATTTTTCTTTTCTTTCTTTTTTTTTTTTTTTTAACTGTAGAGACAGACGTCTCACTATGTTGCCCGAGCTGGTCTTGAACTCGCAGGCTCAGCTATCCTCCTGTCTCAGCCTCCCAACGTGCTGTGATTACAGGTGCAAGCCACTGCGCCTGGTGATTCATTTGTTAGAACTCACAGACTGTTAGATTTATGCCTCCCACTATACGTAAATTCTACCTAGAAAAGAACTATGAACACATGTGGACCTCTAGTTAGTGGCCCTGCTTTGCTCCGTGGTATCTGTTAATACTACTGGAACTTGTGTGCTAGGCCTGAGCAAATGAGCAGACAGACTGAGGGTGATGGGGCAGGTGTCTCGTGGCTGGAGAAGAGTCAGGAACACGGAATGAGGGCAGGCTGAGTAAACCAGCAGAGATGGAGTGGAACTTGTGCTGTCAGGGTGCGGGTGTGCATGGGAGTGGGAGCAGACACTCAACGCCCTTGTTCTGACTCAAGAGGGCAGCAGCGTGTGCCCCCAGGCCAAGACCTTAGCACCACTGACACCTGTGGCTGCATGATTCTTGGCCATGGAGGGCCGAGAGCCACTGCCCCCCAAGGAGCCGGGGTTCTGCAGAGAAACAGCTGACTCCACGGTGAGCCTGGAGCACCTGCCGTGCAGAACGTGATGACGTGCCCAGGAATGAGAGGACACATCAAAGGGACGCAGGCCAGCCTCAAGCGGCTTCCACCAGCCAAGGCTGGGACCACCTGAGAACCAGAATAACAGAGCAGATTACAGCCTATCAAGTGGAGTAAGACTCCTGGGTCCACGCCGTTAAAGCAAATCAACAACGACGCAGGGCAAAGGCGACAGGGAAAGCCACCACTCACAGCATGGAAGGAGGGGTGGGAAAGTTATCCCAACATCTAGAATGAGTGGACAGAAGTCCGGTAAGAAACAGGATGCTCCCTCAGTCCTCACACTTTTCCCCAACAATTGCCCAAAGTAACCTGCTCCGCAGAGAAACTGCCGGATGGCCTAAACCCAGCGGTCAGGCCAACACTGCTGCACCAGGCAGCCTGAGGCCACACCAGTGCTGCCATGGCTTTCCCGCCAAAATTGCGAATCTGCATCTCATCACAAAAAGACATCAGATAAGCCCAGTGGAAGGACAGTGCACAAAATAGCTGGCCTCTCTTGTCCAGACTCCCAGCCCTTCCTGCACTGGAGAACTGTGCATGGTCACAGAGACACCCCAAAGCACCAGGCTCCGGGGGCACCAGGGCTCCGCTTCTGTGCAAAAGCTCGTTTATAAAGGGAGAGAAAGCAATACTGCAAATGCGATAAAATATCATATAAACAACTGGTGAGTTTCAGTAAGGAAGTCCTGGGTGGTATTTTTGCAACTTCTGTAAAAGTATATCAAAACAAAAAGTTATCCCAAAAAATTAAACGCAAGAAGCTAGTTAGGAGAGGAAAGAGGAGAGAGCCCAGGAGCCACACAACTATTCTCCTCCCTCCCAGGGGTTCCCAGAACAGCCAGGACAGGGAGACTCGGCACCCAGGCCTGCCCCAAGGCTTCTGCATCCACCTGTCCATCAAGCAGCACCGCCTTCCCAATCCCCCCCAACCCCGCCACCAGTCACAGCCACCTCATCCCTGCAGCTGGGTGGGCAGCAGCAGGAAGCTGCCCCCGAAGGTGCAGCCATAAAGCCAGGGGGGCAGCCTGGGGTCCACATGGGCCATGAGCCACAGAGCAGTACCACCTCCGACAGGCAACAGCCCAGGACCAGCACCGCCTGCCCCTGTCCCATCCTGGCAGCTGTGGTCTTTTGGTGCTGACTGCACCCACCGGTAGGCCAAGGTCTCAGTGGAGTCCTGGAGTAGGCAGAGCACAGACGCAATGCTGCGGTCAGGAGGGCCCTGGGCAGCCAGGGGCCAGGGCAAGCCTGAACACAGATGTCACACCTGCCGGCCAGCAGCCCCACAGCAGGAGCTGAACCAGGGCCGTCGCTACATGGCTGTCTGGTACGGCCAAGTCCAGGTCCCCTCAGTGGTCTCCGGGTCTCACGTGTGTTATCTGGGCCGCCAGCAGCTCGAGGCCTGGCCAGGTCTCTGCACTCGAACACGCTGTGCCTCCCACAGGGCTTTCTGGGGCTCCCCGGTGCTGTGCCAGCTGCTTCCTTCCCCAAGAGAGTCCCCTCTCTGCCTGGCAGGCACCACAGCACGAAGAGGCCCCAAAAAGCCTGTCCCTAAGTCCCCACGGGGCCATAGCTTCCATGCAGGCAGGGCCAGACAGAGATCAGGCCCTCAACACACACCGGGTGAGCGAATGCAAGTGAAGGAGCCAAGGAGAACGGCAGGAACTGCCTGGGCCACGCACCGGGGCCCGGGGCAGGGGCTGTGTCACGCAGCCTGCTACAGCCACCTGCCTGGGGGACCCTGGAAAGAAGGTCAAGAAGCCAGACCTCAGCCTGAGTGGCAGCAGCCACAAAACCCCATAGACTCAAGGCTCCTACCCAGTTAAAAATCACAACCCAAAGCACCACCCCTCTATGTGAAGCCCTGTCAGGCCGCGTTCTCCCAGAACCTGCAGGGCTGAGCCTTCCTGCCCTTCTGGCTCGGGGGGAATCAGGAGATCCCGGTACTTAGGGTCACTTGCACCCAGACCCCCTGACCTGAGTCCACAGCCTCTGAGTGTGGCCCGCTCACCGGTCATCTTGCCTGGCCAGCCTGCTGTCCTGCCACGGAGGCGAGGAAGGGCCGTGGAGGCTGTGGTGGCTCCAGGATGCCCCCAGAGCTGTGCTAGGACATACAAGTAGGCAGCAGTGCTCCCAACCAGCCTCCTGCCCCATGCAGCCCTGTCCTCCCCGGCTGAAGGGGGTCACCCCGTGTTCTGCCCACTCACCACCTTGGGCCTACTGGCCCCCACACTGCTGTGTGGACCAAGCAGCCCAAGGGGGATGGGAACCGGGGGCAGAGGGGTACAGGGCGGGGCGGAGGGGCACAGGGCGGGGCGGAGGGGTACAGGGCGGGGCGGAGGGGCACAGGGCAGGGCAGGGGGTACAGGGCGGGGCGGAGGGGCACAGGGCGGGGCAGAGGGGCACAGGGCGGGGCAGAGGGGTACAGGGCAGGGCAGGGGGTACAGGGCGGGGCGGAGGGGCACAGGGCGGGGCGGAGGGGCACAGGACGGGGCAGAGGGGCACAGGGCAGTGCAGGGGGTACAGGGCGGGGAAGAGGGGCACAGGGCGGGCAGGGGCAGAGGCAGAGCCATGGCTCAAATGCAAGCCACCAACGTGAGCCTCCCCCAAGAAGGGGCGGAGAGCTGCCGAAACCACGCAAGCCGCATTTCTGGGCCCTTTGCTGGCCAGGACCACTGCCAAGCCCAAGGTTGCAAACACTGAAGGACTCAGCAGAGGCTCCTGGCTGTGAGGGAAGCCTGGGAGCAGAGGGAAGGGCCTGGGAGCAGAGGCTCACTCCTGGCCGTCAGGGAAGCCCAGGACGAAGAGAACCGCATGTCCTGGGTTCTCTGGACAGAGGGATGAGGGGGCCTGGAGGTTGAGGATGCCATGCAGGGCATCAACACCCAGGGCCAGAGCATGGTGGGAGCCGGGAAGGCAGTGGCAAGGGCTCCCAGCCCCTCCCGCCCAGCAGCCAGGCCCCAGGGCTCCCCGCCCCCTCTGTGCTCTGGCCCTGGGTCTTGCCCCTCTGTCCTGAGTGGGCACCTAGACCTGCGCCCAGCCGGTGTTCAGTGCAAACACAGTGGGTGCATCTCTCCTCCCACGAAACCAACACTTGCTTTTAACAAAATCAGTCGAAACTCAGCAACTCCATTAACCAAAACCAGAAGCGACAATGCTATCATTCTTCAGCATTTTCACAGCATTCAGGGCCGCCCTTGAATGCCCTCTCCAGCATTCAGGGCCTCTCCAGGCTCTTTGTGTGAGCTGCTCACAGTAGAGCCAGCACCGGGCAGCAAGGATACAGACAGGATACCTCCACCCTCCACGGAGGCCCTGGGGACCGGGCCAAGCTAGACACGGGCAGACACAGGGCTTCAGCACTCTTGGCAAAGGCCCAAGCTCCCCAGGCTCCATGTCAGAGGGGAGGTAGCAGGGAGGCAGTAAACACCCTGGAAACGTGCCCTGGAGCCACACCGGCCCTCACAGCCCAGGAGGCCCGCAGCAGTGCCGCCTCTCAGCTGGCCTGCTCCTCACCGGGGGCTGGCCCTGCCCTGATAACCCCTGGCCCCCCACCAGAGCAGCGGCCGGGCTGCAAATCCCACCTTCGACACCACCCCCCAGCCCCTATCCTCTCTGCAAACACTCCAAACCCTTCGTGGTATGGCCATGCTGGCCTCTCAACCCCCCACAGGCCCCTGCCCTCAAAGGGGCCTTCTCTGAGCCCCACACAGATCCATCCTGGGTGGGCCTCAGCACATCCGGCAGCAGCCACCCACAGAACTATCTGCTTCTGTTGTCTGCTTGCTTCCTGACCGCTCCCCACAGAAGGACAGCACAGTGGGCAGAGCCTGCCTGCTCAAACTCTGGAGCTGCCTGCTGCCCAGGTATCTGTGGGTGGGGGGAGCCCCACCCATCCAGTGCCGGGCACTCAACAACTGACGCTACACACTGACACCCCTTTGGTGTCTAGGACCTCCCCATGCCAGCCTGTAACAGGGTCCCGGGCCTGGGGCTGGCTGAGCAGAGCATCTGCACACTGCCAGGATGAGGCGGGCAGGGCGTCTCTGGCTCTCACCAGATGCAGAGCAAGCCCTGGAGTCTAAGTCCATTTTCTGCTGCTATAACAGAATACCACAGCCTGCGTCATTTATACAGAAAACAAGTGTCTTTGGCCCACAGTTCTGGAGGCTGAGAGATCCAAGAGCATGGTGCCGGCACCAGGTGAGGGTTTTCTTATGGCAGAAGGCAAGCAGGTGCCTGAGATTGAGAGGCAATCATGCCACACCCTGCCTTTCTGATCAGGGGCCCCTCCCACCACACAGCACTGACCCATCCACAGGGGTGGAAGCCTCACAGCCAATCACCTCTCACAGACCCCACCTCCCCACACCGTCACGTCACAATGTCTATTTTTTTTTTTTTTTGAGACTATCTCACTCTGTTGCCCAGGCTGGAGTGCAGTGGCGCCATCTTCGCTCACTGCAACCTCTGCATCTGGGTTCAAGCGGTTCTCCGGCCTCAGCCTCCCAAGTAACTGAGATTACAAGTGCCTGCTACCATGCCCGACCTTTTTTTTTTTTTTTTTTAAGTAGAGACGGGGTTTCACCATGTTGGCCAGGCTGGTCTTGTACTCCTGACCTCAAGTGATCCGCCTATCTCGGCCTCCCAAAGTTCTGGGATTACAGGGGTGAGCCACTGCACCCGGCCATGTCTGTTAGATGTCAACATAAGTTTTGGAGGAGACATTCAACACCAGGGCACCCAGAGTTGGGCCATGATGGAGTGCTGGGGTTTTTCATTTTTGTTTTTGAGACAGGGTCTTGATCTGTCGCCCAGACTGGAGTACAGTGGCATGATCATGGCTCACTGCGGCCTCAACCTCCTGGGTTCAAGTGATCCTCCTGCCTCCTCAGTCTCCCAAGTAGTTGAACCCACAGGCACAAGCCATCACACCCAGCTAATTTTAGTACTTTTTGTAGACATGGGGTCTCACCATGTTGCCCGAGCTGGTCTTGAACTCCAGAGCTCAAGCGGTCCACCTGCCTCGGCCTCCCAAAGTGCTGGGATTATGAGTGTGAGCCACCACGCCTGGCCACAGGGTGCTGGTTTTACATAAGGATTCATCCCAAGTTCCTCTGATCACGGGTGTGAGCCATCATGCCTGGCCACGGGGCGCTGGTTTTACATAAGGATTCATCCCAAGTTCCTCTGATCACAGGTGTGAGCCATCATGCCTGGCCACGGGGCGCTGGTTTTACATAAAGATTCATCCCACGGTCCTCTGACTACAGGTGTGAGCCATCATGCCCGGCCCCGGGGCGCTGGTGTGACGTTGGGATCCCATGGTCCTCTGACTACAGGTGTGAGCCATCATGCCCGGCCCCGGGGCGCGGGTGTTACGTTAGGATTCATCCCACGGTCCTCTGACTGGCACACCCTTTGAGGCACATCAGAAGATGGCGAGAACCCTGCTGTGGACTGAATGTTTGTGTCCCTCGAAACCCGATGCTGAAGCCCTGACCCCAGCGGGATGGCGTGAGGACGCAGGGCCTTCAGAGGTGATGAGGTGAAATGGTCCTGAGGTGGGGCCCTCATGATGGGACGAGCATCCTCATAAGAGACCCCAGAGTGCACACGCACTCACCACGCTCTCCCTGCCTCTCCCTGGGCCATGTGAAGATGCGTGGGAAGACAGCTGTCTGTAAACCCGGAAGAAGGCCCTTGCCAGACACCAAGTCTGCCCAGCAACCTGGTCTCAAACGTCCGGCCCAGGACTGTGAGAAGTCAGCGTCTGATGCTGAAGCCCCAGTCTGTGCTACTGTGTGACACGGCCCCAGCCGACGAAGACAGTGCCCAAACCAGAAGACGGGCAGGAGGTGGGGCAGGGTGGCTGGCGTCCCAGGAGGCTGTGCAGGCACACCTGCTCATTAAGGAGACACGCGTGGGGAGCGCAGCATCGCAGTGAGGACCCCTCCCGTCCCCAGGCTGAATTCCTCTTTAATGAGACGCCACTTTGGAGAAGCGTTTCAGAGCCCTTCAAAATCCTGGCCTAACTCTCGTCAAAACTGCACAGATTACTTAAGATTTACCGCACAGACACAAACTAAAATAAAATAAAATAAGGCAGCCCAGTGAGAGGCAGCCTCGTGACAGGACCATTTGTAGTCAGATGGAAAAGCCTCCGATTCATCTGCTTAAGCACAGCAGCTTCTGTTTATTTCGCACTTTCATGTCAAATGAATTTGGAAAGAGAAAAAAAGTGACAAGCAGTTAGGGATATAAGTCACATTTCAGCTTCAGTTCAGATTAATGAACTTGCTGGAGCTGGTGAGGGCACCGGCAAATCTACAAATCTCAGAACAACAAAAAAATTAAATCCCCTCAGCAGAGCCTCAGCCTTCAGGGTGACTCCTCCAAAACCCTTCACTGACCTTCTGCCTCGCACCCCTGCATTCCAGGCCCTCTGGGACAGGCTTCACTTCAAGGCAGCAGTCCTGGGGCCCGGGGGAGGGCTGGCCAAGGCCGGCTCTCAGGGACCACTGTGGCATGGCCGAGGTATGCGTAAGGCAGCAGTACAGTAAGCTCCCAGGGTCCCCGAGCCAGAGCAACAGCCCCGTCCTGTGTATTTGGCAGATGCGACGGGCACCACGCTCAGCAGAACAACCCAGTCCCATGCCTCAGCTTCTGGGGAGAGGTGGCACATGGCCAGCACACCGCCAGCATGCCCCCGTCAGCTGTTGCCCCGCCCCAAGCAGCCACATGGCCGGGCATCTGCAGGCCAGGGCAACGCGGCCTCTGATGGGAGCACAGGTGGCACCGTGGATGCCACCCGTTGAGGCAGGAGTCCCGTTCTGCCCTTGGCATACAGGCACTGCTCCTTTTCTCCTCCCACCCTCTGCCCCACCCCAGTCTCCACACATGATGTCTGGCGTGTGCCTCAATGGTGTGCCCATCCTCAGAGAC
This sequence comes from Homo sapiens, assembly GCF_000001405.40. Classification (NCBI taxonomy): domain Eukaryota; kingdom Metazoa; phylum Chordata; class Mammalia; order Primates; family Hominidae; genus Homo; species Homo sapiens. The sequence continues at coordinate 143,503,373 of NC_000008.11, forward strand.
CCTGGCTGGCAGCACACAGAAGCCCCAGAAGCTACTGCCCAGCAGCCTCTGCCTTCCATCTGACAACGACGAGCACTGGCCGGCCACAAACCTGAGGCCACTGGTCAGCACCCAGCCATCTCCCGACCACCTCCCCCAGCACCCAGCCATCCCCCGACCACCTCCTCCAGCACCCAGCCATCTCCCCAACACCTCCCCCAGCACCCAGCCGGCTCCACCACCACCTCCCCCAGCACCCAGCCGGCTCCACCACCACCTCCTCCAGCACCCAACTGTCTCCACCACCACCTCCTCCAGCACCCAACTGTCTCCACCACCACCTCCCCCAGCACCCAGCCGGCTCCACCACCATCCCCTCCAGCACCCAGCCATCCCCCGACCACCTCCTCCAGCACCCAGCCATCTCCCGACCACCTACCTCCTCCAGCACCCAGCTGGCTCCCCACCGCCTCCTCCATGTTCAGGTCCAGAGAAAGCCGCTGACAGGGAGGAGAGGCCCCAGCCCCTATTACAAACCCAGCCATCAACGGGCCCTGACGCTGTCCTCCAGCCTTCCACATGGGCCCAACATGACCACCAGGCCGACAGTAAGTTTCTACTTAAATTAGGAGGGGGAGAGAGAGGGCGCGTGTGCCAAATCACCCCCTGGGACAGGGCAGAGGCCTAGACTCAGGCCGGGCACTCACTTGCCTACCCTCCTTCCCTCGGGCTGCAGGGAAGGGGAGTTTCTAGAGCTTCCCAGAGGAGGGAACAGGCCTAATCACCCTGAGCCCTCCCCAGTGCCCAGGGCAGAGCTAGGGCCAATAGCTCAGGGCCTGGGGCTCTCCAACCGAAAGCTGAGAGGAACTGCAGAGGGGTCCTGGGGGCTCATGGCCAGGAGAGGGGCCCCTTCTCGTGCCTCCTCAGGGCGGTGCAGTCCCCGCCATGAGCATCACAGCCAAGGGGAGGGGACGGGAAAAGAGGGCAGGGGAGGTCCCAGGGACAGGGTCAGAGAGAGGACAAGGTGAGGGCTGTTGTCAGCAGCAGAGCTGTGCAAGCTTCACTGCGGCAGCCTGTGTTACTGTTTCTTGTCCCCACCTTGGGCAGGGCCCAGTCCCATTCCTCTCAGGACGGGTGGTAGAGGTCCTGCCCCCTCCTCCGTCTTTGGGGTTCCAGCTCAGGCCCTGTCCTGAACACCCCACCACAATCAAGCCTAGAGACCCTACCCATTTCGCATGGTACAAGCAGGCAGGGACGGGCTGTCAGGTTCACGCTGCACTGCGCTGCCCCCAACTACACCCTACCCAAGATGCTCAGCCACTCCCAGCACCTGGGACCTTCATGTGCATCCTGGGGCAGGGTCAGCCTGGCCTTCACACACAGACCCCCAGGGCCTTCCCTCAACACTCAGAGCCCCCTGGGCCTCACTGTACTCCCCACTGCCGTCCCTTCGCAGAGCCTCTGCCAGCGGCTCCCTCTCCTCCCAGAGCAGTGCTGTTGGCCTCGTCCATCTCCCAGGAGCTGGCAGCTTCACAGAGAGCAGGCCCGGCTCCATGCTCGGAACTCGCGGGTTTGCTTCAGCAACAGAGCAAGATGCTAAGGCTCTGAGGGCAAGAGGCCTAGATGACTTCCTCTCAGGGTGACCAGATCTCCAATCACAGTGAGGGGTCGGCTGGGGCATCCCACACCGGCGCTGTCCCTCAGCCACTAGTCACCCTGCCTCCCTCCCCTCCCGCGTGTCCACCAGCCCCTGCCAACTCTGACCACCGTGGCTTCCAGGACTGCTGGGGCTTGCCCGCCAGCCCCTCCAGGGATGGGAGAGGGAGCTGGGGCCCAAGGAGAGCTCTGGTCTCAGGCTCCAGCCAGCCAACTGGCAGGACAGCCTGCCTTCTTCCTCTCCATGGCAGCCCTTAGTCCATGGTGGCCTGGGCCTGCCGAGGGAGGGCTGAGGGTCCAGCCACATGCAGGCAGCCCTGGCTCTGATGCAGCACCGGAGATGGCGCATGGGCCAGGCTAGACCAGCCGCTGGCCCAGACGCCCTTTCTGCCTAAACAACCCCGAGCCCAGGCACGCAAACAGGCAACAGCAGGCCAGGCAGCCATGCTGGGACGCAGGTGGCAGGTGACCCTGGGCGAGGCAGGCCCAGCCCACTGGTGGCCATTCTTCCCAGGACTTCCTAAGAGTCGTGCCCCTCAGCTCAGCACCCTCCCCACTCCACTCCCACACCCTATCCACAAGCCCAGGGTTCGTGTCCCGAAGGGTCCCAGACGCCTGGCAAGGAGTGGAACAGGACTGGGGTGAGGCGGTCAGGAAAGCAAGGAGGGCCCCTCACACACCCCCTCAGCCACATGTGCATCCTGGGGCGGACTCAGCCTGGCCTTCACACACGGAGAAGACACTGAGGCCTGGAGCCCATGGCCACCAACCACAGCCAGGGCCTCCAGGGGTGGGCTGAATTCAGGCTTCTGGTGCTGGGGCCCTTGATCCATCAAAGGCGATGCCTGCTCCACCTCCTGCCCACCCATGCCTGTGGTGCAGCCCCTACACCAGGGCACTCAGAGAGTCACGGCCGCTCCCTGCAGGGCAGCTGGCCAGGCTTCACTTTGGAAGGACAGGGAACTTGGAGGGAGCCTATCAGCTGACCCGCTGCTCTCAGCCACATGGCGCCGACAGGAGGCCCTGGGCGCTGGGCCGGCTGCCACCTCCTCCTCCTCCCGGCCTCCTCAGCCCCAGGGCATGGGCACTTGTTTCTGTGCAACAACACCATCAGGGCCCTCCTGGGCAGGCCCAGCTACAGGAACCAGACCAGCCGGACCCAAACCAGACGCCTTCTTGGCCTTCAGAATCCAGAAGGAGAGGCCCTGCTGGGTCCGCCCTGAGGAAAATCATCACTTGGCCCCGAGCCGCACCCCTGGGAGAGGTGGACCCTCGACGTCGGGCTGACGACGACCACAGGACGGGAAGCAGGAGCGGAGAATCCATAAATCTGAACCTCATTCCCGATGATCCGGGGCTCTTATTAAGTAAATTAATTTAAGTTAATTTAGCTCGATCATGACTCCCGATCACAGTGATTTAGTGTGGGGGAAATTGCATTAGGAAAGGCCATGCTCACCAGATAGAAGAACGGAAGAAAATTAGATCCACTTAGCAATGTGAATTAATATGGAAATAGCAGGTGTAAATTTAACCTTATCGAGAGAATAAAAATTATCTTCATAAATTTGCAGAAATAGCCCCCGAGATGCTTATAAATCTATTTAAAACAAAAATATTACAAAAAGTGCAGTAAAATTAATTTAAAATATACTCCAGCTATTGCCTCCAGAAAACTCAGCAGCAGGGCCAAGCTGAGTGTGGCCTGGTGATACGGGAGGCAGCAGGACACCACCTGGTGGGCTCGCCAGCTGGCTGACCTGCCACGAGGCTCCAGAGCTGGGTAGGGCTGTCCATACTGGTGGGTGGATCCCCTGGGGTTAGCCTCAGGCCTGGAAACCTCTGGCTAGCAGCAGGGAACCACCAGGCAGCTACGGTCCGGTGGGTGGCCGTGCCCTGGGCCGTGGCTGCTCGCCCTGAGGCCCTGCCCACCATCTCTGGCCCACGCCACTCCCCCAGGAGCAGATTCCCGCGGGGAGGGTCAGAAGACAGAGGGAGGGGTCTGCCACTGCCTGCTTCCCATCTGCCTGCCAGAGCTATTACCCTCTCCCAACCTGGAGATGGGGCACCACCACCACAGCAAAGGAAGGGGCCAACCTCCTAGAGCCAGGCCTCCTGAGGCCCAGAGGCTGAGCAACCTTGACTGAGCAGGTGGCAAAGCCTCCCGGGATAGCGGCCCCAGGAGGGCAAAAGCTGTTCCCTGCCGACAGAGCCGCCCTCCCAGCCTGCATCGAGGTCAGAGTGCGAGTGGGGGCCAGAACACGGACAGGCAGCCAGCAGCAGGGCAAGGAGTAGCTCACATCACCGCCTTGACAATCATACATTGACAGCTTCCAGACAGACCACTGAAGGCCCAGCCTCTCCCACCAGAAGCTTCTCCCCGAGAGATGCTCAGACAGCACATGGCGTGGGCCCTGACCGTCTGGGCAGCAGAAGCTTTCATGGCACAGAGCCCTCACCAGCTAATAGGCTTGCTGAGAACAGCAGAGCATGTGTGTGCATGTGTGTCCGTCCGTCTTCACGTGTATGTGGTAAACACAAGCTGGCCTCCTATTTGGTGCAGAAATTGCTAAAGACACAGAAAAATCAGGCTGGTCCCCAGCCAACGAGCCCAACACCAAGCAGTTCTGGGATGTGCTCAGCTCCCCCTGGCCCTTGGATTCTACCCTGCAGCCCTCAGGGCAGGGCCAGACAGCCCAGTTCCCAGGCCTGCAGGAGCCTGCAGGAAGCCTTCCTACCTGGATAGTGAGAGCCGCCGGGCCCGCCAGGAGGGCAGAGACAGGGGGAAGGGCGGGGCGCTGAGAGGCGAGGCCGGCGTCTTCTTGACAATGCGGTAGCGGGTCTTGATCACCTTGCTGGTGGGTGCAGTCCGCACGGCATGCAGGCTGGACGCTGTAGAGAAAACCCAGGGCACAGACATGGGTCAGGGAAGGCCGGCAAGGGTAGGGTCAGAGAGGCCACCCACAGTGCCAGCTCTGCCCACCGCCTCCGCCGGAGCTTGAAGACCCTCCATCGCCCCGTGGATAAAACCCTCAACCCATGTGGCACACACATCCCCAGGGCGCCTGGCAGCCGACGCTTCAGGAGCTAGCCAGTGCAGCCTCTGAGAGGCGGGCACCAGCCCCGCACACCCTCCAGCCATCTGGAGAAACAAGGGAATGCCCACACCACAGGAAAACCAGGAGAAGCCAGGGGTCTGGCAGCCGGGGATGCCTTGGAGTCCCCTAGACAGTATCCGCAACAGGGGGACTCGAGGTGGCTGACTGACTTCCAGCAGAGCAGTGAGGAAGGCAGATGGGCCACCTCCACCCAGGCCAGAGGGGCGGGGCTGGGAGGCTCCTGGCCTGTGCCCTGCACAGGGGAGGGGCGCTGGAGCACTCACCTCCTCAAGCGGCACCTCCTCACCGCTGTGCCCAGACAGACTTATGTACTTAGTCACTGTTTTCATAACATTTTGCAGGGTGATAGACACGACGGCTTTTTTCTTGCTGAATGTTTCATGCAATTAACAGGAATCTTTTGCCCGAGTTCCCTTCCACTTGATAGCTGGCAATTTACCCACAGCTTCGAGGGTTGCGTCTAATTGCCCAGCTTGCATCATGTACAGCTCTGACTGCCCAGATCATTAAAGCTAACTCAGCAGTGGGCACAGGCCCGCCTTCCCAACAGCTTCCCTGGCAGCCCAAGGCTCAGGGGCTGCTGCAAGAGGCCCCCGCCCCCCTCCACCCCCTTCAGGGTCGCCCACAGGAGGACCCCACCCAGCCCAGCCCAGGGGACCTCACTTCCTTCCAGTCAGTGCCCAGCTTCCCCTGTGCCCGGGACCCCTGACTGCCCAGGACACACCCTCTTGGCCCCCACAGCCAAACAGCCCTCGAGGCACCCTGCTCCTTGGACAGGACCAGTAACTGTTACCATTTCCCAAATTCTTTTCCAGAGCCCTAAACGCAACGGACCTTGAGCAGCCAGGGCCCCTCCTTGAGGCCGAGCTTCTAGCCCATCTCTCCACAGACTCGCTCACTCTCCTGCCCACACTGCCCTGTCCAGATGTCAGCAAAGAGCCCCTCCCTCAGGCGTTCCCCCAGCACCATCCAAGCTGCAGCCTCTACTCAGGCACCTGTCAGCCTGCACAGGAGCAAGTCAGGAACACTTGGCCCCAACATGACATCAAAGCCTTCCCCAGAGTCCCCCAGAGTCCACATCAGAGAGTCTGCCGATTGTATTTTCAAGGTCTTACAAACAAGGAGAAACCAGCAAAAAAATCAATAATAGCTTGTTTCAACTAAGCGCTGGAGAACGTAAGAAGTCCTTAAGTTATCAATAACCCCGAGGTGACCTCACCACCTTCCAGCCCTGCTGCAGGCTCCTTGCTTCTGCCTGAGGAGAGCATGGGCTGCCCGGCTGCTCCTGCCCCACCTGGGCCAAGCTGGGGGCCAGCCTTGGCACCTGGGCAGTCAGGGCACCCACTGGAGCACTGCCAGCCATGGGGCCGGGCCTCAGGGCTGCCACCAGCCCACCCCCAACCCCAGAGTGCCCAAATGGCCCACTTGCCAGCCTGCAGCCTGCTTCCCACCATGGCTTCCCACAAGCCTCCCAGGCCGCCCAATGCCTGCTGCTCTGGGACGCAGAGCCTGGGGCGATGCTGGCCCCTTGGAGCCACAGCATGACAAAGCTAGGGTACAGTCCTGCTCAGAGGCCAGGTGGGGCCAAGCAAGGCAGGAGGGACACTGGGCCACACTCGGGACACTGGGCCACCCTCGGGCCCCGGGGGTTCATGTTCCCCTCCCCATCAACCTCTTTCCCCAAATTCTAAGTACAGGAGCCCCCAGACCTGGCCCAGCTCCATTCCCGTCGCCAAATGCACAGCCTCCCTTCGGCTAAAATCACTTCTAACCTTGGGAACCAGAGCTCGCCCTCCCTCCCAGGTCCAGCACATGCCAAGTCCTCTAGGAATTCCCAGCCCCGACTGCACACAGGACTGGACTCTGCATTCTAGAACACTTCTGCCCAGGAGGGGCAGCTTGGGGCAGGCAGGGCCTGGCGGGCGGCGGCACCATGATCACACTCCTGCGCAGTGCTGGCAGTGGTCAGGTCAGGCTTCTTTGCCTTACTGCGTGTTACTTCTTAGTGCCCAAGTGTCACTCCTGAAAACCACACGGTAATAACGCAGCGCCAGCCTCTTGTCACAGCCCACTCAGGCTGGGCAGGTATATTCTGCACGTCACCTAGATAGACCCCTCTCCTACAGTCCCTACCAGACTGGGGGCACTTCAAGGGGCTCACAGTGACAAGGTGGCAGCTAGTGTGGGCCCAAGCTGGGCTCCAGCCTGCAACCCACCCCCACAGCAGGGTCGTGTCCCCCACGGCCTGGCCCTGCAGACCATGGGCAGTCCCTGTCATTCCCAGATGGGCAGCTCGGACAAGCTCATGACAACCCAGGATGAGCAGGGCACAGCCGGACAGATGGGTAGTAGCAGATGAATTCTGAGCTGGGCACCCAGCGACTGGCAGGAGCAAGGGCTCCTAAGACCATGCATGGCACACGGACCCAGAAAGTCAGGCTGCAGGAAGGAAGGGTCCCTCCCTGGCCCTGTTCCCCAGGGTGTGCAGCGATGGCGTGGGCAGGTGGCAAGGCTTGGGAGGCTGCAGGACGCTGCTCTGTAGCCAAGAAGGACCCAGGCAGAAACAGGCCTCTGCCCTCCTCCCTGAGGACACAGGCCCAGGCGCCCATCCCTCCTGGCTGGCTGGGGTTTGTGTAGATAATCGTGTTATTTAGATAGGATGTTGGTTTAATTCCCCTCATTACAGACTCCCAGGGCTGTAATTTTTTTTCTCCACGTGATGCATTCCCGTGGCACACTCCGCGCACATCAAACCCCTTGCGCCTTTATTGCCGGCGATGCCCCGGCCCGCGTTATCAGCCCCACACACGCAGCCCTCTCTGCCCGCCATCAAGAGGTCACTTCTAATGACTAATCGATCTCATTAGCTTTCCTAATTAAAAACTTTACTACCGCAATGGAAGACAAACTACAAAGAAACTGCTGGCATCATATGTGAATGAGATATGAGCCCATCCATCAGCAGGGTTTGAGCTCTTGCACACGGCACCATGCCCTCAGGCCGGGGACCAGGTGGGACAGCCCTCAGGCACCTCGAGAGCCCTGCTGTGTACCAAGCACCACATGCCCAATGACGCATCATCAGGAGGGCGGCCGCTGAGGCTGGGCCCGGCCATCAGGGGTCCAGGAGTCCTGCAGAGCCTGGCCCTGCCCACCCGGCTCACTCTCCTCGGACAATTCCAACACAGATGGCTGGTCTGATCAGATGGGGGTCGCAGCCTTGCTCTGTTTTATGTGGAGCAGGAGTGAGGGAGAGTTCAGATTTTTATGGAACTTCAAAGGGAAATAACTAGGAAGAAAATAAGTTGCTAATTTCACAATTGGTTAATGAATAAGAAGATGAAACTAGAATTACTACTCTGTGCAAAGAACTGTCTGAGGCTGCCAAGCAGGAGAGAAGGCTGCTCCACCACTTCACTGTCCAGCCCACCAGGGCCAAGGTGAGTATCCTGGGGAGCTGTCCAGCTATCTGTCCAGCTCCCAGCCTGCTGATGGGAGGGTCCATCAGGGAGGGTCTCGCCCATCAACTGAGGTGGAGACCCAGAAGGCCTCTGACCGTGCCCCAGGCCAGCATCCACCAGCCCCTGGGCCTTATGCACAGTGGGCTACAGAGATGGGAGCACCAGGGCCTCCAGAAATAGCAGGCACGAGAGTGGGCCCTGGTGCAGACGGGCCCAGCGCAAAGACAGCAAAACTGTCACTGCTGGGCTGCCAGCCCGAGAAAATACCCTGGTTCTAGAAGCCCCTTCCCCAAGCCTCCGCAGGCTTCATCCCAGCTGGGGAGCGGGGAGAGCTGAGCAGGAGGCCAAGACTGGCACGGAATTTGCTGGAATCAGCCACAGCCACCCCCACAGCAGCAGACAGGACGGCGTGGGGCCCACGAAGGGATGATGTTGACTTGCCTGACAGACACCTTGCACCACACCATGTTCCCGGGAGAAGTGACAGCAGCGAGCGGCCAGGATGGGCCAGACCCACAGAACAGGCCTGGGGCAGCCCAGACCCTGCATGCAAGGAGAGCGAGCAGGGAAGGGGCTAGTCCAGGTGCAGCCCCCGGGGCCACTGCAGCGCTGCCCAGGGTGACGGATGGCTGTGGGCTGTGGGCTGAGGGCATTCCGGCCAGTCAGGCCCCCCATCCCTAATTCCTGAAGATTCCACCTTCTTTGTACACTGCCTGATCTGCTTTTTATCAACAGCTGCCCTGGCACCTCACCATCTCCACACTGCCTATGTCCTTCTCTGACTAACGGCAGCTTGCACGCCTGCAAACCTACTTTTCCTGGTGTCTGTGACCCGTTTCTGTGTCTTTCCAGTCCTCTTGCAGTTTCTGAGGCGGTGCCAACTCTGTGCCAGCCCAGGTCTCTGGCCCCGGTGCCCTGAGCACGAGGCAGGAGGGGCCGGGCAGCAGCACCGACTGGGGATGGCACCTTCCAGTACGGCCGTGAATGCCCCACAGGCAAGCAGGACACGGCCTAAAGAGAGGGCAGGAGGCCCTGTGCCATCCCCAGAAACCTGAGTTCACCCGGCCCCCGGACACAGCTCCAGTCACACTCCCCGCCCCACTCACTGGCTGGGCCTCTTCCTCCGGCACTGCCTGACCACCCCAGAGCTCAGGGGGTTGCACCTTCAGCCCCACAGCCGCAAGAGGGCGCCAGGGACGAGGCAACGTCTCCTCCCACAGAGCAGAGTTCCCACGATTAATCGCCTAATTAGAGCTGTGATTACAACTGAGAGTGCTCAGTGGCGCGGGGAGGTACACGCAGCGGGCAGGACCCCGGGAAGTGCCCCTCCAGGAGAGCCGAGCCTGCCTGGAAGGAGCAGAGCCTGGGGTTCCTGAGAGAGGAGAGAGCAGGGCATAGGCCCAGCGCCAGAGGAGTCGGGGCTGCAAGAGGCGGGGACAGCCTGGGCAGGGGGTGCCCAGGCGCTGTGGGGAAGTCGGGGCGGGGGGCGTGGGAGGAGAGCTGGGGGCACTGGGAGTCAGGGCCAGACCCGCCCTGTGCTGCTGCATGGCTGGCACCATGCTCACACCCACGGCCTCAGCTGGCTCCACAGCCTCTGGGACCATGCCGCCCTCAGGAAGCACCTGCCAAGCGCAGGCCCCACCTTCCCTGCAGGTCCAGCTCAAAGGCCCCTCACACCCCCACCCCTCCCAGCTTGGCTAGGAGACTGCTGAGGGGCAAAGGCAGGGGAGCAGGGGGAGCCCCAGGGAACGAGGCAGGCAAGTTCCAGACCAGCCGACAAGGCAGGTGAGCCCAGAGTCCCCATCTCCTCTCCTGCAGCTCGCAGGTGATCCTGCCCCCACCAAGGCTGCTGCACACCCAACACCAGGCCCCACGCTGGAGACTCTCAGGCACAAGGAGTCCCGTCAGGCAGCGTCCCTGACAGTGGCTGATGGCGCTCTTGGAGAAACAGCCATGAAAACTCCAACAGAGCATGTGGCCCATGTTCCCGAGAGCCCTGGGCTCTTGCATTTCAGACCGTGACATATGTCTGAGCGGGGCGCAGACCCCCGGGCCTGCTTGGGGTACAGCGCCTGCTACTGCAGCCAGTCAGAGGCAGCGTCCGCAGAACTGTCTCTCGTTGAAGGCAGCTCAGGCAACAGCTCTCGCTGTTCCTGGGACAGGAGGCTCTGCCCATTGTGAGCACAGATGCCCTTCCCTGCATAGCCAGGCCTAGTCCGAGGCACCTCCTGGAAGGCACCTGGGCCTGGCAGCTCCTCACAGCCTTTGCTGAGGCTGGTGGGGGTGGACAGGGTGGCCCAGCCAAGGTGAAGGGCTATGGAGCAGCTGAAATCCAGCTTGGCCCCCGACCAGTGTAGCTCGCCAGGGCTGCACAACAAGGGCCCCTCCACCAGCCCCTTTCTGAAGTCGGCCCAGTCTGAGTTGTCCCCTGGGGCCACACAGAGTCGCCACCTTGGTAGCCTGGTGCTCACCCCTGGCACTTCCACACGCTAGGTCCTGAAGGTGGCGAGGCCAAGGCTACACTGGGGGTGACATGGGCTCTGGCCTCCAAGAAGGGGTAGGCAGACCCCAGGGGCCATCAGGAGCGGCTTCCCCGAGGTCCACCATGTGCAGGGGGCAGTGAGGTCAAACAGGAGGTCTCTGGCCCTCAAGTGCCACCGTGAGGTCCACAGGAGACTGCCCTCTCTCCCAGGAGCCTCAGGCCGTGTGTCCCCACCACTCCCACCCGGGCTGCCACCGCAGGCCCCATCCTGGCTCGGGCCCTGGTCTCCCCAGTGTCTGCAGCATCCACAGTGGAGCTGGCCTGGAGCCATTGGCCCACCCAGGGCCTGCCTCCCAGCGTCCACTCGGTGTTACCACACAGCAAACATGATCCTGCCAGGACACACAAGTGCACTCAGGAGCACACGCAGAGACTGACATGCACACGGTGGGCGGTGGGCATGCACACAGGCGTGAGCACACGTGCATGGTCATTCCCGATCCTGTGGCTCTCGCCCCTAGCAGCCAGGACGGGGCCGGGTTGCTCACCCCACAAACCTGTACCCTGCTCTCGCGCCCCCTCAGGCCCTCGAGTTTCACGCAGAGCCAGGCCATGCAGTTCAAATGCAGCCCAGCCCAGGAGCTGGGCTCACCGCCTGGACGTTCACCTGCGGGCACCCATCTGCAGGACCAACAGCCTCGTTTCTACTGACACCTGGTGCAGTGAGGGGCTGCATGGCCACGCTCCAAGGCCACTCTCCGAGGCAGGACAGGAAAGCCTCCTTGGTTCTTTGTCTGTTTCTTCTCTCTGCCCTCCTCAGTCCCCTCCCTGTCAGGCCCATGTGCGGCTAGGCCCGGCCGCCGCATCTGCTGTGGTCCTGGGTGTCTGCTCCTGCAGGACAAGGCCTGTGCCCGGCCAGTGCCCCCACCATCCTGCAGACACACACCCCTCCCGTGAATGCTGGGAGCTCAGGGAGCGTGCCATGCCTTGCACCCACCGTCTGGATTCACCAGTCCTTACTGCTGGGTTCCGAGAAACATGAGGGTCAGTCCCTGGGGCCCAGGCCTGCCATGGGGCTCCCGCCTCGCTCCCCGATCCGGAAGCCCAGCCTCTGCTTTTCTCTTCCCCGACCACACATGGGCAGTTCCCAGCTGCTTTTCTCATCTAGACACCGAGCAGGGCAGGATGGAGCCAGCCTGTGGCGCATACGCACTCCCCCCGCTGCAACGCCTCGGCCCTCCATCATGCCAGCCAGGCAGGTCATCGGCAGGGCCCCTGGGGCGCAGCGAGGGGCTGCAGTGATTAGTACTGATGAGCACACAAACCGGGCCAGTCATGCGTGACATCAGCTTCCGGCAGACGGCACTGGCAGGCTGTGGGGACCCTGCAGTTGTGCGGAAAAGTGGAATCATAGTGGGCACCACGGGAGGCTCAGGCTCTCCCCACGAACGGGCCTCCCAGGCCCCTCCACTGTTTGGAGGGAAAGATTCGGGTAGGGCTCCTGCCTGATTCTGGCCAGCTCAGGCAGAACGTCCCCATCACGAGAAGGAAGGCACCTCTGCCCCTCCTGGCCACCACACAGAACCCACAATGCCAGCCACATCAGCTGAGGGCACCTCGGCCCCTCAGCCCACAGGTGGGAATGTGGCCAAGGCCTAGAGGAAGACACCAGCCCACGATGCCCACAGATGGCACAGCTGGGCCAGGCAGGGGCTGGGCCAAGGAGCCTTCGCAGGTGCCTTTGGAAGGGATGGAGACTGGACACACCGGCCGCCTCTACCTGTGCACCCGGACCACCATCTATGTGGGCAGACCCCTGGCTGTGCTGGCACAGGCTCACTGCCCACCTGGAGCCAGCCCCAGGGGTTACCCACACTCAGCACCCTAGCATCTAGCCAGCCCTGCCGCTTCCAGCCCAGGCCCTGCAGGTGCAGGGAGTGTGCTGCTGACGTGGCTGGGCCCTCCGCCCCTGCTGGCCCTCCCCTTGAGTGGCTGGGTGTGCTTCAGGCCCGTCCATTTCTCTAAATGAGCCGCAATGGCAACCGAGGCAGGGGGCGGCTGGTGAGTGCCCCGCCCCTACGCTGGCGCGGCAGGAGCTGCCAGGACCGCACTCTAACAAGCCTCAGATGTGGGATGACTGGAACCACAAAGTATGAATTTTTATGAGTCTAATAAATCACTCCACTTTTCTTGTATGTGATGGCTCCCAGGACCTCAAACGCTGCAGACAGAGGGAAGGAGCCCCTGTATGTGGTGGTGGCCAGGAGCAGGGCCACGGGGCCGCTGGGGCCCTCCTGGGCACCCTCGAACCCTCTGGCCCCACGCCCTGAGGCTGCTCCGCAGGGTGGAGAGCAGAGACCTGCTCGCTGCCCCCATTAGGCCCTCCCTGCCAGAATCCCACATTGGCAGAAAAACTTGCCTCAAAGCCTCGTCAGCGCGAAAGGAAACTTTGCAATCACACACACACACACACACACACACACACACACACACACACATACACACACACACTCACTCTCATGCACATGCTCACCCCACAACAGAGACTGCAGAGGACCCCAGCCCCGAGACAGGAGGAGCAGGTGCATCCGGCCCCTCCTGGGAGCCCTGCCAGGACTGCCTGGGAGGCTGGGCCCCAGCACCTCCCCAGGTGGGTGCAGCACGTGGCCAGCCACATGAGAGGATGGCCCCTCAGCTTTCATGTCCTGGCCTCGCGTCCCTGGGACGCAGCCCCGTGGGATCCGGGGATTCATCTTTGACAAACATTTACGGATTATCAAATCACAACGGCAGCCCGACAGGGCCATAAGTCACCCTAAGCAGCCATCCGCAGTGCAGTCTGAGGAGTTTGGGCAGCTCAGTGATGACAAATGACCGCTGTCAGCCGCCCTGTCCCCCCCGTGTGGGATCCGTGCTCTCTGTTGTTCCACACTACCTGGTGTTTAATGACAACACTGTCAGCTGGAGACGCAGCACCACCGAAGCCGCTGCCGCGGACTGTCAGAGCCCTATTAAAGGGAAGATTGAGACCCTACTCTTCTTAAAGTCACTCAAGCAACACAAGCTGCTAGTTCCCGTTAATTATTGTGCGCGAGCCATCGATCGCACGCCGACACCTGACCCGTCTGTATGAAATGGGAATAGTTTGCTCCGTGACAGTTGCTATAGATTATGGAGAGTGGGGCTTCCTCCCCTCTTCCCCACGGCTCTACCCAGCCTCAGGTGCAGGGGAAGGGAGGGGGCCTCCCTGCCCTCCACGGCTGGAGAAGACAGTGCAGCAGGCAGCTAAGGGGGTTCCCAAAAAGGGTGAACACAGGCCTTGGGCAGGGGTGCAGAGGAGCAGGAGGAAACCGGACCAAGTTGGGCCTGTACCCCAGGCCGCGCTCCAAGCAGGTGGGGTAGGCTCGGGGCATGCAGGCTGCAGCGAAGGACAGCTGGGCTTGGGCCTGGCCAGGTGTGTGTGTGGCCAAGCGTGCACCCAGCCTCGGTCCCCACTTCACAAAGAAGGGCACTGGGGCCCAGGGCACGTGCTCTGTGAACGACGTCTCCCAAGCTCTCCCCACTGGCCTGCAGCCCCAGCCAGCCTGTGTGTTCAGAACCCCAGGCCTGCGGCTCACCTGCTCCCAGTCTGGCCATAAGAGGCACCTGGGACGGGCCCTTCCCAGGGCTGGGAGCTCTGCCGGATTGAGAACGCCTCTTCACCTTGTCTCTGCTTTGACCCCCCGCTCCTGCCTGCCCCGCACCTGAGCTCCCTCCCCGAATCTCCAGGCCCACCTGTGCTCCCTGCCCCACCTGCACACACAGTTACTGGGAGCACTCAGATACTCGAGGGCGGAAGAGCAGCCCCCAGAGGACAGACCTGCTCGGGGCCAGGACAGCAGCTCCAGGCTCTGAGTGAGGCACGGCCAAGCCCCGAGGCCCTGGCCACCACGTCTCAGGGTACAGGACCTAGAGGCGGCCACTCAGCACAGCCTCAGGTCTCCTGGTCCACAGGGCCCCCAGCCCTTCTGCATGAGCGCCATGGCCCTGGTGCTGCAGGAGGGGCTGGCGCTGTGGGCCAGCAGGCAGCTCCAGGGCCAGGATGGCCTAGCGCAGAGTCAGGCTCCTGTCTGGGGGGACCCAGGTGATTCCACTGGGCAGTCCAGGCTGGAAACGGCCTCAGCCTAACCCAGGGAGCCCGAGGCCCTTCCCTCCCAGCCCACCCCTGACCTTCACATGGCTGGGCCTGGCTGGATCCCAAGGTCAGTGGAACAGATCTGGGGCCAACTGGCTGCCGGGCGGCACGGAGACCCAGCTCCGCCATGTGGCACGGCCTTCTCTCAGGAATCCTCTTCTGCTTCCTCTGAGCATAGCCCAAGAAAGACTCTTTGGAGAGAGTCCTGGCAACACCCTCCACAGAAAGCAGCGGCCCCTGAGAGAAACGACGTGTCCCGCTCAGACAGAAACCGCAGGCTGCCAGGACTCCCCGGCCACATGCCGCTCTCCTCTGGGCCACTCCTGGCCTTTCCTGTGACTGCGGGACAGTGGGCAGGCCGCAGAGGGGAGGTCGTGGATGCCAGGCACCAGGTGTGCCCTGAGGGCCTCCTCCAGGGCTGGTCTTGGCAGCCACAGCACCGGGGCCAGGCCCACCAAAGCTGGAGATGGCACGTGGGAGCCACAATCGCAGTCTCAGGGACACTGGCCCGACCGCTTGTGCTCCCTCTGGCACATACAAACGTGCAACTGGGGACCCTGAGAAGGCAGCAAAGGAATCCCTGCCCTCAGCCCACCCAACGGGAGCCACAGGGGCAAGGGACAGAGGCTCCCCTGGCCTTGACCGGGGTGGCACCAGCCCGGCAGGCAGCCCATTGCCTTTGAGGGAAGCCCATCCCCTCTCCTCTGGATCCTCCATCCCCAAGCACGGGGTGCAGCCCCAGCAGCAATGCCTGCCTCCCGGTGATGCATCCCCAGTGCACAGTGAGCGAGGGACCCTATGGGGGCTAAGGCCAGGCCAGGGTGCAGCGAGCACTACGCCGGCCTCCCCAGGAAGGTGACTCACCGGCCTCTGAAGGAGGGGAGGAGAGGGGTAGCAGCGAGTGTGCTGACGGCTGACTGGGGGCAGTGGGGCACAGGGCCAGGCAGGCAGTGGCCCAGCATTCGGGTCAGGGTAGGAGCTGGGGAGGCAGGCTGCAGACAGGCCCCCTACCAGCTCCATTCCCCCTAACTAGACTCCTGGCCAATGCCCTGGGGCTCCAGCCTTCGGGGCCAACACAGGGAAGGGTGGGTGAGAACCACCGGGGCCAGTGCCAGCCCTGGCCTTCAGGGCCCCAGACCATAGTGCAATGGGAGGGACCTGGGGTTGGGAGCTCATCTTTCGGTAAGATGAGCTCATGTGTCTTGAAAGCGCAAAGGTTAAAAATGAGTAAGCCTTGCATTCCTCGTTACCCCAGGCCTGAGCACCCCACATCACAGCCGCAGAAACGGAGGCTCAGGCTGCCCGGAGGCAAGCCCCAAGCGGCAGGCAGGATCTGACCAGTGTTCACGTGTGCTCACACTGGCACCCGTGGGAAGGACAGGCGAGCGTGCCGTGCTGTGTGCGTGCACATGCGCCACAGCGGCCCACACAGCAGCACGGGGCAAGCGGCCCGCCTCACCTTTCACAGCCGCAGGCCCCACGTTCAGGCCACCTGGGGACAACAGCCTGACCAGACCCCAGGGCAGCCAAGGCCACCACTCCATCCATGCACAGGACTCATCACGGGCCCAAAGGCTGCACTGCAGGGGACGCAGGACACCCCCGCAGTCCCAGAGGTGCCCTGCCCTGTGGGAAGCCACGGCCCAGCACCTCTGAGCCCGACGGTGCCACAGGGGAGCTGCGCCAGCCCCATGCCATCCCAACAGACGCAAACCACCCCCCAGCCTGCCTAGGGCCGCCCCCCAGGCCTGGCAGGACTGGAACAGCACTGCTCGCCCCACCCACCTCCTTCCCACACGAAGGCACAATGGAACTGGGTGGGCTTCTTCGGGGCTCAAGGAGGGGCCCTGGCAGAAGGCAGGAGCGGTGGGGGTGCCCAGAGCTCTGCAGGGCAGCCCCAGCCCTGGATGCATGGCCAGCATCATGAAAATGCTGCCTAGGGGCCACCATGAGAAAGAGGCAGGTGGGGTCTCCCCCTCAACAGAACAAAGAAGAGGCTGAGAGCTCTTCAGCAGGGGACTGATGTCTCCCGGGAGAGGGCAGGTTGGGGGCAGGCTCCCCTGCTGGACCCCGACTTGGGAGGAAGTAAGAGCACCCTTCCGGGGCCACTCCAGCCCTGCATGCGGTGAGGGGGCAGCTGGAGGCCACCAGGAAAGCCTGGGGGTGGTGGAGCCGATGGCCAGCTGCCCACCCTGCGCCCCCACACAGCCCTGGTGCTGCTTCGTCCTCCCAGGCCCACGCAGTGGGAACCGGCTGGGAAGCACCGGGGTGCAGGTCAGAGATGTACCGCAGGGTGCTGGTTTCAGCCGGGCCCACCCAGACACCCCGAGATCACCCAGCCTTGTAAGCTTCTGGCTGGAGCCAAGTTTTGCGTCCTCCAATCCTCAGGCAGAGCCCAGGCTGAGCCGTTTCCATTTGCCACAAGGTTCTAGGCCTTTCCACGTTTTGTGAGCGTCCACCTCGAGACACCCCAGATCCCAGCTGGCCAGCACTGCCCCGCTAACAGGGCTGTGGGGCTGAATCTCACAGTGTCCTTCTGCCCCATGGGACAGAACATCTGATTTCCCACTGACAGGCAGCTCACGGTGCCCACTAGGGCCCACCCCTGCCCAGGAGCTAGGCCAGGAGCTGCCCCCTCCCTGCCTCGTTGGCTGGTGCTCTGCCCAGCAGCACCCTCCATGGCTGGGTTTCTGGCCCGTATACCCAGAGAGGGGATCAGGCTTCATAGCAGCAAGTTTCCCACACACACTCACAGCCACACAGGTAGACGGCCCGCCCGGCCCACAGGGCTCTCAGCTGCAAACAGCTGGCCTGGGGCAGTGAAACAGACCCTGGGAGGGGCAGGCCCGGCCCCGCCACAGCCCCTGCCCAGCCCAGAGGGTTCTCAACAAGAAAACCACGGCCACCCCAGGGGCAGCCTGGCTCCTCCCAAGAGGCCTTGCCAACGAGACGAGGCAAGGAGGCTGGAGACACAGGGCAGAGGCGCGGGTGGGGGCACTGGCCCGAGGTCACAGGGCTACCGAGCACACCAAGATCCAGGCCGTGAAGGTGGTGATATGTGGGTGGAGCCTCGAAAGTCTGAAGGGACTGACCCCACACTCCACCCACTGGTACCCCCTCCCAGGTCTTGAGGGCTCCTCAAGTCCTGGTGCCCCATGGGCAGCCCCTGCCCCCAGCACTATGTCTGCCTCTGGGGAGCTCCCAGCAGGCCGGGAGGACTGGGTGTGGGCAGGAAGCCCAGGCTGGAGCAGCTCCGGGCCTCCTGCACATGGGGCATCTGCTACTTGTGTTTTCAAAGGGCCCAGAAACAAGCCACGCCTGCAACCCTCCAGAGGCACCCACCGGGGCAGGCAGGAGGTGGGAC
This sequence comes from Homo sapiens, assembly GCF_000001405.40. NCBI lineage: Eukaryota > Metazoa > Chordata > Mammalia > Primates > Hominidae > Homo > Homo sapiens. Next base: position 143,521,608 of record NC_000008.11, read on the forward strand.
AGGCATGGAGGACTTCCTGGGAGGCCAGCCCTATCCAAGCAGCCTCCCCGCACCGCCTTACTTCATTCTCACCACCCCACAGCCGTGAGGCCAGGACTCAGCCCCTCCCCCACCAGTGCACCTGCCTGGGGCTCTCAGAGTCTGGGGCCCCCAGAAGGGGTCCCCAGGAAGAACGTAAATTGAGCACACATGCATCTTTCAGGGGTGCTGGAACAGGAGGGAGGGTTTTTCTGTTCTCCACCCCACCATCCCAACAATGCAGCCCCAGCCTCTGGCCACAGAGGCGGCTCCCATATTGAAAGGAGAGCCAGCATCAGTGGGCACGGCTGCCATGGGAGTCCTCCCTGCTGGGGGCTCAGGGGATACCCGCAAAGTGCCCTCTATGGAAGGGTCAGACTAGAAGGGGTGTGTCCACCCAGGTGTGTCTCTGGGGTCCCTCTGCTGCTGGTCACCCTGTAAGCGTGTGGCCCAGTGCTGAGCCCCCTGACGCCTGGTCCTCTGTCGGCCTTCCCTAGGGATCCAAGTTCACCCCGAAACAGAACTGATGACCTGTGGCCTCATCAGAGCCTGGCTCACTGCAAACGTCATGCTGCTCCTCACAGGCCTTTACATGGGCCACACACAACCCTGTGGGCCACAGCACCTCACAGCACAGAAGACTCCCTGACCTCACTACAGGCCTATTTCCTTTGCCTCATTAAAAATGTATTGGAAGCCAGGCACAGTGGCTCACGCCTGTAATCCCAGCACTTTGCGAGGCCAAGGCCGGAGGATTACCTGAGGTCAGGAGTTCGAGACGAGCTTGGCCAACATGGTGAAACCCCATCTCTACCAAAAACATAAAAATTAGCCGGATGTGATGGCGTGAGCCTGTAATCCCAGCTACTGGGGAGGCTGAGGTGGGAGAATCTCTTGAACCCAGGAGGTCGAGGTTGCAGTGAGCCAAGACTGTGCCGCTGCACACTCCAGCCTAGGGAAGAGAGCAAGACTCTCTGTCTTAAAAAAAAACACACACACACAAATATATTGGGCTGGGTGCAGTGGCTCACGCCTGGAATCCCAGCACTTTGGAAGGCCAAGTTAAGCAGATCGCCTGAGCCCAGGAATCGGAGACCAGCTTGGGCAACATGGTGAGACCCTGTCTCTACAAAAAAAAGAAATACAAAAATTAGCCAGGTGTGGTGGCGCACACCTGTAGTCCCAGATACTTGGGAGGCTAAGCTGGGAGGATCACTTGAGCCTGGGAGGCAGAGATTACAGTGAGATGGCGCCCCTGCACTCCAGCCTTGGTGACAGAGCAAGACCCTGTCTCAAAAAAATATATATATATATTGCCCTTTGATTTCAGCAAGAGTCCTGTCCTGGGTGACTTGGAGCCATCCAGCCTAGCCCTTCACATACACAGAACCTGAGCCCCCTCATCCTGATAGTCCAGGGCCCCTCAGGGTCAGGGGCTAGTGACGGGGCAATCTGCCACAAGCCCTGCCCAGAGGTGCCCCAGACTGGGCCTCTTCTCCCTGGAAGAGGTGCTTTACCTCCTCCTGCTTTCAGCAGTGCTGGCCACTACTCCCTCGTCAACCAGCACTCTGGTGGGCAGACCCTGGCTGGACCACCTGGCCCCCACACCTCCCACTGCACACAACCCTCCAGGCTTGCTCCACGTCCCCAGGGGCTATAGCAAAGACAGACGCACGATGAAACCAAGCTCACCTGCAGCGCCAGCGGCTCAGAGCCAGATGGGGGTCCCACAAGAGCAGGCAGCTTCAGAATGCTGCCGCGACGCCCCTGCAGTTCATGTTTTCCCGGTGCCCTGTCTGGAAGGTGATCTCAGGGAGGGTGGTGTTTGCAGCCATCTTGGAAGACACTCCCCGCTGCAAGCTCCATGTGGCCCTACAGACGGAAGCCACCTCAGGACAACTGCCACCATCCCTCAGGCACCAGCTTGGTGAGCTCCCAGAGGCAGTAGGAGACCACAGCTCAGAATTCCAGGACATCCGTTTGAGGACCCCTGTCCTCATCCAGCTTGGGCAGGCAGACCCTCTGCTGCATTCTAGGGAAGTGGCCACCGCCAGGCTTCACGCCACCAGGAGTGCATTCTCCGCAGGCTCCCCACCCCTGAATCACCCCGAGATAACGGAGAGGGCAATCAGCAAGAGAAGAGCTGCTGCCTCCCACCGCTGACCTGCTAGAGCCAGAGCACACTGAGACGCAGCACAACGCTCCAGGGCCAACTGAGTCAGAGCGGGGCCGCAGGATGATGGAGAGCAAGCTGGCATGGGCTGGGGGCGGGTGAAGGACGGGGCCTCACTACAGGCCCCACAGGGCCATGTCTGAGCACCCAAGGCCAGCCAAGCCCCCGGGGCAGCCTGGATGCCAGGAGTCTCCCAGACACAGCTAGCCAGCGGGGGAGGGCGCAAGCCTGGAACAGAAGTCCGTGTTCCCAGGTGGCCCCGTCTCTCCCGGGCAGCCTCCCCAGCCCCTAATGGGCAGGAGGGGCAAGTGTGCCTGGGAGAGACACCGGGCACAGTGCCCCTGCAGTGCCCACAGCCTGTTTCAGGATGGGCCCTGGAGCAACATGGCCGGCACAGAGCAGATCGTGGTGGGCTCTGAGCCCCACTCCCTCAGTCCTCCCCACAACTCCAGCAGGTGGGGACACAGTCCCAGAGTCCACAGTTACTGAAGCCAAACAGTCTATGACACCAGGCCCTAGGGGAGAGCTCCCTGGGAGTCTGGGCTAAGGTTCCCAGGGCCCTGACATGTGCCATGCTCTGCTAGGAGCCAAGCCACTGGAAGCGCAGGACAGCCTCAGTACTTCATGCCTGACTGTGCTGGTCAGACACACCCGGCCGAGGGGCCAAGAGCTCACCGCCAGCTGGTCGGCCTCAAAGAAACCCCAGCTGGGCCAAGAGGCCGCAGCCTCAGAGCCAGGCCCCCAGCCCATCACGCTAGCAGCAGGCAAGTCGCACAGAGGTGGGTCAAGGAAGCGGCCAACAGCAGCTGGCCCCTGGCCCTTGGGGAGGAGACTGGCCCCTGTGAGCTTCAGGCACACACCTGACACCTGCACTGGGCAGCACCTTCGAGGCAAAGGGGAGTGAGCTGCGCTGCGCTGCACTGGTGGCCGTGTGGCCCTGGCCTTCAGCTCCCCGGGGGAACAAGAGGAATAGGGAGGGCAGCTGATGCTTCTGCCCACAAGACCCCACAGCAGGGCACCTGCCAGCCACGCTCTGCCCCAAGCCCATGCTCTGTGTCCACGCTGTGCAGACCAACCAGTGGCAGAAGCTGGCACATGTACCAGCCCCTGGATCAAAGGCACCAGAAGGGAGCTTGGGGCCCCAGGGCTGATCTCCGAGACCAGGGCTCTGTAATACACACTCGAGCAAACCAACAGCTAACTTGACACTTGATGTCTGCAAGCTGCTAAACTTACGGTCATCGTATCTAGCCACACACCTCCCTTGAAATGCCATCTACTCTCTCCGTGAGCCCCAAGGCCCAGGCCAGGCAGAGTCGCACCTCGCCATCTCCAGCCAAGCCCAGACACAGCCATGGCACTTGCTTGGCTTCTCCTGGCCTGGGTGGCACCTCCCAGCAGCGCTCGGCCTGCCCTGAGGCTCCCCCAGGAGCTGGTGACAGTACCAGCCTCCTGCTGAGTGAAAGCTCCTGACAGCAGGGTCAGCACAGCCTCGGAGAGCCACAGGCGAGGGGACCAGAAAGGAGGGCCCTGAGGGGTGGCAGGTGGTGCAGGCACGGGCGTGGGCGCGGTCTCCTCTTCAGGATTCCTGTGGCCATCTAGAAGCCCTGAAGAGGGACACATGGCCCAGCCCTTTCCAGAACAGCTGAGCCCAGAGACTCTGTGTCCCTTTCCAGGCAGAGCCACCCAAGGGACCCCACAGCACGAAAGGGAGAGGTCTCAGCTGGGAGCCGAGAGAGGAGCGTCCCTGGGGCCCATCCTGAGGGGGCTCCTTGCATGTCGCCCTGCTCCCATGAGGACACGGACCAGAGGCTGCGGTCACCGGACTCAGCCCTGGAAAGAGGGGGCTCCAGTCAAGGGTGCCACAGACAGCCCTGGTCTTCCTGCTATGCCTTCCCATGCACCTCTCTACAGGAAGCACAGTTTGACCAGCTGGGATGCCGCCACTCAGCACCCACGCAGTGACCAGAGCTGGCCATTCACTGAAGCAGTTCTGTACCGAGGGACAGGATGGGACAGGAGGACAGGGAATGGGCCAGGCCATGGAGGCGGGCAGTGCCTCTGCACCACTCTCCCAGGAGGCCTCCCCACCCAGCTGGATGCCACGCCTGCCACACAACCCCAAGCCTGCCGTCCGCCTGGGCCTGGCACTGGCCCCGCTTCAGCGGCATCGGCCTGCGGCTGGCCCAGAGCCCAGGGTGCTGGCACTGGTGCTGACGATGTGGGGGGCCTGGAGAACCCCCACAGCCACCATAGTTCAAGTCCACCCAGGGCTACACCAAAACCCACGCTAGGATGCAGGCTGCTGCCCCAGTGGGGCCACAGAGGGCACTGACTTCAGTGGGGGTCCAGTGGGAGAACCCTGGAGAGACCCTGGCTGGACATTCTCTGTCTGCCATCAGGCAAGAGCCCAGCACCTCCCACCAAGAGTCACACCCATGACATCAGGGCCTCGCCAGGCTGGCCCACCAGTCACAGTCCCAACATAGCCCCAGAGCTCAGCGGATGCCCAGTGAGCAAGGGCAGGGCCAGTTCTGGAGAATGAGTGGCAGGAAGACCAGGTGCCTGCGGGCAGGAGACACTGGCCTGGGGCTGCTTCCTCTCCCAGTCCTGCTGCTGGTGCCGAGCAGGAGACCCCTCAGGGAACCAGGACTTCCTTCCCATCAGGACCCCGCCCAGCACGCGATTGGACTTGGTGCAGGGGGAAACAACCAGTGGGGATCACGGGGTTCCCAGACGATGCCCAAGTCCACATGGACTCTGACCACACCCAGCTTTGCCACGACCCACCTGTGGGACCACAGCAGGGGCCCTCAGGCAAGGGTCAAGGTGGAGAGACAGAGGAGGCTGGCAGGGGCCACTTACGGGCAGCAGATGGGGCACAGAAGGCTACAGCCCCAGCAGGGGACTAAACAGGGGCCCAGCAACATCCTGACCCCATGCAGAGAAGGGGCCAAATCCCAGAAGGTGCAGGCCACATTCGTCCCCAGCTGGAAAGCCGCCTCAGTGCCCAGAGCCACACCCACTCCCCAGTCCCTCAACAGGAGGCCAGCTGAGGCTGGCAGAGCCATGCCCCCATTACTTTGGTGGGAGAACCGAGAGCTGGTGAAAAGACACCGCCAGGAGGCAAGCAGGAGGCAAGCAGCACAAGCCCTGCTGGCCATGCCTGAAGATAGACCCCTGAGAGGCCGGCACAGGAAGAGGACAGGCGGGCAGAGTGGGAGGAGGACCAGGCCAGCAGGGGTGGCCATCGGGACGGCCCTGTGCCGTGCCCACCCGCCACCCGAGCACTTGGCAACGTGCCCCTGGCTGCCTGGTGGGGGTTAGCAGGTGGTGACAGAGCCTGTGTCCTGCACCCCAACACCCACTGCCTGGTGGACTCCTGAGAGAGGCCACCAGGGTGAGGGACCTACCCAGGCTCTCGGACAGGTGTCCTGCACTTGATTCAAAGTCTGCCAAGACACGTGACTGGGGGGATGTGCCAGCCCTGGGCTGGGAAGAGAGGGACAAGAGGACTACCTCAATCCATTCAACAAAAGGAGCAGCCCAAGCTGTCCCCAGTGTGGGGACCCAGGGTCCTACGGTGGTATGAGTTCTGGCTCTCCTGAGAACGCCACCCTGCCTGCGCAGCCCAGGTCTTCAGCTTGGCACCCACAGCACAGTGCAGCACCACCACGGCACACACGCGATCCCACGCCAGTTCTGTGAAGTAATTAATTAGCACAGCCACAACCCACGCAAAACTGGAGGCCGCCGGCATGCCTGATAATTTATGCAAGATTCAAAGATCGCTGTGGCTGCCTTTCCTGAAGCCTAATTCAGCATTTTCTTTTTCCCTTATGAAAGCAGGACTCCAGATCTAACTGCTCTCATGCCCTTTCACGGGGTTCACCGCAGTAAAATTGAACAGCCCAGCTGCACACAGCAAGCAATGGTGGATCACATACCCCAGAGGCACCAGGCAGAGCCTCCCAGGTGGGCAATGCTGGCCAGCAGCACAGCCCAGCAGGAACATCACACCGGGCCAAAGCACCCAAAGGCACCGCTCAGCCCCACAGCAAACATTCCTGACCCCATTCACAGATAGGGCACCGAGCACCAGCAAGGAGAACGGGCAGACAGGGCCAAAGTCTCCCGCCAGGCCACGCCCACACCACGCCTGGGGGCTCATAACCCTGCCTCCTGCATCCGGCAAAGGTCCAGGCCTCCAGCACCGGACATGGGGCTGCTCCCCAGTACCTAGCAGCATGGGACAGGGTGCCTGCTCCTCACTCTCGCTGGGGCCAGGGGAGAGTCTCCGGCCCCTCTGGCCCTGGCACCCTCCCCCACTGCCAAGACACAGCAAGCCCACCCTGGCAACCACCCTGCGGTGCACCTCGGGCCCTGCGTGCTCCTGCCTCCTCGGGGGCCGCCACTCATCTCTGCGCAGGGCAGGGGAGCCATATTGTTTCTGACCACAGCGCTCCAGCTCCCCACAAGGCTGGGACCCAGACCCAGCCAACTCACAACAGAAGCCAGGCGGCACTGCCGAGGCGCTGTGGGGCCAGCGGCCACGCCTCGGCCAGGCAGCGACAGACACCCTCCACGGTCAAGCTTCCATCCTCAGGCTCTGTGCAGCAGGTCAGGGCTCCACCCATGCCTCACATTCCATCCACGGCCAGCCTCCCGGGGAGATCGCCAGGCTCAGAAAGGCCTCCCAGCAGCCTGGCACAGGAGGTTACGGCGAGGATGGCACAGAAACCAGCCCCTCTGCTGGAGGCCGGGGATCGAGGCTGGTGGCACTCTGCCCACTTGCTCACTGAGCCTCTGAGTGCTGCTGCCGACCTCCACCGGCCTGCACATCTCAAAGGGGCAGGACAGCGTCAGGGCAGGGAGCCCTGTGTGGCTTTTCCTCCTGGTGGGCAGCCCTCTGCCAGGCCCTCACCCCTCGGTTGCCCGCTAAGCATGGTGACTGCCCCACCTTCCCGCCCATGGCCTGCCCATGGGGCCTCCTGAGGGAGCGAGGCCCTCCCTTCTGCCCAGGTCCAGTCCTCTGGGAGGGGGGGCGCCTCACCCTCACCAGGAGCTGCCGCAGCCTGAGGCTCACGTGCACGCAGGGCGGCCAGGGTGCTCCCCACAGCACCTTCTTAACAGGCAGGACGGACAATAAGCCGGCAATTCCTGCAATACAAAACATGAGGCAGGAGGAAGGAATGCCCATGGTGGCGGGGTGGCTGGCACGCGATCTTAGAGGAGCTGGCCTGGCAGAATGGACCACGGCCCACCTCACAGACTCCCGAATGAGGGGAGCAAACTGTGCACACCTAAGGGTGGGGGACGGGCCTGGCCAGAGGTTGGGCCTGGTTGGAGCAAGCCGGGCCTTCGAGGTGGGGCAGGGCCAGTCGAGAGAAAGCGGTTGGGTTTTTCCCATGCACTGGAATCCACAGGCTGCGCTGGTCACCGGGAGAAGCCGCTGGGGACAGAGGGACAGAGGGGTAGGGGGCCATCACACTCCCAAGCTGGTGCCTGCTCAGTGACACCCCCATAAGCATCTGTGGCCAAACAGTGCAAAGCCACAGCACGGGCTGGGTGCAGAATCCACCCAGGCCTCTGATGCCAGGGCTGCGTGGCAAACCACCCCCTCTCCAAGGCACCGGGAGGCAACACAGAAAGGATCGTGTGCACAGGGAGGACCCAAGGACACAGGAGGGCCCCAGGGACCTCTGAGGACTCAGAGAGGTCACATGAACAGCCGTCAAGGCAGGCCCTTCTGAGACCGAGAAGTCAGGAGGCAGCGTTCCAGGAAATGTCGCACCACAGTCGGGGGGAGACCCCACACAGGACTGGGCGGGCGGCCAGGGCTCTGGGGAGGCTGCCTTTGGCTTCACCAGGGCTAGAGGGTGAGACCCAGTATCCAGAGAGCGCCGTGTGCCTGAGGGACCCCAGCCTCTCAGGTCCCACCTGGGTCCTGCTCTGGGGCTGGGGGAAGCCACGACCACCTGGTGGCAGGGAGGGGCTGAGGGCCAACAGCTCACACAGGCTCTCCCTAAGCACTTCCTCAGAGAAACTCGGACTCGGGGAATGGGCATCCAGGCCCCAAAAGAGTCACCCAGGCAGGACAGCCCTGGCACCTAGTGACACCAGCCAGAGGTGGGTCCAAGACCCACGCCTGCCCTTTCTGCCAGTGAGCTGGGGTGAGTGGAGACTCCACTTCTCATCTGCAAATGCTGACAGCAGTTCCTCCACACCCAGGGGCGGGCACGGCAGACTGAGGGACGGGTAGGAATCGCCCTCCGTGTGTACAGCAAGCTCTGGGCCAGAGGCAGATGCCCGGCCTGGCTCCTGTCAAAGCCTGGGCAGCCGGCAGGCCTCGACCCAGCCTGGTTGTCCACACGAGACCACCACGCAAGCCAGGCCCTTTCTGTCCACCACAGGTGTGCCCAGGACCTGCCAGGCCCGCACCCTCCACCAGCACACTGGCGACAAGTCTGGGAAGGCGGCTGCTTCCCAGGCAGGGCCCTGGGCTTATTCCAGGCCACGGGGGAAGGGGGCAGGCCACCGGCATGCATCCACCATCCTGGGTGGGTGAAGCAGAGAGGGCCCTCCCACTCCAGCAGATGACGACACCACTGCCTACCCACCTACCATGACTTTTCCCTGGCGTAAAATAGCAGACGTTTCCATGTGGCTGGTAGGAATCCCATCACCTCCCGCCACCAAGAAGCTCCCCAGCCTGGGCACAGGGTGGTGGGTGGGAGAGCTGGCCCTCACTCCTGGCCTGGCCTGGAGTGTACAGCCTGGACAGCATCCCTCTGCACAGGCCGGCCAGGCTTAGGGAGTCATGCCTGTCATCTCAGGGTGGCCGAGCACAGCGACGGGCCCCAGGAGGATGTACCACGAAGCTGGCCCCACTTCCCCCGCACCACAGTGAGAGCCTGGCCACAGTGCTCAGCCGTGTGTACTGTAAACACTGTACTCGAGAACACTGATTGCCACAGTTATGTGAGTGGCAAACAGGACACCATTTTTCAGACTCCAAAAAGGTTTTCTTCTCTTCTGCCCAAATGCCCCCTCTAGCATCGGTCCACCAGAGACAGATCAACCCAGGCAGGTCTCTACTGCAGCCTCCAGCAAACATTACTCGCCCAGGCCACCCTTCTGGGGCTGTCTTCTATCTCCTTTTTTTTTTTTTTTTTTTTTGAGACAGGGTCTCATTCTGTCACCCAGGTTGCAGTGCAGTGGTGCGATCATGGCTCACTAGAGCCTCAACCTCCCAGACCTAAGCAATCCTCTCACCCCAGCCTCCCGAGTAGCTGGGACTACAGGCGTGTGCCACCATGCCCGGCTAATTCTCGCATTTTTTGTAGAGATGGGGTTTTGCCACGTTGCCCAGGCTGGTCTTGACCTCCTGGGTTCAAGTAATCACCCGCCTCAGCCTCCCAAAGTGTTGGGATTCCAGGCATGAGCCTCGGCACCCGGCCAGTGTCTCACATCCTCATCCCCCAGCTGCCAACAGACCCATCCCCAGGAGAAAAGGGAAGGAAGAAACGGAAGGCAAGGGGCACACTGACAGCAGAGGAAGAGACCCCCAGGAATCCCCTGCCCCGCCCCCAGCCGAGGTCTGACTCCAGGCCCAGAGGACTTCGGAGGGCCGGGAGAGGCAGGGAGGGGAGGAGAGGCACCGAAGAGTCAGGCTGAAACCTTCCAAACAGTCTCAGTCCCCAGGCGTGAGCGGCCACAGTGCTGCTGAACAATGCACTTTTGAATTCAATTAAAGCGATTATCTGTTGTGCCAAATAAATTGTGTACAGCATATATCCTGTGGCACTTTACACCTCCAGGCTCATTATTCCCTAACTGTTTCCTCCTGTTTATGCCTCTCAAATTAAATTGCTGATAATATGCGCCAAAATAAAAAATGAACGCACCTTGTCCCAAGAAAATTGATTCTCCCTTTTCCTGAACTGGCGATGGCCAGGTTTTATATACTCTGTTCTTGGTGATCATTAGTAATTCAATTTTCTTTTTATTAGCCCCCTTATCTGCTGAGCAATATAGTGGCAGGGCTGACCTCTTTCGCACGGGTAAATGTTTAAAATCTTTTCCCTGATTAATTTTGCCAGTTAAGAAAAAGAGGAGAAATGGCCCGGCTCTTAGCCATCACAATGAATAAAGCTTAATGTTGATTGTGACGGAATTTCTAATGCCAGGGAAATTGATTGAACGCGGCAATTACGCTGCAATAGTAACTCAGGGGAGATGGGATCGCTTTCTCCTGGCCGTAGCCTTTTGGTTATTTAAAATAATCCAATTTGCAAGGATAATTATGTATTAGCGTTTTATCTGCCACTTGAAATGAACAGGGGAGTTTCGATACTGGCCCAGCATTAGCAGGTTATTGCTGCAAATTACTTGGTATCTGCTTTCTTTCACATAAAAAGGAAATTACGCGATTACCAAAAAAGGGTGGACGGAGGCGATAGGAGGGGCAAGCATGCCCTCTGCTGGCCACTGGGCCGCACGGCAAGGCTGAAGTGCGGCGGGGGAGGGAGGCGGCAGCAGGGCTGCCTGGCAGCTTTCAGAAGCCCCTGTCCCTGGTGCATAAGTCCACAGGGCAGTCGTCCCCAGCTGGACACTGGGACACTGCCGTCTCCTTGAAGAGGAGAGGTGGAGCTGGAACTAAGCTTTTGCTGGGCAGAAAATGGGGAAAGAAAACTCCCAACAGCCAAATGAAGGAGCAGTCCCACCTGGCTGCCCCATCCACAGCCCACACGACCCCAGCATCCAGGAACGAACACCCCAGCCGATGGAGGCCTTGGCCACCCGGGAGGGCTGAAGGAGGGCCTGGGAAGGGCTCACTGGCTCACCAGAGCACTGCAGCGTTCAACGAAACAAAGCTGGGCCCTGCCCAGAAGCCCACTGGCCAAGGCAGAGGACAGGCAGGCCTCAGTTCCTAGGCAGGCAGGCAGGCATGGAGACGGTGGGCCTTGCAGGAGGGCACCTGGGGGAGCCACTCAACAGCTTCCTGGGCCCCAGCCTCCCATCTCCTCAGCAGACGCCCTGGCCACGCCCACCTCCCCTGCGGCCAGCTTGGAGTCTCACGGTGGCTGTCTCTGGGGTCAGCCGCCTGAGTGACCAGGCCAGGACGCAGGCTCGGCCTCTCACCTCCGCGCACATCTCCACGGGCTCCCTGCCTGCTTGAGAGCCTGCGGACTCCGCTCCTTGGCCTGGCGTCAGTGGCCTCACGCACAGGTCCTCCCGACTCTGCCCACTCGGGCCTGCCAGACACCCCGGGGCCCTGGACACGCCCCTCCCAGGGTCCTCCCCTGTCCCTCCCTGGCTTCCCAACGTAACCAGAACCAACCCCCCGTTCCCTCCTGTGGCCTACAAGACCCTTTCCCAGGACCTGGTCCCTCTGCCCCGTTGGCTGCATCCCCTCCAAGCCACACTCCCAGATGGTGAACTGGCCCCACAGCCTCCTTGTGCTCCAGAACACAGTAAGCTCGTTCCCACCTCCACCTCGGCCTCAGAGCTGAGCCCTATTCGCTCCTCTCTGCTCAGGTCACCTCCTCAGAGAAGCCCTCCCACTCGCCAACCACCTCTCTGCAGCTGGCCCTGTGCTCTCCCCCTGCCTGTTCCTCAGAAGGCATTTTCCACCCAGGAGCACCTTCCTGGCTGATGTACAAGCACTCCAGTGGCTGCCTGTCTCCACCACTGGAAGGCGGCTCCAGCCTCATCATCTCTTCACCTTCACTGCAGTATCCCCAGGAGCCGGCAGGCTGCCAGGCACAGTGACTCAACCACGCTTGCCAGTTGGGCCAGTGGTGGGCAAGTGAGTGGGACGCCTTCCCCACCCCTTCCTCAGACAGGACCCTCTCCTCTCACTCCATGCAGCCGCCACGCTGGTCTTTTTTTTTTTTTTTTTTTGAGACAAAATGTCACTCTGTCGCCCAGGCTGGAGTACAATGGCACGATCTAACCTCTGCCTCCTGGGTTCAAGTGATTCTCCTGCCTCAGCCTCCCGAGTAGATGGGATTACAGACGCTCGCCACCACACCCAGCTAATTTTTGTATTTTTAGTAGAGACGGGGTTTTGCCATGTTGCCAAGGCTGGTCTTGAACTCCTGACCTCAGGTGATCCACCCGCCTCGGCCTCCCAGTGTGCTGGGATTACAGGCATGAGCCACCACGCCCAGCCTCACGTTGGTCTTTAACTATGAGTTTGGCTGGGCACAGTGGCTCACACCTGTAATCCCAGCACTTTAAGAGACTAAGGCAGGAGGATCACTTGAGCCCAGAAGTTCAAGACCAGCCTAGGCAACAAAGCAAGACCCTGTCCCTACAAAAAAATTAAAAATTAGCCAGGCACAGTGACATGCACCTGTAGTCCCAGCTATTCAGCAGGGTCACTTGAGCCCAGGAGGTTGAGGCTGCAATGAGCTGTGACTGCACCACTGTACTCTGGCCTGGGAGGGAAGCAGGGCCCTGTTTCTAAAAACATTAAAAAAAAAAAAAAAAACGACGAGATCAATTACGCCCTTCCCTCTAGTGAGGCAGGACCGCAGCAGCCCCTCAGCTGTGCACTCCGAAATGGTCAGCCGGTGAAGCTGGTGGCCTCCCAAACCCACTCTTCCTGGCAGGAGTCCGGGGGGCGCCGAGCAAGGCCCCACCAGCAGGAAGCAACCTCCCCCATCCCCTGCCTATGCCCCACTCTACTAGAGGCCTGAAGAGGGAGCAGGCCAGGTGAGCAGGGCTGAACCTGCACCCAGTGGGGAGCCTCTCACCCCAACCACCACGCCATCTGCAAGCCTTGGCCTCCTAGGGCTCAGCAGACCCTGCTGGCCTCCCAGAGCTGGACACCTCCCCAACCCCTCCTCCCCAAGTGACCAGGGGATACCGCCAACTGTCCAAGCCACCCCTACCATCCACTCCCAGATAAGCCCACGACCTAACCACCATCCGGCCACCTCACTGTGGCCACCAGGGACCGCATGGGTCTCTGCTTGCTCCCTGTCACCAGGATGAAATCCACATGTCCTGGCGTGCAGCAGGTGTCGGCTAACGGGGTACAGCCGACCAGCGCCCCCAGCCCCACTTCCTCCCACCCCACTGTGCTGCAACACCCGGCTGCATCGCCCCATTCAGCCCTCCACCTGGGACCCAACGCCCTGCCCTCCCGCGGCAGCCCCCACACGGCTCTTGGGTCTGCCCAGGCCCAGCTCCTTCCAGAGCCGTCTGAAGCCTCCCTAGATGACGGTACGCTTGGCTGGGTTTCTTTTTTTTTTGAGACAGAGTCTCGTTCTGTCGCCCAGACTGGAATGCAATGGAACGATCTCGGCTCACTGCAACCTCCCAGGCTCAAGCAATTCTCCTCCCTCAGCCTCCCGAGTAGCTGGGATTACAGGCATGTGCCACCATGCCCAGCTAATTTTTGTATTTTTGGTAAAGATGGGGTTTTGCCATGTTGCCCAGGCTGGTCTTGAACTCCTGGCCTCAAGTGATCTTCCCACCTTGGCCTCCCAAAGAGCTGGGATTACAGCCATGAGCAACCGCGCCCAGCCTTGGCTAGATTTCTGAGCACCGGTTCCCAGTCGGAGTGCCCAGGTCCAAGCCTGCTCAATCCCCAACGCCCCACCTTCTCCAGATGTCACAGACACGAGCTCGGGAAGTCACTGCCCTAACGCGCCCAGCAGAGCCCCAGAGTCGCACAGGACCAGGTGCACACAGACGAACGTGGCTCCACACTGACCCCCACGGTGTCTGGGGGGTGCCACACCCAAGGGCTCTAGACCCTCACCACATACCCCCAACCACGTGCCCGCCTGGAGGCCGCTCCCCCAGTGTGTCCTGGCAAACATCACCGCAGTGGGGGTCAACCTCAAAGGGGCTACGCCCCACAATCTGCAGGCCGGGGCCTTCCCAGGCCACCACAGGGGCTCTCAGGGGCTCAGACCAGTTCTCTCCAGGCGTGACTGGGCACACTTAGAGTGGTACAGCAGGAGACCAGACCAATTCTTTCAGGCCACTCAAAAAACTCACACAGTACCATGTGACACTCAGAAAGGGCAGGGCAGGTAGACCTGCAGCCCCAGCCAGCTGAGCACAGAAGGGCCCTGGAGGAGGCAGAGGCCTGGGGGTGCCCAGCGCAGCACAAGCGAGGGCTTCACCCCTGCTTAAGGGCTCAGCAGCCGCCGCCCTCTCCTCCCTCAGGAGGGACACAGCTGGGTCCATACCAAGGGACACACAGAAGAGGCCACAGCACCTGCCCAGCAGCACATCCCACAGCCAGACTGCAGGGCGCAGCATCCGGGCCCTATCCTCTATCTGCCAGCCCACCACCACCGTCTGCCAGGCAGTGCCCTCCCAGCCAGGGCCTCTACCAGCATGAGGCAGGGAAGGTGCCCATGGCTCCTAACACGCCAGCATATCCCATCAGGCAGGCCCAGCCCCAGTGCCCAGCGCCCCTGCTCCCAGCATACCTTCCTTGGTGGGGAGGTGGGCCCGGCTCGGTGGCAGGCGACATAGTCGGTGCGTGGTGACCTGTACCAGGCCCTTGTTGGGGGTCTTCTTCAGGACAGGGCTGCTCTTCCCCCTGAGGGCCTGTCTCCGCCGGAGGCTGAGGTGGCTCTTGGCGGTGGCGGCAGGTGAGGTGCCGCTTTTCTTGTCTCCAGGAAGGCTGTGGAGACAAAATACAGGCAGCTCTCAACAAGCCCTGGGGGTTCTGCCCACCCACCCTTCCTCACCAGGACCCGAGGAGCGTGGGAGCAGCTCCTGAAGGCCAGGACCAGGCCACAGCGGGTCCTTTCTGGACCCTGCCTCCCTCAGCCCATGGCGGCCCTGCCCACCCTCCACAGCCAGGCTGAGGCGGCAGGCTTGGATCCACAATCCCAGATGACCCCAGAACTAGGGCAGGCTGCCATGCTCCCAGGGAGAGCAGAGGGGCCTCAGTGCTCCGTCCCCACCCGCATGTCCACCCCCTCCCCATCTGCCCAGGAAAAAGGAGCCTCTACGTGGGGCAAAGAGAAGGGCCGACATCCCTGAGGAGAGCGGCCACCGGCCCCAAGTGGCCTGCCAAGCCCCTCAGTAAGGGGGCAGCTTCTCCACGCTCCCTCTCCACACTTCCTGGACAGAGGGAGCTGCCAGCATGGTTTAGAGCAGAGTTGCCACCGAGAAACAGCCAGGAGTGGGAGCCGGGTGCCCATGCGCCTCAACACGGCACCTATCTGGGGGACGAGGGCCAGAGAGAATGAGCTACACGAGCCAGCAACCTAGACCAGACGGCAGGGCACCACTGTGTCTGATGACAGAGGCAGGACCCCCGCCCTCTGCCCAGCAGGTGCAGCCACCACCTTAGCTGCCAACCTCATGGAGTCCCTGAGCCCAGACCAAGCACTGTGCCATGACACCATCTCTGAGTCTCATCACAAGTCCGCAAGGGTGGAGGCCGGGAGAGATGTGCGCCAAGCAAGTGAGTGACTCTGCCTGGCTGCCTGGCCAAGGGGGCTGGGACCTAACACCAATCTGCTCGCCCTGGGACCAAAGGCCAACTGCAGCCTCAACACTCCGCAAGGGAGGCCACAGAGCCCAAAGCCAGGAATGCCTAAGGAGGCTCCCGCCTACCAGCAGCCCCCGGCCCCTGCCCACTCAGACCAGCTGGAGCAGCCCTCAGCCTGAGGGCCAGCAAAGGCCAGGCCTCCTGGAGCCCAAGCCCTAGACACGGGGCATGCAGGAAAGACCAGGCACCCCTGGCAGGGCCCAGAGCTCTGGTCCACCTCCCAGCACAGACCCGTGGCCGGCAGGTCCAGGCCAGGGGCAGACACACTGCTCTCTGTCTCACCATCCCCCTGGGGACACATGGACCCTGGACTGGTCCCTGGGAGCTACTCCCCCTGCGCCTGGCCTGGCACAAAGCCTTCCCTCTGTGAACCCTGTGCAACTGGAACGGAAGCTGCCCCCAGCGAGCTGCTTGTCTCTCACCGGCAGGAGAAAGGATGGGCTTGCCAGCAGTGTGAGGGACGGGAAACCTGTCCCCTAAGTTTATGCCGGCCAGGGCCCCGGCCCCAGGCAAGCCCAAACCACCACAGCAGCACTTCCTGCCTCATTTCTTGCTGGAAATGTGAACGCAACTGCAGGCAAAGCTCCGAGCTCAGCAGATCCATTAGGGGTGCCAAACAAACCCTCCTCACAGCCCCTCACACTCTACCGCAGCCGGCCGGGATGCCCACCTTGTGCTGCTGCGTCTCCGGATGATCTTGGTGCGGCTCTTCACTTTGTAAGCCGAGAGCGGGGTCTCCCCAGAGAGGGGCTTCAAGCCACTGTGTCCTACTGCTGGTCTGTCCCCCGACGGGGACCTAGACAGGACTGGGGAGAGCTGGGAGGCATGGTCCTTGCTGCTGGCCTCCGACTGCCAACGGAAGGAGGAAGAGGAGGAGGCAGAGGGGCTGGAGGCCTTCCACTTGTACTTGCTGGGGGCAGACCCTGGCTTGGAGGACGTGGCTGGCTTCCTGGGCTTGGGCTCTGGGTCAGCTATGAGCTGCGGCTTCTCCACCTTGTTTGCCATGCCAGCAGAGGCCTTGCACACATTCTCTGCAGCCACTCTGGGACTGAGGGCCCTCCGAGCAACCCGGGGACTCTTCGAGGAGGCAGCCACCCATTTGTAGTTGTTTTTCCGGAACTTGTTAGTTCGACAGGTCACAACCAGCGAGGCCTCCCGGGCCTGCCTGGGTCCTGAGGCCGGTCTGGCGGGGCCCCCCACTGAGCCAGACGGAACTGGCTGATCTGTGTGGCCAGCATCTACTCTCCTGTCCCCAAGGAGCTGTGGAGCACAGCTGGCCACGGAATGAGAACCCAGCTTCCGGCCCAGGGCCACGCCAGTGCGTGGGGGCAGAGCGGAGGATGGGAAGCTCGCCTTGACGGCAATCACACTCTCACTGACTGTCCGGCGGGGCTCCCGGGGGCTGTCGCCCACACTGCCCACTGACTTCACCATCCTGGGCTTACCAGGCTCCTTCTGGCAGACCAGAAGAGGATCTTCCACACTGCAGGTCCCCCTGGCTCTTGTTGGCCTCGAGGGCTGCAGCTGTCCCCGAGGGGGCTCACCTTCACCTTCCCGGGGCCTTTGGTCACTCCAGGGGGTTTCCTCAAATTCTTCCAAAGAGCCCCGCTGGGCCCCTGAGGCACTGGCAGAGCCAGACTTTGATGGCGGTTTAACTTTGATGACCACGTTCTGACCCTGACTGAGCTGGACCTGTCTCTCAAGGACATGCTGCTGCGGGACAGGAGGCTGGCCCCCCCGGGCCCCGTGCAACGGCCGCACAGCATGGTCGGCAGGAGGGTCTGAGGGTCCCGGGGGCCGATTCACGAGGGAGTATTTCTTGCGCCACGAAGGCCCATGGTGGGAAGAGTAGCCCCTCCGGCTTGGACGAGGGTAGCGGGCACTAAAGGCTCTGCCACTGTGGTAAGTGGGTGGCTGCCACCCAGAAGCTGCTGGGGTACCAGGGGCCGGGGCATTGCCGTGGAGGGTTTTGTAGTCATCAATCAGACCTGAGAAGACAGAACCACAGGCCCAGTTAGCCAGAGGGTAACCGCGATAATCATGACTACCCTGGAAGGGCATCAGCTGGCAAGATACCCCCAGATCCCATCTCACTTCTGAGCCCCTGCCAGTTTCAGGAGGGGCAGCCCCCAGAGCCTGGGACTCACTGACAACTCAGCCCGCGTCACCTGGGCCTGTCGCTTCTATGAGCCTTTTCTCCATCAGCTCCACTTCAGTCCTACTTCTGCCTGCTTCACACAGAAATGAACCGTGTGGTGTAACAAGCCTTATTTGCTGGTCTACTGAGTCCACAGTCATTTGCTGAGACGTGTCACTCAGTCTGAAGAGAATCGCAATGATCCCCTCTGCACTGTTTGAATCAGAGGGGACAAGTGGCCGCACAGGCCCTCTGGCTTGCCTACAGATGGAAAGGAGTCACTCCACTGAGTGTAACAGAACTGACACTCTCGAGGACCCCATGCCTGACAACAGGAAAAAAGAATACTAGGAGCAGAGGCCATTGCTCTGCCAGATTCATAGTCTTCCCTGCAGAAGAGGAAACATCAATGGGCTAGAGTCCTACTGCAGTGAACTGACACAACCACAGGACTTTCCAAATAAGTCCCTGGATAGCTACCCCGGTGCAGGAGGGCCAGGAACACAGGCAAGGGCGGCAGCAGCCAGCCTCCCAGTTATCAGCATTCCCCCACCACAGGCCCTGCCCCCGGGGGCACAGAAAGCCACGTCCAGACGTGTTGACGCCCCAGAGCAGGTGTGATGGGAGCTCAAGAAGTGTCCCCAAGTGGGAGGCAGCCCACCTGGCCTCTTATCCATACACACTTTCCCAATCCTTAAGTCTTCCCTTTGTGAGAGTAAAAGCAAAAAGGATTTTTAATTTTTAAAGCTTTTTTTTGTTTGGTTGGTTTTGGCTTTTTATTTGAGATGTGGTTTTTCTCTGTTGCCCAGGCTGGAGTGCAGTGGCCCAATCACGGCTCACTGCAGCCGGGACCTCCAGGGCACAAGCAAACCTTCCACCTCTGAGTAGCTGGGACTACAGGCGCAAGCCACCACGCCCATCTCACTTTTTAAAATTTTTCTGTAGAGACGGGCTCTCGTCATGTTGCCCAGGATGGTCTCAAACTCCCGGGCTCAAGCCATCCTCCTGCCATAGCCTCCCAAAGTGCTGGGATTACAGGTGTGGGCCACTGCGTCCGAACATGGATTTTCTTTTTAAGTTTAGAAAGACCAATTTGGGTTTTTTAATGTTTAAGTGTGGAAGCTGAAGCCTGTTCAGTCTGCGCCTGGAATGGCAAGGGGAGTGTGACTGTTCGGAGAAAAGGGGCATCAAAACCGGGCGTCGAGGCTGGGAGCGGTGGCTCATGCCTGTAATCCCAGCACTTTGGGAGGCCGAGGCGGGTGAATCACCTGAGGTCGGGAGTTAGAGACCATCCTGGCCAACATGGTGAAACCCCGTCTCTACTCAAAATACAAAAATTAGCCAGGCGTTCTGGCGCCTACCTGTAATCCCACGTACTCCGGAGGCTGAGGCAGGAGAATCACTCGAACCCAGGATGAGGAGATTGCAGTGAGCCGTGATCGCGTCACCGCACCCCAGCCTGGGTGACAGAGCAAGACTCTGTCTCAAAAAAAACCGGGCGTCAAGGAAGGAACCCGCGTGCGCCCTTAGCCTGCTCTGCCGAAATGAGCCATGAACTAGTCCCAGCCCCGCAGTGGGGCGCGGGGAGAGAGTGGGCGCCGGGGGACGCGACAGCCCGCGGTGGTGGGGAGGGCCGCCGCCCCCCGCGGGTTACTAAGCGACGGCCCTGCCTCCACCCTCTGCAGCCCCAGCAGGGCCGGCACCACTCCCTCGACAAAGCTGGAGCCGGGGACTGACCCGGGCCCTGAGCCGGCCCACAAGTCCTGGCGGACCCTACCGTCCCCCACCCCAGCCGCCACCCAGAACACGCGGGCGGTGAGCGACCCCTTCGACAAGGGGGCAGGGGACCCGCCGCGAGGTGAGGGGGAAAGAAGGGGACTCGCGTCCCGGCCCCGGCCGGACCTACCCTGCAGTAGGCGGATCTGCCGCCGTAATATCTCCTTTTCCTCCATCTCCCGAGTCCGCGACGGCCGGCCAGGCCCCCACGACGTCATCGCTACGCGACCTTTTTCCCGCGGGCGGGGCGGAGCGGGCCAGGGCGGAGCTGCCAGGAGCAGGCCCGGATGTCTGCCGACCGCCGAGGACCCGCCGTCGCGCTGACAACGGCAGCGGAGAGGCAGAGCCGCGCACGCGCAGAACGAGGCGGGGACGTCACTAGTGAGCGCCGGGAAGTGGCCTGGTAACGGCTGGGAAGGGACTGCTTGGGCTCTGGGAGGCCGCGCGGGCCCAGCTTGTGCAGTCCGGGATCGCGTCCCCTTGGGAGACTTGGCGAGGGGCGAGACCTGGGGCCCACCCAGCCCATACCGCAGTTCCTTCCCACAGTCCCTGCGTTTCATTTCGCCCCAGTTGAGTGTTGGGGGGGGGGGGGTCTACGCGGGGACCCATGGGAGAAGGGCCAGTTAACAATTACTCTTGACCCAGGAGGGTCTGTGAAACCTCTTACTGTGGCCAGAGGAGAAGACATCGGAGAGCAAGGTTCCCTGGATAGACATGTTGAACCTCTGAAAACATGAAAGTTTTTAGTTCGTCATTGGAAACATGTACAAGTGTAAACCTCTGTGCGCTGTTGGTGGGAATGTAAATGGCGCAGCACCGCAGAAAACTATGGAGATTCCACAAAAGGTTAAAAGTAGAACTACCGGATATGAGGGCGATCTGGCTGCGACACCTGTCATCCCATTGATCGCCAGGGTTGATTCGGCTGATCTGGCTGGCTAGGCGGGTGTCCCCTTCCTTCCTCACTGCTTCATGTGCGTCCCTCCCGAAGCTGCAGCTCAGTCGAAGAGAACGACCATACCCAATAGAAGAGCTGGGCTTCCCTGGTAGAACCTCCAAACAAGCTCTCAAGGTCCATTTGTAGGAGAAGGTAGGGTAGTCAAGATTCCAGACACATCCAAATGAGGCGCTGCATGTGGCAATCTGCCTTTCTAGGAGAAAACAAAAATGGAACTACGGTATGATCCAGCAACCCTACTTCTGGCTATATTCCCAAAAGAATGGAAACCAGAGACTCAAACATATTTGTGCCCCCATGTTCACTGCAGCATTTTTCCCAATAGCCAAAAGACGGAAACAACCCAAGTGTCCACGGGTGGATGGAAGGATAAACAAAATGTGATCCATACAAACAATGAAATATTTTTCAGCCTTAAAATGGAAGGAAATTCGGCCGGGCGCAGTGGCTCACGCCTGTAATCCTAGCACTTTGGGAGGCTGAGGCGGGCGGATCACGAGGTCAGGAGTTTTGAGACAAGCGTGGTCAACATGGTGAAACCCCGTCTCTGCTAAAAATATAAAAAATTAGCCAGGCGTGGTGGCGCACACCTGTGGTCCCAGCTACTCAGGAGGCTGAGGCAGAAGAATCGCTTGAACCCAGGAGGCGGAGGTTGCAATGAGCCAAGATCAAGCCACTGCACTCCAGCCTGGGCGACAGAGCTAGACTTTGCCTCAAAAAAAAAATAAAAGGAAAAAAAGAAGGAAATTCTAACACAGGATACACCATGGATAAACCTTGAAAACACTGTGCTTTGTAAAATAAGCCAGTCACTAAAAGACAAATCTTGTGTGATTCCACTTCCATGAAGTATCTAGAATACAGATTCCTAGAGACAGAAGGTAGATTAGAGTTTCAGTGGCTGGGATAAGGAGGAATGGAGAAATGTTGCTTAATGGGTGTAGGCTTTCTGTTTGGAGTGATGAAAAAGTTTTGGAAGTAGTGGTGATGGTTACACAAAATTATGACGGTAATAATGCCACTGAATTGTACACGTTAAAATGGCTAGGCTGGGCTGGGCGCAGTGGCTTATGCCTGTAATCCCAGCACTTTGGGAGGACGAGGCGGGCGGATCACAAGGTCGGGAGATCGAGACCATCCTGGCTAACACGGTGAAACCCCGCCGCTACTAAAAATACAAAAATTAGCTGGGCATTGTGGTGGGTGCCTGTAGTCCCAGTTACTCGGGAGGCTGAGACAGGAGACTGGCGGAGCGAGACCCTTTTTTTTTTTTTTTGAGACTGCAAAGCCCTTCTTAAGGTTCTGTACCAGCACTTTGGGAGGCTGAGGTGGGTGGATCACCTGAGGTCAGGAGTTAGAGACCAGCCTGACCAACATGGTGAAACCCTGTCTCTATTAAAAATACAAAAATTAGCTGGACGTGGTGGGGGGGCGCCTGTAATCCCAGCTACTCAGGAGGCTGAGGCAGGAGAATCACTTGAACCCGGGAAGCCAAGGTTGCACTGAGCCAAGATCGCACCATTGCACTCCAGCCTAGGCGACGAGTGAAACTGTATCTCAAAATAAATAAATAAATAAATAAATAAATTTCTTCAGGCTGAAGAGGATACAATATGGAGACTCAGATCTACAAGAAGAAAGAGTATAGGAAATGAGAAGTGTGTTAGGAAATGAAAATGTTTTCTCTTTTCTCTAAAACAAGTAGCTGCAGCAAAAATAAGATACCAAGGTTTCTAACATATGTAGACGTGAGACACATGGCAACAGTGACGCAGAGGACTCCCGTGCATGGTGCTTCTGAGGAGACACCTGTGCACGCAGGTAAGGACGCAGTCCACAGCCTCCACCCAGCCCGCCTCTGTCCTGCTCCCAAGGCCAGCACTAGCGAGGCTAGTGTCACTCCACCTCACATACAGTGATGGGCACTGTGAGGGCTTCTCTAGCGGCAGCAGCAAAGGCAGCTTGCTGGCTGGAGAGGGCTGGCTCCCCGAGCAGAAGAGTGAATGAATGGAGGCTGGGAAGTCCAGGCAGTAGAACAGGCTGACTCAGGCCATGGGAGCCCCAGCCAGGAGTCCCACCTAGCCCAGATGGATCTAGGAGAGGCGGAATCCATGTGAAACCATCTTTGCTTCCTGCTGCCTTGCAGACCCCATCCAAGCACCACCCAGTCCTGTCTATCCTCCCTCCTCATCCTCCTCCTCTCCCGTTGCAACTCTCCCAGCTGAACACTTGGCTAGAGCTTCTGCCTCTCTCCCTCCAGGCAGCCTGCGAGTGGCCTGGAGACAAGCCCATGGGTGACTCTGGAGTGACCTATGTGCCAGGACATGGGTGACCATGAGAGGACTCTGAGAATGAATGGGATGAAATTTCCCACCATGGGGCTTGATGAGCAGTTGTGCAGTGGACTAGCCCTGTCTCGTTTCCCTTGAGACTCTTGTGACCACTACCTTGTGACAGCCGGGACTGGCCTGCCGGACCATGAGCAGCACATGCAGAGCACTGAGAACAGAATGTTTGTGCCCCCACATGCTAAATTCATCTGTTGAAATCCAAACCGTCAATCTGATAGAATCAGGAAGTGGGGCCTCTGGAAGGTGGTTAGGTCATGAGAGTGGAGCCCTCGTGAATGGGACTAGTGCCCTATAAGAAGCAGACAGGACAGGCGCGATGGCTCACGCCTGTAATCCCAGCACTTTGGGAGGCCAAGGTGGGTGGATCACGAGGTCAGGAGTTCGAAACTAGCCTGGCCAACGTAGTGAAACACTATCTCTACTAAAAATACAAAAATTAGCCAGATATGGTGGCACGCACCTTTAGTCCCAGCTACTCAAGAGGCTGAGGCAGGAGAATCGCTTGAACCCAGGAGGCGGAGGTTGCAGTGAGCTGAGATGGTGCCACTGCACTCCAGCCTGGGTGACAGAGCAAGACTCTGTCTCAAAAAAAAAAAAAAAAAAAAAAAAAAAGCAGACATTGAGACATTGTGGCCGGGCGCAGTGGCTTACACCTGTATGTAATCCCAGCACTTTGGGAGGCCCAAGGCAGGTGGATCACCTGAGGTCAGGAGTTCAAGACCAGCCTGGCCAACATGGTGAAACCCCGTCTCTACTCAAAATATAAAAATTAGCCAGGCATGTTGGCACATGCCTGTAGTCCCAGCTATTTGGGAGACTGAGGCAGGAGAATCACTTGAACCCAGGAAGTGGAGCTTGCAGTGAGCCGAGATCACGCCATTGCACTCCAGCCTGGGCGACAGAGCAAGACTCTGTCTCAAAAAAAAAAAAAAAAAAAAATTGCCGGGCATGGTGGCGGGTGCCTGTAATCCCAGCTACTCGTGAGGCTGAGGCAGGAGAATCGCTTGAACCAGGGAGGCAGAGGTTGTAGTGAGCTGAGATCATGCCACTGCACTCCCGCCTGGGTGACAGGGCGGATTTCTATCTCAAAAAAAACAGCAGCAGCCAGAGACTACCTCTCTTTTTTCTCCACTGTTAGATGTGAGTTCTAAATTTCTTTTCAAAGAATCAATATGTCAATATGTTCAGTTCGTTACCTCCTACTTTTAAACTTCCTCATAAAGCAACATTTTCCGATTACCTGCTCCACCCTGACTCATTCCAGTTACCTGCTCTGTCATACCCATTTTTCCCGCCAAACCACTCACCCCATCACTCTCTTTAAATCAGCCAATCGGAATTATTTAGCCTGTGCGGTCTAACGCTAGCTAATAGGGGAACAACACAGCAACAGGGACCACTTGCGTCAGGGATAAGAACCACTTCCCCTCCCGTGTCCAGATGTGTGCTCACCATTGCTCCATCTGTAAGGGTGCACCCTTCTATAGAAGTATCTTGCCTTGATGAGAATTAAAAGGAAAATGTGATATTGGAGTGCTAGTTCTTTTGCGGCACTGAAACTTTATATATAACATCCACCACGTGATAACAGCAAGATAACAGCTGGGCCAGGAACGGTGGCTCATGCCTGGAATCCCAGCACTTTGGGAGATCCAGACAGGCAGATCACTTGAGCCCAGGAGTTCAAGACCAGCCTGGGTAACCTAGTGAAACCCTGTCTCTACAAAAAAATACCAAAAATCAGCTGGGCATGGTGGTGCGTGCCTGTAGTCCCAGCTACTAGTGAGGCAGAGATGGGAGGAGTGGTTGAGCTCAGGAGGTTGAGGCTGCAGTGAGCTACAATCACACCACTGCACTCCAGCCTGGGCAACTGAGCAAGATCCTGTCTCAGAAAAAGAAAGCGAGAGAGAAAGAGAAAGAAAGGAAAAAGAAAGGAAGACAGCTGACTGTGTGTCTGTGTGTCACAGGGAAAATCCCCAAATGGGGGCTCAGCCCGGGAGGCCACATGGGTTCTTGGCTTCACATAGGAAATAATTTTTTTTTTGAGACAGAATTTTGCCCTTGTTGCCCAGGCTGGAGTGCAGTGGTGCAATCCCGGCTTACTGCAACCTCTGCCTCCCGAGTTCAAGTGATTGTCCTGCCTCAGCCTCCAGAGTAGCTGGGACTACAGGCGCACGCTACCACGCCTGGCTAGTTTGTGTGTTTCTAGTAGAGACAGGGTTTCACCATGTTGGCCAAGATGTTCTTGATCTTCTGACCTTATGATCCGCCTGCCTTGGCCTCCCAAAGTGCTGGGGTTACAGGTGTGAGCCACCGCACCCGGCCACAGGAGAGAACTTAAGAGCATGCCGGTAGACGAAAATGAAAGCAAGTTTATTAAGAAAGTAAAGGAAGGCCAGGCTGGTGGTTCACGCCTGTAATCCCGGCACTTTGGGAGGCCAAGATGGGCGGATCACGAGGTCAAGAGATTGAGACCAGCCTGGCTAACATGGTGAAACCCCATCTCTACTAAGAATACAAAAATTAGCCGGGCGTGGTGGCAGGCACCTGCAGTCCCAGCTACTTGGGAGGCTGAGGCAGGAGGATGGCGTGAACCCAGGAGGCGGAGGTTGCAGTGAGCCGAGATTGGTGCCACTGCACTCCAGCCTGGGCGACAAAGCGAGACTCCGACTCAAAATAAATAAATAAATAAATAAAAACAGGAAAGGAATAAATGGGTGGCTATCGACAGCAGAGTAGCAGTGTGGGCTGCTTGACTGACTCTTGTTATGATCATTTCTTGATTATGTGCTGAACCAGCAGTGGATTACTCATGAGTTTTCCAGGAAAGGGGTGGGGAGTTCCTGGAACGGATTGTCCTCCCCCTTTCAGACCACATAGAGTAACTTGCGGAAGATACTGGCGTTTGTAAACCATCATGGTGCCGGCGGGAATTTCCCGTAGTATGCTAACGTGTTGCAATGAGGGCACAGTGAGCCGTAAGGATGAACAGAGGTCGCTTTCATCACCATCTCGGTGTTGGAATGAGACCACCACTTCTCCTGTTGTCCTTCCCAGCTTCTCCCCCACCTCCCCTTTTCCCTAGTTTATAAGACAGGAGAAAAGGGAGAAAGCAAAAAGTTGGAAAGAAACAGAAGTAAGATAAATAGCGAGACGACCTTGGCGCCACCACCTGGCCCTGGTAGTTAAAATAATAATAATAACATTAGGCCAGGCGCGGTGGCTCACGCCTGTAATCCCAGCACTTTGGGAGGCCGAGGCGGGCGGATCACGGGGTCAGGAGATCGAGACCATCCTGGCTAACACGGTGAAACCCTGTCTCTACTAAAAACACAAAAAATTAGCGGGGCGTGGTTGCAGGCACCTGTAGTCCCAGCTACTCAGGAGGCTGAGGCAGGAGAATGGTGTGAACCCAGGAGGCGGAGCTTGCAGTGAGCCGAGATCGCGCCACTGCACTCCAGCCTAGGTGACAGAGCAAGACTCCGTCTCAAAAAATAATAATAATAATAACCCCTGACCAAAACTACTGGTGTTACCTGTAAATTCCAGACATTGTATGAGAAAGCACTGTGAAACTTTTTGTTCTGTGAGCTGATGTATGTAGCCCCCAGTCACGTTCCTCACGCTTACTTGAGCTATCATGACCCTTTCACGGGGACCCCTTAGAGTTGTAAGCTCTTAAAAGGGCTAGGAATTTCTTTTTCAGGGAGCTCGCCTCTTAAGACATGAGTCTGCTGACGGTCCCAGCCTAATAAAAACCTCTTCCTTCTTTAATCCGGTGTCTGGGTTGTTTTGACTGCGGCTCGTCCTGCTACAGTATTGATGGGTTTTGACTGGCTTCTTTACCGCAGCCTGCTTTATCAGTGGGCTCTCTGTGACCTGTATCTTGTGAAACAAGTCGTGCTGAACTCCCATCTCATCGAAACCAGGAAGTGGACCCTCACCAACAACCCAGCCAAGCTGGCACTTTGCTCTCAGACTTTCAGCCTTCAGAATTATGAGAAATTTCACTATCTAAGCCACTGATTCTTTTTTTTTGAGATGGAGTTTTGCTCTCATCACCCAGACTGGAGTGCAATGGCGTGATCTCAGCTCACTCAACCTCTGCCTCCGGGTTCAAGCGATTTTTGTGCCTCAGCCTCTTGAGTAGCTGGGACTACAGGCACCTGCCACCACGCCTGGCTAATTTTTTTTTTTGAGACGGAGTCTCGCTCTGTCGCCCAGGCTGGAGTGCAGTGGTGCGATCTTGGCTCACTGCAAGCTCTGCCTCCCGGGTTCAAGCCATTCTCCTGCCTCAGCCTCCCGAATAGCTGGGACTACAGGCGCCCGCCACCACACCCGGCTAATTTTTGTATTTTTAGTAGAGACGGGGTTTCACCGTGTTAGCGAGGATGGTCTCAATCCCCTGACCTCGTGACCTGCCCACCTCAGCCTCCCAAAGTGCTGGGATTACAGGCATGAGCCACCGTGCCCGGCCCAACGCCTGGCTAATTTTTGTAGTTTTAGTAGAGATGGTTTCACCATGTTGGCCAGGCTGGTGTTGAACTCCTGACCTCAGGTGATTCACCTGCCTCAACCTCCCAAAGTGCTGGTAGTACAGGCATGAGCCACCGTGCCCGGCCATAAGCCACCGATTCTGTGGTGATTTTCATAGCAGCTCAAGCTGAGTGAGACTCCGGTTTCCTACCACTGACCCTCCTGCCAACAGTTATCTGCCCAACATGTTGGCCGACTGACTGTCTCTTGCCCACCAGTGAACCCAGATGGCACCACAGGGACCAGAGTTGAGCCATCTTAGGCGAACACAGCCTAAATTACCAACTCCCATAACTATCAGCAAATCAGTGGATGTGGTTTTAAGCCACCGCATTTTAGGGTGCTTTGTGACACAGCAAAAACTGATGTATTCTTGGGTAGTAGGGTGGTGGGAGAGGCCCAGCCACTTGCTGAGACAGGGCAAGGTGTGTGAGTTTGTTTTCTGGGGTTGTGAAACTGTAAATGGGATGTGAGCACTGTCAGAGTCAACTTGCTACAACTGGTCTCCGCAGTTACGCTGAAAGCTCTGGCACGTGTGAAACTGGCAAACGTGAAAACAACCCACCTTGGCGGGAAGCAGAGTCACCTAAACCGCCTGCTGTGCACACCGGTGTTCGGAAGGGCAGCGCACTGCACATCCTGGCCAGGCTGCTTCGTGGCCGTCTCTCCCACCGGGGTCTGCAGGTGCTGGCCGCCCACTCTTCCTCGGCGTCTCCTTCCTTCTCATGGAGCCCCTTCCCATAGCGCTGCCCAGTGTGGGTCTGAGTGGGGTGGGATTCCCATCAGACTTCAGTAAACAGATGAACCCCGAGAGTAAGCCATCACTGTTGTCTGTTGCAGTGGACTTCTCCCCTCCTTCCCCACGGGGGATTTTTCTCTGTCCCCATCCCACCTCCCTCTGCTCTCCTCCCCTCCCCAACACCCAGCTTCCAGCTCTTTTCTTATGCAGGGGCTTACTCTGCACCAGAGCCTAAGCAGCCTTCTTCCCTCTGGGTCCGCAAGCTGCCCTGCGCCTGCCCAACACCCCCCCAGGGGTGCTCTGGGCCTCAAAGCACCCCACTTCTCTCCAGCCCAACCTCAGAAGGCTGCCCCAAGCACTAGCCTCTGTTGGGGAAGGGAGGACTAATAAGACGCAGTGTAGCCATGCTAAACGCACTTTTATCAGGGGACATGCGCAGAATGTCAGGCCTTTTGTGGGCTTGTTATGTACCCCACGCCCCCCAACACCACTCCCCGGACCCCACCACCCCTCCACCCCACCCCTAACCCCATCTCATTGCCCTGCAAAAGTCCCTGCCTCTCCCCTCCAGTGACCCAGCCACACCCACCCCGGGGGTGTGGCCCTGGAGCCCTGACCCCTCCAGCCACCTTCCTTGCCAGGTGGGGGTTCTGCATGCAGCCAGGCCCCAGGCCCTCGTGATAGTGGCAGGAGACAGACAAATGCCTACGCAGATAGGAGTGGGTCCCTGGTGGAGCTCCACCTCCAAGCCAAAGACAGCCTGAAAGCCAAGCTACAAGTTAAATCCTCAGACCGGATTGAGAACCTGACTTCCTGTCTGGCGTGCTTTCCTCTAATTCGTCCCCACCCTTCACCTATTTTACATATACCTACCCTACCGAATTGGCTTTCTACATCATCATGCCCACCTTTCAGTGGTGCCTTTGCTTTAGTCTCTCTTTGAATGCCCACAAACCAATCAGCATGCCCTCCCCTGTTCTGAGCCCATAAAAGCCCAGGACTCAGCCACATTGGGAGAGAAACCACCCCAGCATCATCCCCTCCACTGACAGCTATTCCATTGCTCAATAAAATTATTCTCCACCCTCCTCACTCTTTATTGGGGTGTGTTGGGGTTGTTTGGAGACAGAGTCTCACTCTGTCACCCAGGCTGGAGTGCAGTGACACAATTTCGGCTCACTGTAACCACCTCCTGGGTTCAACCAATTCACCTGCCTCAGCCTCCCGAGTAGCTGAGACTACAGGTGCCCACCACCACACCTGGCTAATTTTTGTATTTTTATTTTTTGAGACAGAGTCTCACTCTGTCACCCAGGCTGGAGTGCAGTGGCGTGATCTCAGCTCACTGCAACCTCCACATCCCAGGTTCAAGCGATTCTCTTGCCTCAGCCTCCCAAGTAGCTGGAATTACAGGTGCCCACCACACCTGGCTTTTTTTTTTTTTTTTTTTTTTTTTTTTTAGTAGAGACAGGGTTTCACCAGTTGGCCAGGCTGGTCTCAGACTTTTGAACTCAAGTGATCCTCCCACCTCAGCCTCCCAGGCCTGAGCCACTGTGTCCAGCCCCTCCTCACTATCTGATTGTCAACATATCCTCATTCTTCTTGGATGCAGTACAAGAGCATGGGACCCATCGAACGTGGTACAGAGAAGGCTGTAACACTGTGGTCCTCTGCCCTCCATGACAGAAATGGCGGTGGGCCTGAGCCAGCCCTGAAGTTGAGGGCCGAAGCAGGGCAAGGGCCGGCTGGGTGTCTCCAGCTGGCAAAAGTGATTGAGGAAAGTCCTGCATCACTCAGGTGGGAACAGGTGTCTGGCCAGCCACACCCAGTGCCCCATGATGCCCCTTGTGCCCTCTATTATGGAGGGAGAAAGTGACAGTGGGAGAAAACTGCTCTAGAGGTCTGGTGGGTCCCCCTCATCCCACTCTCCCCACTGTCACGGATGCGCAGTGACACCTACCTCCCACTGCAAGGCCCTCACACCCTCTGGGCTGGGGACCTTGGGAGAAAGTATATTTTTATTTTAGAGATGGATTCTTGCTCTGTCACCCAGGCTGGAGTGCAGTGTTGTGATCTTGGCTCACTGCAACCTCTGCTTCCCAAGTTCAAGCGATTCTCCTGCCTCAGCCTCCTGAGTAGGCGCATACCACCATGTCTGGCTAATTTTTCTATTTTTAGTAGAGATGGGGTTTCACCACGTTGCTCAGGCTGGTCTCCAACTCCTGACCTCATGTGATCCACCCACCTTGGACTCCCAAAGTGTTGGGATTACAGGCATGAGCCACAGCACCAAGCCAAGAAAGTGTATTTTGTTGGTCTCCTGTTCCTGAGGTCAGGCATTGCCATCAGGCTCTCCGGGACCATGGTGGGTGAAGGGTGTGAATCTCTCTGTGCCAGGCTTCCACGGGCATTAAACACTGGCCAAAGTGCAGGAGTTCCCCACCTGCATGGAAAACATTCCCCACCCCCAAAGTAATGCCCGGATCCTGGCAGTGACGGCTTCTTCTAGCAAAGTGAAGAGAGGCGGAGGCCCAGAAAGCCAGAAGCCAGGTGGGGCATGCCTCTGTGTCACCCTCCCTCAAGCCCACCTCAGACCTGCCCAGGGAGCAACACTCCTTCCAGAGCTGGGGAGGAAAGGACAGGCCTCAGGGCAGGGACCCCAGAAGGGGACAGGATGGGGGGTGCGTGCCAGGGAAGAGCGCTGGGAGGCAAGGCCTGGGTTCCCTGCAGGCAGCGGCTGGCCCCTAACCCCATCGCCCTCTGCCCCAGGAGCGGGTGTAAGCCGTGGGGTGCCCAGGAGCTGCTGGGGGAGTTTTCCTGAGGCCCCCTGGCCTTAGCAGGGCTCTTCTGCCACCTGCCTCTCCTCACTCTTGGGGCGCCTCTGAGCCCGACACCCCTCCCACAGGGCCCCCATCACCACAATCCGCCCCATGTGGGCTCAGACGCCCAAAGCCCTGGAGGTGGGGGTGGGGGGATAGGGAGGTGGGGTGGGGGGTGGGTTGTGTGTAGAGCAGGGGGCAGGAGGACCAGCAAAAGTGAAGCTGTGAAGAGGCAGGGTGGGGCAGAGTGGGAAAGGCGGGGAGGGGTAGGGGGCAGGGGTAGGGGAGTGGGGGGAGGGGAGGGGAGGGTGGGGGTAGGGGAGGGGAGGGTGCGGGGAGGGGAGGGGAGGGTGCGGGGAGGGGACGGGCAAGGCAGAGAAGCCAGCGAGGAGTGAGGCTGCCAGGACATAGTGGGGACTTCCCCGGCACCCCAGACCCCCTCGGGAGCTGCTGCCAGGCCAGGACAGTGTCTGGCAGGCACCTGAAGTCCCGCCCTGCGCGGGGCTGGTTCCCGAGGCCGGGTTGTCCAGGTCGCGGTCTGGCGTGAGTCCTCGTGCCCTTCCCGGCTCGGGGATTACCTCTCTGGCTGGTCCCCTCCTCCGTGCTCTGCGCGCCTCCACCCTAGCGCTTGTCTTGGCTCCTAGAACCAGGGGCCTGGACGCTGCTCAGGGCAGAGGCGCCCCCTCTGAGGGGCTGGCCCCTCAGCCGCACTCCGAGACAGCCGCCCCCGGGACCGCCCTTCCTTGGAGCCCCGCCGCCCGCCGCTCACTCTGCACACGCAGCAGAAGGGACGTGGTGTTCCCCAGGCTCTGGCCCCCCAGGACCTGCGCGGATCTGGCCCAGGGCGCCTCGCCGACTTCCGTAAACTGGGCGGAGGGATGAACCCCGACCCAGGGGACGGAGGCGCTCGCCCTCTCGCTGCAGGGTTCTGCCCTCAACACTTCTGGCCCCGCCTGTGAATGGGGGCCGGAGCGATGGGGCGGGGCCGGCCTCCCTCCCTCCTCCCAGGCTGACCTCTGCCCTCCTTCGAGCACTTCCCGTTCGGGGTGATGATTGAAGAACTGAGTGTGGACAGAGCACCTGTCCTCGCCAGCGCCCAGCTGGAAGCTGAGGTAACTTCGTCACTGCCCGTTGACCTGCGGGCACGGTGGGCCACACCTTGCTCAGCCGTCCGGGCCCTCACCTGCCCCTCCTGCCCGCAGACGGCGCCTGCTTGGCCTCAGACCAAGTCCCACAGGGGCTGCCGTGCCTGCCGCCTCCACCCCATTCCCCCAACAAGGCAGCGAGGCCTTCCCGGAAAATAAGCCTGGGCTCTTCACACCCCTGCTGGAGGCAAGGCCCGCCCTGCACTCTGGAGGCCGCCACCTCCTGCCGGTGTCTGGGAGGGGCCTGACGCACCACAGACCTAGAGGCAGCGAGGCTGTACAGGGCTTTCCAGGAATTTTGCTGCAAAGGAAAGGAGAAAAGCGGGAGGAGGGGAGGAGGGAGGAGGCCCAGATGGGCTCCCCTTCCTGCAGCGGACAGCCACGGGCGTGGCACCGGCTGCGCACCGTGACCTGCACATGAACACACACAGCGACATGTGCACACACAGGAACACAGAGGCCCACTTACATATAAATGCAGATGCGTGCCTGCATCAACGAGCGGGAGCACATTGGGCAAATGCACGTGTACATGCCCTACGTGAACACAAACCCGTGGACACAACACGCACGTGCATGCACCCGCACACAGACACGCGCACAAACGCGCACACGTACGTGTATGCACACGCGCACAAACATGCACAAAACACGGACGTGCATGCACACGCGCACATGTACACAACACGCACGTGCATACACATACGCACAATACGCACGTGTGTGCTCACGTGCACAAACGCACACAACACGCACGTGCATACACGCGCGCAAACGCACACAACACGCACGTGCATACACGCGCACAACGCGCACACAACACTCAGGTGCATAAACGCGCGCAAACGCACAACACACACGTGCATACACACGTGCACAAACACGCTCAACACGCACGTGCAAGCACCCGCATACAAACAGGCACACAACACCCACGTGCATACACACACACCTGCATGCACACGCGCACAACAGCCACACAACATGCACGTGCATACACACGCGCACAAACGCGTTAGTCTCTTCTTAGGCTCCTGGAGCCTCCTGCTACCATAAGCAAGGATTCTGGGCCCACACCCAGCTAATGGGCTCCAGCTGGACCAGAGCTAGAAGCCCGCCAGGCCGAGTTGGGTACCCCCTGCCCTAGGTGCCCATCACCAGCCAAAGCTCTCAGGCCTGCCTGTGTCCAGCCTGGGGTACACAGCAGTTCTGGGTTTCTGATTACACAAGATAATGTTTCCTTCTGTTGGCATCTGAATTTCCAGTTATTTGTGGCTGCAGCATTCCAACGCACACACCACCAGAAATCCCCTTCAGCATACTGGCCTCAGACCTACCAGGGCAGAGACCTTGTCTTGTTTGCTGCTAGAACCCAGGATCGCTGGAAAATCACCTAGCAGCAGGTGCTAATACACATTTGTTGGATGAATGAGTGAGTGTGAGAGCCTTCAGGGTGAGGCTCAGGCCAGGTCAGCCAGGCAGGGTGGGGGGCTGGTGTGGCCCCAGAGCTCTTGGAGGTAAAGGCCAAGAGGCAGAATGTGGCGGTGAAGGGTGGAGGGTGCAGAGCCCCAGGCTGCCGCAACATCCCTGCCCTGGACACCTCCAGCTGGGCTCAGGGTTGGGCTGCAGGATCTGGGTGAGCAAATGAGCCTGCATCCTCCTTGCCCAACTCTGCCCCAGCCAGGACCTTGACCCCTCGGGAGTGGCTGCTAGGACAGGGCAGGGAGCAGCGACCCCCAACACCTGTGGCCTTGCAGGGATGCTGTGTGCCCGGCTCCTTCCATCTTCACCATGGAGGCTGCAGCACAACAGCTCAGCACGTGCTGGCCCTGTTACCCAGCAGGGACGGGCTGCCACACCCCAGGGCGCTGGCTTCCAGGGGCAGCAGTGTGTGGGCTCCTTGCCTGCCGGGGTCACGGAGGAAGGTCAGCTCTGCCCAGCAGTGTGTCCTGAGATGAAACCTTAGACCCACCTGGTCTGCAAAACAGTACCCAAGCCCAGTGTAGTGGCTCAGCCCTGGAATCCCAGCACTTTGGGAGGCTGAGGCGGGAGGATCACTTGAGCTCAGAAGTTCAAGACCAGCCTGGGCAACATAGTGAGACCTTTCTACTGAAAATTAAATAATTTTAAAAACTTACAGCCAGGTGCGGTGACTCACGCCTGTAATCCCAGCACTTTGGAAGGCCAAGGCGGGTGGATAGCAAGGTCAAGAGATCGAGACCAGCCTGGCCAACATGGTAAAACCCTGTCTCTACTAAAAATACAAAATTAGCTGGGCGTGGTGGCGGGCACCTGTAATCCAAGATACTCGGGAGGGTGAGACAGGAGAATTGCTTGAGCCCGGGAGGCAGAGATTGCAATGAGCTGAGGTTGTGCCATTGCACTCCAGTCTGGGCAAAAAAGAGCAACACTCCGTCTCTCACACACAGACACAAAATTAGCCGGGTGTGGTGGTACATGCCTGTAGTCCCAACTACTCGGGAGGCTGAGGCAGGAGAATCGCTTGAACCTGGGAGGCAGAGGTTGCAATGAGCTGAGATCACGCCACTGCACTCCATCCTGGTGACAGAGCAAGACTCAGTCTCAAAACAAAAACGAAAACTTTGCCAGGTGTGGTGCTGAGCACCTGTAGTCCCAGCTACTCAGGAGACTGACAGGAGGGGATCACTTGAGCCCAGGAGGTCGAGGCTGCAGTGAGTGGTGATTGTGCCACTGCACTCCAGCCTGGGCGACAGAGAGATCTTGCCTCACACAAAACAAAACAAACAACAAAAAATACACAAAACAGCCAGGAGACAGCACCAGCAGGGACCCGCAGGGCACCACTGTGTCCCCACTGTGGTCAGGCCTAGGAGTGGGGCCGAAGCCCAAGTAGCCCCATCCACAACCGCGGAGCGGCTGGGAGGGCCGGGTGGGAGGACTACCGTGTGCAGGGGTGGGCCCATGGCCCTGGGCCCACCATGACTTAGGTCAGTAGGGCACTGAGGGAGCCTGTGCCGAGACTAGGTGTTGCTACTGGGCACTAGATTTTTAAAATAACTGCTTTAATGAGACATAATTGTGTAATTCCCATACCATACAATTCATCCATTTAAAGTGTGCAATTCTGTGGGTCTTAGCATATTCAGAGGTATGCAAACATCACCAACGGCCAATATCAAAACACTTCCTCACCCCAGAAAGAAACCCCAAACCAGCAACCGTCGCTCCCAACCCCCGTCCCGGGCACCGGCAGCGCCATCTCCCTTCTTCCCTCTGGACGTGCCCATTCGGGACACATCACGTGAGCAGGATCACGCCGTCCGCTCCGTGTGCCTGGCTTTTCACTTAGCATGATGTCTCCAAGTCTGTGTCGCCCGTCTGTGTCGCCCAGTGCATCAGGGTCTCATTCCTTTTGACCGTGGGCGCCGTTCTACGGCCTGGATTCCAGTGCCTGGACTGGCCATGTTTAGTCTATGCACGCCTCAGTGGATGGACAGGGTTTCCACCTTGCCGCTATGGCGAAGGATGCTGCCGCTATGGCGAAGGATGCTGCCGCTATGGTGAAGGATGCTGCCGCTTTGGCGAAGGATGCTGCCGCTATGGCGAAGGATGATGCCGCTGTGACGACAGCTGCTGCCGCTGTGGCGAAGGATGCTGCCGCTGTGACGACGGATGCTGCCGCTATGATGAAGGATGATGCCGCTGTGACGACGGATGCTGCCACTATGGCGAAGGATGCTGCCGTGAACTTTGGTGCACAGGCATCTGTTTGCGTCTTTGCTTTCAATTCCTGTGGGTGGAGCTAGGAGTGGAATTGCTGGGTCACACGGTAACTCTTGGAGGAGCTGCCAGGCTTATTCCAGAGGGCCGCACGGGTTGACATTCCCACCAGCATTGCACAAATGTTCCAGTGACTCCACGTGCCCCCCGCGCTGGTTATTCACCTTTAGTAATACGACCATCTTTGTCAGTGTGCAGTATCTCTCTGTGGATTCCATTTGCATTTCCTTGATGACTAAGGGTGTTGAGCATCTTTGCATTTGCTTGAGGGCAATTTCTACATTTTGTACATCTTTGGAAGATCTGCCCAGACCCTTCGGCACAGGCCCAAAGTTGTTTGTTTGCTTGTTTGTTTTTGAGACGGAGTCTCACTCTGTCGCCCAGGCTGGAGTACAATGGCATGATCTCGGCTCACTGCAACCTACACCTCCCAGGTTCAAGCGATTCTCTTGCCTCAGCCTCCCAGGTAGCTGGGATCACAGGCATGCGCCACCACGCCGGGCTAATTTTGTATTTTTAGTAGAGACGGGGTTTCACCATGTTGGTCAGTCTGGTCTTGAACTCCCGACCTCAGGTGATCCGCCCGGGCACAGGCTCAGAGTTTTAAGAAAAACCACAAAGTGCTATGAAGTTTGAGGCTACCAGGATGGGGCGCCAAGCCAAGGTTCCTCCGGACGCGCGAGGCTGGTGCTCCAGGCGGGCTGGCGGGAAGAGGGGGCAGGAAGGGGGCCGGGGCGGGCTCTCCGGGACGGTTCCGGGAGGGCGTCCTGGGCGGGCCCTGCGTCAGGTTGCAGTTTCACTTTTAGCTCTGGGCACCTCCAGCTCCTGCTCGCCGGACGGCTCCCAGGGAGAGCAGACGCGCCAGACGCGCCACCCTCGGGGCGCCGACGGTCACGGTGAGCTGCGCCCCGCCCCCTCCCCCGGCCTGGCTGGAGCTCCCGAGTGGGGCCGGCCGCTGGCTCCCGGGTGGGGGATGCTGGCCCTGCTGCCCCAGCGTTCGCCCAGAAGGCCCCGCGCCGCACACGGGGGCGGAAGCTCCAGGCTTCGGGAAAGGCTGCCCCTGGCCAGCCCAGGGGCCCGGCCTTTGGACCTGGGCTTGGGCTTGACTCCCAGGTCCGCCATCCAGGTTCCCGGGCCGGTGCTGTTCCCGCCCCCAGCTGCCTTCTGGGCCCAGCCTCCACTTTCAGCAGACCCAGCACTCAGAGGCTTCCTGGGGCAGCTGCAGCCCCTCCACAGTGGCCCAGGTGCCCCCTATCCCAGCGGAGGCCCGCTATGGCCTCTGACCCCCAAAGCCTCAGCCTTGGACAGGTGGCTCATGGAGCTCCAGGCACAGAGAAGGCCCTGGAGGACGCAGCTGGGGTGGGGCGACACTCTGGCTGGGTTTTGCAGTGGGTCCCTGGTGACACTCTGGCTGGGTTTTGCAGTGGGTCCCTGCACCACGCTCAGGAGGTGACAGCTTGTTTCCTCCCAGCCAGAGGCAGCCATTCTAGTGGACAGAGCCCTCTGTGTTAGAGCAGGTCTGGGCGTCAGGCCTCACTGTCCCTGGCTGGAGGTGCTCATGGTACCGTAGACAACAGGGAGAACACTGTAATTCTGTGTTGGGGAGGGCCGGGGACAGAAGCTTTCTGCTAGTGGGAGCATCCCAGGATGAGCTGGGCAGGGCTGTTCTGGAGGGAAGGAGTCCCCCATCATGGGAGACATCCAAGTACTGACCCTTCTCCCACTCCCTCCCGCCCGCCCCGAGAGCACAATGCCTGACCCATTTCCCCTCCTCAGGAGCATGGGGTCGGCCTTTGAGCGGGTAGTCCGGAGAGTGGTCCAGGAGCTGGACCATGGTGGGGAGTTCATCCCTGTGACCAGCCTGCAGAGCTCCACTGGCTTCCAGCCCTACTGCCTGGTGGTTAGGAAGCCCTCAAGCTCATGGTTCTGGAAACCCCGTTATAAGTGTGTCAACCTGTCTATCAAGGACATCCTGGAGCCGGATGCCGCGGAACCAGGTGCCTGATGTGGTGCTGAGGCAGAGCCCCAGGGAGGCTGGATGGGAGAGGGGAGCGGGCTGGGGCCAACCATCCACTGGGCTCTGCAGCCTCTAGCTCTGGGCCTCTCTTCCAGAGGCCGGGGCCTTTCCAAAGGTCCCTCTGCCCTGGGGCTGGGACAGGGCTGGTGGGGGCGGGGGAGAGGCGGGGCGCTGGGCACAGCCTCAGGTCTGGCCTTGCTTTAGACGTGCAGCGTGGCAGGAGCTTCCACTTCTACGATGCCATGGATGGGCAGATACAGGGCAGCGTGGAGCTGGCAGCCCCAGGACAGGCAAAGATCGCAGGCGGGGCCGCGGTGTCTGACAGCTCCAGCACCTCAATGAATGTGTACTCGCTGAGTGTGGACCCTAACACCTGGCAGACTCTGCTCCATGAGAGGTGGGCCCGAAGAGGGCAGGGCAGGGCAGGGCCCCACCTACCCCAAGCAACCCTGCTTTTATTTATTTATTTATTTAAATTATTTTTTGAGGTGAGGTTTTGCTATCTCGGCCAGGGTGGTCTTGAACTCCTGGCCTCAAGCAGTCCTCCTGCCTCGGCCTCCCAAAGTGCTGGGATTACAGGGGTGAGCCACTGTGCCAGGTCCCAGCCTTGCTCTTGGGAAGGTCACAACCTTGGGGCATCAGGAAAGTCCCAGAGGCAAAAGAGCGCTGTGGCCGGAACCAGCTTGCAGGAAGGAAGCTGCAGGGGTCATCTGGGGCCTCCGCTGCCAGGACTGGATCCTAAGGACCGGACTGAGCCCCAGGCTGCTGTGAGGACAAGGGGTGGTGTGAACACGGGGGCCCAGGTGAGGGGGCCGCACCTCGAGTCTGGACTTGGAGTCCCCGAGTCCACCTTTCCTCATGGGGTCCCGTCCCCGTGGGGAGCACACGGAGAGGCTGCCGGTGCCCCGGCACCCACAGACCTCTGGAGGGCCCCTCTGCACCACCTCCCCCGGTGGCGTGGGGCTGTCAGGGGAGGGAAGACGCCTTCAGGGGCTGCGGCCCAGCGAGCTTTGCTGCTCCTCGGACACAGGCACCTGCGGCAGCCAGAACACAAAGTCCTGCAGCAGCTGCGCAGCCGCGGGGACAACGTGTACGTGGTGACTGAGGTGCTGCAGACACAGAAGGAGGTGGAAGTCACGCGCACCCACAAGCGGGAGGGCTCGGGCCGGTTTTCCCTGCCCGGAGCCACGTGCTTGCAGGTGTGTAGCCAGCCCCGGGCCACGCCTGGCCCCCCACGTGGGCATGCGGCGGCGGGTGACGGAGGCGGCGGGCTGGGCTCCGCCAAGGCCCCTCGGAGCAGCTCCCAGCCCTGCGCTTGGCTGCGGAGCCGAAGTCACCTGGCGGCGGGCCTGCCCCCGGCACCCGGCCCGCACCCGCACCCCACGGCCCGGTGCCAGGGCCCAGCCCCGAGCCCATCTCCATGCCTCAGGGTGAGGGCCAGGGCCATCTGAGCCAGAAGAAGACGGTCACCATCCCCTCAGGCAGCACCCTCGCATTCCGGGTGGCCCAGCTGGTTATTGACTCTGACTTGGGTGAGCTGGAGTTGGGGGTGTCTCGGGCCCAGGCCCTGGCAGAGAAACAGGGAGGCCTGGGGAGAGCTACCCGCCAGCTTGGGCTGCCGTGGGCCCCTGGCTGAACAACGTCCTGTGTCTGGCAGGTGGCTGAGGTCCTGTGCTCTGGTGTGTGGGTGATTGGGCAGGGCCTGAGCTGGACAGGGGAGCTCCTAGTAGGGGAGGGGAGGGGATGCTGGGATCTAGGTGACATGCCTGTCCCTGTCTGCTCCCGTCTGGCTGCCAGACGTCCTTCTCTTCCCGGATAAGAAGCAGAGGACCTTCCAGCCACCCGCGACAGGTGAGAGCCGAGAGCCCCCAGCATGGGGTGTCCGGTGGGAAAAGCACACTCCCTGGGCAGTTGAGGCCTTCTCCTCATGTTCTCAGGGCACAGGGAGGCCGGGCAGCCCCCTGAGGCGGTGGGCACCCCCCATACACACACAAGGGGCAACACAGGACAGCTGACCCTGGGCCTCCCCAGCCTCCCTTCCTGCCCTGGGCTGCCAGTGTTGGCAGTGGTGAGCGGGGCTGTGACGGCCTGGGGAAGGCCTCAGCCCTCTCTGGCTCAGACACCCTTCCCCGGCACTGACCAGCCCTGCCCTCCCATGCCCCTGCCCAGGCCACAAGCGTTCCACGAGCGAAGGCGCCTGGCCACAGCTGCCCTCTGGCCTCTCCATGATGAGGTGCCTCCACAACTTCCTGACAGGTCAGTGCCCTCCTGACCGCCCCGGGGACCTTTGGTGGGCTCTCCTGCCCCCTGGGGTCTGCCTGTCCTGACCGAGGCTTTCCAGGGCCCTGTAAGCACCTGGGCAGTGCCAGCCCTTCTGTCCCTACAGATGGGGTCCCTGCGGAGGGGGCGTTCACTGAAGACTTCCAGGGCCTACGGGCAGAGGTGGAGACCATCTCCAAGGAACTGGAGCTTTTGGACAGAGAGCTGTGCCAGCTGCTGCTGGAGGGCCTGGAGGGGGTGCTGCGGGACCAGCTGGCCCTGCGAGCCTTGGAGGAGGCGGTGAGCGGGGGAGGGTGCCCGGGGCACACAAGGCCTGCCCAGCCAGCCAGACTCACCTGCCCTTCCCGTGCCCACAGCTGGAGCAGGGCCAGAGCCTTGGGCCGGTGGAGCCCCTGGACGGTCCAGCAGGTGCTGTCCTGGAGTGCCTGGTGTTGTCCTCCGGAATGCTGGTGCCGGAACTCGCTATCCCTGTTGTCTACCTGCTGGGGGCACTGACCAGTGAGCGGCCGCTGGGGGCAGGTGGCGGGTGGGAGGGAGGGAGGTGGGCTTTCCCGGTGGGCGTTCAGAAACCCCCTTTTACCTGACTCTCTCCCAGTGCTGAGTGAAACGCAGCACAAGCTGCTGGCGGAGGCGCTGGAGTCGCAGACCCTGTTGGGGCCGCTCGAGCTGGTGAGAGGGTTGGGTTCGGGCTGCAGGAGGATGGGCTGAGCCAGTGGAAGGGGCCCTGTGGCACCTGGGAAGGGGTGGTATGGGCAGGCACAAGATGCCCAGATTTCCCCATCTGACTCACTCCTGCCCTGTCTTGGCAGGTGGGCAGCCTCTTGGAGCAGAGTGCCCCGTGGCAGGAGCGCAGCACCATGTCCCTGCCCCCCGGGCTCCTGGGGAACAGCTGGGGCGAAGGAGCACCGGCCTGGGTCTTGCTGGACGAGTGTGGCCTAGAGCTGGGGGAGGACACTCCCCACGTGTGCTGGGAGCCGCAGGCCCAGGGCCGCATGTGTGCACTCTACGCCTCCCTGGCACTGCTATCAGGACTGAGCCAGGAGCCCCACTAGCCTGTGCCCGGGCATGGCCTGGCAGCTCTCCAGCAGGGCAGAGTGTTTGCCCACCAGCTGCTAGCCCTAGGAAGGCCAGGAGCCCAGTAGCCATGTGGCCAGTCTACCATGGGGCCCAGGAGTTGGGGAAACACAATAAAGGTGGCATACGAAGGAAAGGCTGGTAGCAGAGTTTTTGAGGGGTCCTGGATCTGGGGTAGGGTGGGTAGGGGTGGGGACAGTACCCATGCATGATCAGGAGGGACATCAGGGCCAAGTGCAGGTGATGTCTGCATTGCCCGGCTTCTTTTGCACCCTGGAGCTAAGGGGAGCCCCATGCTGGGCTTGGCCGCTCTCTAGAGTAATGGGCCCATGGCCCTGCCCACCCCTGCCTGTGTGTTTCTCTACCTGTGAGGAAGGGCAGGGCGATTTAGGTGAGACAGTTCCACCAGGCGTGTCCGTGGCTGAGGCATGGCAGGAACCTCTGCTTCAGGGAGCTTGAGGCATGTGCTGAAGGGTGTAGCCATCCTCGGCCCACAGGGGCTTTAGGGGTGCAGGTGTGACTGATGACAGGCCCTGCCCTCCTGGGGCCACACAGGAGGTTCCTGGGGAAGCAGTACTAAAGAAACTGACCTTTGGTACATTTCACCCACATCTGCTTGCCTGAGCTAAGAGCCTGGAGAGAGGAGGTCTCCGGCCTGTGGGAATTAAGCAGGTCCAGGGTCACATCCAGTTGCTTACTTGCAGGAGCTCAGCAGCTGTGGCCTCCACGTCCAGGGAGGGACACGCAACACTTGACGTGGCCGGGGAGTGATTGTTCCTGGGAGAGTGGACAACCTTCCTTGGTGGGGACCAGTCTACCTGCACATGGTCGCCAGCCTTCCCCACTTCTGTCAGGGCACACAATGGCCACACAACTTGCAGAGCTTGCAAAAGAGAAGGAACAGTGGATTTGGCTACAACTGGGACATTAAATCCACCAGAAAACCTGGTATCCAGGCCCAACAGTGACTTTTTTTTTTTTTTTTTTTTTTTTTTTTGAGACGGAGTCTCTCTGTCGCCAGGCTGGAGTGCAGTAGCGTGATCTCGGCTCACTGCAACCTCCACCTCCCACAATTCTCCTGCCTCAGCCTCCCGAGTGGCTGAGGCTACAGGAGCACACCACCACACCCAGCTAATTTTTGCATTTTTACTGGAGACGGGGTTTCTCCATGTTGGCCAGGATGGTCTCGATCTCTTGACCTTGTGATCCACCCACCTTGGCCTCCCGAAGTGCTGGGATTACAGGTGTGAGCCACCGCACCCAGCAGACTTTTTTTTTTTTTTTGAGATGGAGTCTCGCTCTGTCGCCCAGGCTGGAGTGCAGTGGCGCCATCTCGGCTCACTGCAGGGGTTTCACCGTGTCAGCCAGGATGGTCTCGGTCTCCTGACCTCGTGATCCACCTGCCTCCGCCTCCCAAAGTGCTGGGTTTACAGGCGTGAGCCACCGCGCCTGGCCTTTTTTTTTTTTTTTTTTTTAAAGAGACAGGGTCCTGCAATGTCACCCAGGCTGTGTAGTGGGACAATCATGGTTCACAGCAGCCTCGATCTCCTGAGCTCAAGGAATTCTCCCGCCTCAGCCTGCTGAGTAGCTGGACGATAGGCACATACCACCAGTCCTGGCTAATTTTTTCATTTTTTGTAGAGATGGGGTATTGCTATGAATAGTGACATTAACATTGAAACAGGAGACAAAACAAACTCCAGTATCTCAGATCCAAGTTACAGAATCTCCTAGACACTCCTACCCACAGTGTAGGAACAAACTCAACGCCTCTCAGACTCATGGTCCTCCTTGGAAAACCCTTTCGGGTGACTTGAAAGGGTGAGTGGGGTGGGAGTAGCCCGGGTCCTAGAAAGCATTTGGAAAGGCAGGCACACAAGGCACAGCCTCGGGGCCCTGAGACCGGCAGGGCCATGCCATGTGACAGGCCACACCTGAGCCCCATCTTGAGAGCTGCACCACCAATGAGCTCTCTGGCAACATGGCCCGTTAGAGATTGTTTGGGCATCCAGGCCAAGACTGTCCCGGCCCACTGGCTGGAGGTGGAAAGGGAATGAGTGTCAGGGTGCACCTGCCCTCTTGCCCTCCAATCTTAGACCCCGTTGGAATATTTGCCCTGGGGTGGGCTCTCTGCAGGTGGATCTGATGGACCCTGGGGACACAGCATCCCCATGGAGGGACCAGCCCACTGTGCCACCTGGAGCCTCCCAGGAATTCCAGCAGGGAAGAGTCACACTCTAGAGGCCATGTGGACTTTGCATGAATCTCACTCCTGGCAGGGCAACCAGGTTCTGGGCAGTGCCAGAGCAAGGCGGGGCTGGACACACTCCTAACAGGGAGCTGTATGGGGCAAGCCCGCCTGCGCTGCACACAGCCTGCCGCAGGACGGCGCGGACTCTCCCGGGCACCATGAGGGAGGGGGAGGAGCGCAGGGGTGCTGCCTGCCCACCACAGCCAGCTCCCCGCCTCAGCCCCCATCTGGGGTGAGCGTGGCATCACTGTTGGGTTTGCCCACCAGACTGTCCAGCGTGCTGTGGGGTGTGGGCAAGCCTGTGCTAGGTGGGCAGCACATGCTTGCCCTGGGGCCTGGCTCCTGGTTGCAAGGTGAGCAAGGAGGCCGGGCTTGCTTCCCTCTTTGGGGCTGCTACTGAGACGATCCATGTGGCTGTGTCCCGAAACCCGTCCCCGCCAGTGCCGAGGGTGTGCCCCCCATGGGTGCTCCTAGCCCGTCCTGGGAGGTGCGGACCTCGGACAGATGGCTGGTTTGAGAGCTTCCTGAAGGCTAGCACGGACGTCCATGGGGCTTCCGTCTATCTGACCTTCACTGGGCATCTGGTGGCCTCTGGCCTCTCTGGCCTCTTTCTCTCTATCTGTTTCTGGTATGTTGAATCCCGTTTTGGTATCTGCTGTGGAGGCTCCAAACTCATCCACCAAACCTTGCCCCTGACTCCACGAAGACCCGGGCCCTTCACCTGATCCTCAGCTTCCTGCATATGACCTGCAAAGAGACACTCACCCCGGTGCTGACAGCTCTAACCCCATCCATTCCATGCCTGTTAGACCAGAGCGCAGCTTCTCTGTCTTAGGGTTAACCCAACCTGACCTGGCCATAGCCTGTGC
Source organism: Homo sapiens (assembly GCF_000001405.40). Lineage (NCBI taxonomy): Eukaryota > Metazoa > Chordata > Mammalia > Primates > Hominidae > Homo > Homo sapiens. The sequence goes on from NC_000008.11 coordinate 143,566,047, forward strand.
CTGGAGCCTGCCTGACCTTTAACCCTGCTGCCAAACTGACTCTACCTGGGGCCATATCAGGGACTATGGCCTATTACCCCAGCCTGAGCCAGATCTTGGACCAGGGTCAGCTCCCATAACCACACTCAAAACAGATGCCCAACGCTTTCCATCCACGTGTGTTTATTTTAGATGCTTTCTGTGTGGGAGCTGGGGAGACAGGTCAGTAGGACCCCACGCCTGTGCCTGAGGGGCCCCAGTCTGGGCAAGTGGTCCCAGCCCTTCACAAGGCTGCACACACTCCCTGTGCACTCGCAGAGGCTTCTCTGAGGAGGAGGCTGTGAAGGAGGCCACGAATGCAAGGACATTTCCAGGCAGGCATCCTAGGTGCAGGGACCTGCCGCCCAAAGCCAGAGAGGTGAGGTCACAGCATCAGTAGCTCCCAGAGCAGCCTCTTCCTCATGTGTCCAGTGGCGCGTTCCTCATTCAGCCCTGGGAGAGGTGTTGGGGTAGTGTCACAAGTGCTCGGTCTGATTGGGCGTGCACACAGGACCCCTACATCTGGACCCCCAGGTGTGATCTGGGGCCTACGTGGTCCAGCTTGGGAGGACGCCGGGGCCAGCTTCTGGAGAAGGCCAGGCTCCCATGAGGCCTGACATAATGAACAGGGGGTGATGATGGCCTGGCTGAGAGGGCACAGCAGGTGTGGCCGGGAGACAGGTCAATAATTTTGAGCAGAGAGGATGCCCGCCAGGAGCCTTAGGATGCTGGCAGGGAATGGGGTGAGGGATGAGGATCGGGGGTGCAGCTGCAGGGCTGGCCAAGGCCCGGACAGGCCACAGCGTCCTGTCCAGGCATGAGGTGGAGACCCAGGAGGGCAGGCTATGGGACCACCAACTTTGGGGTCCCCCAGCAGACTCAAGAGGCCAGGTGCCATCTGGGCCAGGAGCCAGGCCCAAGGTTGGGGCATGGGGCATGCTCCAGGGGGCTGTGAGAACAAGAGCCCTGACGGGGACAGATGGGTGCTGGCTGTCCCCCTCTGTCACCATCAGGGTGGTGGGTGCCTGAAGAGGGGTCACGGGGGTGGGGGGTGGGGGAGGGCATTGGCGTCCAGCACCAGGCCCAGGGAGCCCCTCCGTCAGGGCGGGGACAGGCTGCTATGCGCGTGGGGTGCCCGAGTCGGACCCTGGCCCTCGGGCCCCAGCCCCGAGCCTCAGGCTCGGCGGGGTCCGGAGCAGCCCCAGCGGCCCGCGACGCTCCGGCGCTGGAAGGGGCTGTCGGCGAAGACTGGTGGGGGCCGGGCGGGGCGCGGGGCGATGCGGAGAAGGCGGGGCCCGCGGGGGCAGCCCCGGGCACGGGCCAGCATCGCCACCTGCTGAGCGGACACGTGCGCTGCCGCGGCCACAGCCGGCTTGGGGTCGCTCTGCAGTCGCCCTAGGTCTGCGAGGAGATCGCGGCTCAGGCTGGGGAGCCCAGGAGGGCCGAGTGCCCGGGCCCCTGGCCCTCCACCCACCGCTCCCGTCCACTCCGCCCTAGCACCAGCCACGTCTCCAGGACACCATCCCCTGGCAAGGTGGGGCCTCACCCTGGAACAGGGAGTCCAGCAGGTCCTGGTTGACACAGCCGGGGCTGGCGTGGTGGACAAGGAAGCCTGGACCACAGCAGATGCATGAGTGCAGGCCCCACAGCCCCCCAGGGGGAGGCTGGCCCAGCTCCCAAAGCCCCGGTGCCAGGGGCAGTGTGACCCCGGGCGGCCTCACCTATAAGCACGGCGGCTGCCCGGCGCAGGGGGTCCTGTGGACTCCGCAGGTAGCCCTGGGTCTGGCTCAGGAAGTTGGGCACGTGGCCTGGGTATCGCTGAACCTGGGGACAAAAGGGCTAGTGGCAGGACAGGAGGGCTGATCCTGAGTGCGGAGGAGGCTGCAGAGCTGAATCCAGGGGCCGGGGTTCCAGGGGAGCCCCCAGGGCAGGTGGCATGGTCGGAGACCTTGGACTTGCCCCACCAGTAGCCTATCTGGTTTGGCTGCAGTAGAAACGGTTGGGGGCCCCGGTGAACCCTGGAACAAGTGGGCTGCTGATCATACCCCCTTGCGGTCACCTTGCTTCCCCTACTGACCAGGCGGCAGCAGAGGTGGCTCAGGGCCTCGGGGCTGTCATAGTGGGCCACGGTGACCAACTCCTCCAGCAGGCCCCAGCAAAAGGCGTGGTCACAGCGGGCCAG